>NC_000011.10:103536060-103839091 GCF_000001405.40 Homo sapiens
TAAATTATGGTTACTTAATAATATGTTTAATATCTGGTAGTGTTTGTCCCAATCAAGCACTTTATGCTACTGTCATGAAATAAAGATGGGAACTGGGGTGAGGTTCAACATAGAGCATGCTTCTCACAATAATCTCTGTAGCTGTCTGTTGTAATTTTATTGTTAAGCTCTCTTTCTAATTTAGTCTTGAGGCCTCTCTGTTGGGAGTTGCCATAAGACAAGGTAACCACTCTCTAGCAGAGTCCTGGCCAGGAAAAAAATTAGCTTTGGGTATGACGGTCAAGTGAGGTGCACCGAGGAGGTGAAGCCAAGATGCACGAAACAAAAAAAGAAGTTTGGATCACTTACAGATCCCAGAGAGGCTAGGGGTGCTGACGGGAAGCTGGGAAGTCCGGAATCAGCAGGCGTCTCAGCCAGCAGGGTGGGAGCCAGAGAGAGCCAGAGGACCTGTGGGACTATGCTTTATTAAGACCCAAGGGCATTATCCCTTAGGCTTTGCTGGGGAAGGACGAGGCGGGGTAGTTGTGGATTGGCTAGTTTAACAAAAACACAAAAATCTGTGTTGTGGCTCTGGTGTTAACCATCAGATTTGATCCTGGCCAGCAGCTATTGGGCGTGCTGGGTTTGGGTCGGTGGGATAAGAAACAAATGAGCTTATATTGAAAATAGCTGGCTAGGTGGGGTGGCTCAAGCCTGTAATCTCAGCTACTCCGGAGGTTGAGGCAGGAGAATCGCTTGAACCCGGGAGGCAGAGGTTGCAGTGAGCCGAGATTGCGCCACTGCACTCCAGCCAGGGCGACAGAGTGACTCCGTATCAAAACAAAAACAAAAAAACAACTTCTTAGGGAGAGGAAGTTTTAACTAGGCCAAAGGTGACGAGGTACTACTCGGTTTCAAATAACTTATGTCAAGCCTAAAAATGGATGCCGAGACAGCAACTATATTACGTAAATTATTGACACTGCCCATTTTTGTTTCACTCTATCTCCTCTCAGACTCCAGCTCCTTCCACACAGGAAGAGGCCAAATATTCCTGCGCCCCTCACAAGACTCTGGGCTGAAGCCCTGCTGTTTGCCTCTCTGTCTCAGCCCGGGTGAGCTGGCCCATCTTAGACTGGCAACTCTGTTCTGTGAACAGGTTGTTAGAGCCCAAGTGCAACAGGAAATGTACAGAAGGTTTCAAATCATTATGTATACCTACAGGGAGGGAGAAGCAGATGCCATTTGAAAGGGGCCTGATTAGAGAACGTGCTTGCCGACAGTGTATCTGATTGGCATCTGTGGCTTTGCAGCCAGACCATCTGTTTTTGCTAATGCAGCTTCAAGTGCGGTGCATAATGAGGTTAGGGTCAGGACTGTATTGTTCGTCTATGGCTTATGTGTGCCTCCTCCAGCTATGTGAAAATTAAAGGGGCACTGCCAGGACCATGCAAGTGGAGAACACTTCTCTGCCAAAATGTGACCAGAAAAAAAAAAGGGATAATGGACTCCCTTTGTGTCTCTCCAGGGAGATCTTAAGTATGGAGGAACACAGAGCTAGAGTGCTATGTTAATAGAGAGAAAGGACAATGGGTGTAAGATGTAGTGGTTAAAAATGGATGGTATCACAAGTAGGAAAAGAACTTTAAAAATAAGACAAAAATCAAGAGGGACTGGCAGGTAAAGAGAAAGAGACATAAACATTTATGTCCCTGGGTTAATGTTTCAGCATTTACAAAATAGAGTCTCCCCAACTCTCAACCCACTCCCAGCTCATGCGCACTTTGTTGAGAGTGCACCACAACTGTACACCATTAGTCTAAAAATAATCAAAGCACCTATCAATTTGATAATGATTTCTTCTCATCTTTGTGCCTTCTGAAATTCTGTCCTCATTCCAAAGCCCAGGGAGGATTCCTGGTACATTTAAAAATCTCTCTACTTAAGCTTGGGGACAGACAGCTTTAAAGTAGATTATTTGACAAATTACATGTTATACTTGCTTTTATGCAGTGTATTGTATAAAATTTGCCTACACCATTTTTAGGGAACTCAGTAGCACCCCCTAGGGATCACTGTTTGACAACAGAGATTTACATGGGAGTAGTGCAGTGTCTCTCTCAACAGTTCTTAATTTATGATTTCTTTTGACAAACATAAATAAAATAGACTATGGTGTTACTTGAAGTTCATAAATCAATCTAAATCAATTAGATATTGTGACTAAAAACAGCAAAGTAAAGCAAACTTTAGAATTTACATTCTCAAATCACATCCTTGTGTTTTTGGAATGTTTCACTGAGTGGGTACCCTTGATACCCACTTAGTGGGCCCAAAGCTCCTGACCTGAGAATCTATAGATTAACAAGTAAGTCATCAAATAACAGGTGCTTTAAAAAAATTATTTGTTAGGATTCCATACTATGTCAAGCCTTTCTATTCTCTGTTTTAATAAATACAGTTTTGATAACTATATTATATGTACAGCTTTGAGCTTATGCTTAAAGTCTGTGCTTGTCATTCAGAATAATGACTGGGGGAGGTTTTCACTATTGAAATGAAAATACCCAAAGTCCTCTGAATACTCCCCCAACAGCAGAGATAAATACCTTATAGACTGATCTGTTGAAGTAAGAATGTGATGGTGGAGTGGTTCTCTCGTTCCTCCCTGTATTAGGCTATTCCTGCACTGCTATAAAGAAATACCTGAGACTGGGAAGCTTATAAAGAAAAGAGGTTTAATTGGTTCATAGTTCTGCAGGCTGTACAGGAATCATGGCAGCATCTGCTTCTGGAGAAGTCTCTGGAAGCTTACAATCCTGGCAGAAGGCGAAGCGGGAGCTTTCATGTCACATGGCAAGAGAAAGACCAAGACAGAGAAGGTGCCACAAGCTTTTAAACAGCTAGGTCTCCTGAGAACTCACTCACTATGATGAGAACAGTACCAAGGGGATGATGATAAACCATTCATGAGAAATGTGTCTTTACCCATGATCCAGTCACCTTCCACCAGGCTGTACCTCCAACATCGGGGATTACATTTCAACATGAGATTTGGGCAGGGTACAAATCCAAACTGTATCACTCCCTAATATAGACTTTTGAACACCTGCCCTTTCACACACTGTATATTGATACTCTACTGCCTTTTGTCAAAATTCAAACTTTGGTCCTCAGCTGATAAGCATTTTGAGCTATCACATGGCTGGGTATATTTATTTAGCAGTGTTTGTATAATTATCTGGATATTTCAATGACTTTTGCTCTTAAAATTTTAGAAAAATAAGTAGATTGTATAATAGGAGCTATAAAAGTGCTAGCCTCAGCACTTAACAGCACATTTGTTATAAACTCAACTTAATTGAGATCATCATTAGATGAGCTGAAGCAGTGACTTTTTAGCCTCAATTAGATGCTTAATGAATTAAACTGGCTGACTATATTAATTATGAAGAAAAGGAACAAAATTAAAATTTAGGAAGAAGTCAAATTCTGGAAATATGCATTGAAGATTATTTTCAAAAGGCAAACTTTTATTAAGACTTTATAATGTTTTTGTTTCATGGGAATACCTCCCCATACACACGTGTCTGCACACAGTGACACATAAAGTTAGTTCTTTGACTTTCAAAAAGTCACTTCTTATATACATTTTAAAGACACATAATATAACAAAAATGAGAATCATTGCATACCTTCCTCTTTAAAAGGGAGTATAAAAGTCACAACCTCTCGGTGTGGTTGGTATGGGGCATTATTTGCATGACACATTATAAATGAATAGATAATGTCCCCACTAGTGTTTTTCCACATGCCAAACATGATATTCAGATCATTTAACAACTGATATAGGCATACCAGTGCTATTGGTCCTGTTGAATTGGAGAAAAGAAATTCCTTGAGAAATAAAATGATGGTGTGTGAGTAACTTACAAATCTCCTTAAAGCAACAATATAATTTTTACATTAAGCAAATGCTCAATGAAGGCTGTAAGAGGATGCCAAGTTTCTTGTGTTTGGATCTTCACCAGTATATTTCTATACTACAGCAATTTGTAATTCTTTTTTTTTTTTTTTTTTTTTTTTTTTTTTTTTTTTTGAGACGGAGTCTCGTTCTGTCGCCCAGGCGGGAGTGCTGTGGCGCGATCTCCGCTCACTGCAAGCTCCGCCTTCCGGGTTCACGCCATTCTCCTGCCTCAGCCTCCCGAGTAGCTGGGACCACAGGCGCCCGCCACTGCGCCCGGCTAATTTTTTGTATTTTTAGTAGAGACGGGGTTTCACCGTGGTCTCGATCTCCTGACCTCGTGATCCGCCCGCCTCGGCCTCCCAAAGTGCTGGGATTACAGGCGTGAGCCACCGCGCCCGGCTGTAATTCTTAATCTTGTCTCTGTCAATGTAATTGTGGCTATAGAACTTGAAAAGATTATCTTCCCTTTGTGTAATTTGGCTTGTTTGAGGGGTTGATGATACTGCAATAATTTCCTCTTTTTCTGGGGTCCTGGACTCCCTCTTCTGCTTGTCTCTCCATTGCCATAGACTTTTGCATGTCTCTAAGTCCTGGGCTCTTAGCTCTTCCTAATTACAATATTGATGCTGACAGTTTGCTACACCAATTCTAATCACAAATCAGATTTACAGAGGGCTTGCAATGGAAGAATTGCAGCCATGGCATTGACTAGACTGAAGAGCTTAGTTACCAGAAGTCACTTATCAAATGGGAAGGCTAGCTGGGATGGTTAATTTTATGTGTCAATTTGACAGAGCTGTGGGGTGTCTAGATAGCTGGTCAAACATTATTCTAGGTATGTCTGTGAGGGTGTTTGTGGATGAGTTTAACATTGAATAGACTGAGTAAGGCAGATTGTCATCTCTAATGTGAATGGGCTTCATCCAATCAGTTGAAGGCCTGCATAGAACAAAAAGGCAGATCCTCCCCTGAATAAGAGGGAATTTCCTCCTGAGTGACTTTCATTAGCTGGAAGTTATTGGTTTTTTTCCTTCCTTCAGACTGCAACTGAAATACCAGCTCTCTTGGGATTCCAGCTTACCCACTGCAGATCTTTGGACTTGGCAACATTCATAATCATGTGAGCCAATTCCTTATAATGCATCTTTCACATCAAGTGTCAGGTTCTAGCCCAAGCTGAGGTCCACGGGGAGTGGGTGGCAGATAGCTGGAAAAACACTAGAGGAATCATAGGCAGTTTTGACATGGCTTTATTCTCTCTCTGGTAGCAAGCCTGGGCATGAGCTGTATGTACAGTGTTAGCAGTGTAATTATACCTTTCACAGACAATAGTGGTTCCGAGCCAAGCACGAGCTCACATGAGTAGTTACCTAATGTGCCTCATATAATGTGTGGGGTTGTGCACCTGAGCTCCAAACCTGCTGAGTCATGCTGTGCTGGAAGGCCACCTCTGCCTACTCCTGACTGAAGTGCAGCTATTTCCCTTACACTCCAACCCCTAGGCTGAGGGCATCTTCTGGGTAGGGACATGTGCCCATAGGGCAGAGCCCTGAATCCATAACCCACAACAACAATACAGAGAGCAATACCTCACTACTAGGATCTCAGCTATGCTACTTATGACTATTAGGGCCCAGCATAGACCAGGGCCCAGGGATGCCCACTATCTCTGCAGGGGGTTGTCAGTAATGCTCTCGACTACCTTAATCTCCCATGAGACCCCTTGCAGGGCTGCTGTTGTGTTCTGCTGATTGTCAGGGATAAAGGTACAACATTGTGTTCCTTAAAGGGCATAGATGCCTCCTTGGGCAGCAGTTACTATGTCTATGGCCATCCAGTTTTGCAACACCACCTTTCTGATCTGATCAGCCTCATCTGTTAACAAGAGAAGGGCCACTTGGGTGTAATTCAGAGCCCGAGTGGTGTGCTCTGCTCGAGCAGTAACCTGTGCTTCTACAATTATGACACCCACTCCAGGGATAGTCACTGCCAAAGGGTAGAACTGCTGGGGGCTCATTGCACTCACACAAACTAAGAGTGTAGCATCTCCCAGTTATGCGGGCATCAGGGCAACATGGGGAGAACAGTGGCAGGCACATAAGGCCACCCCCAGGTACAATGTCCAGTGCAGTTCGCGGGTAGGTAAATCTACTCTGTGTCCCCACAGACCCATAGACTCCCAGGGGGCACAAAGTCAATCAGGGCCTGACCTTGGTAGTGACATGTGTTATGTTTGCAAAGGCTGTGACAGGTACCCATCCCACAGTGGTGTTACCCCAATGTTGCTCT
Organism: Homo sapiens; assembly: GCF_000001405.40. Classification (NCBI taxonomy): domain Eukaryota; kingdom Metazoa; phylum Chordata; class Mammalia; order Primates; family Hominidae; genus Homo; species Homo sapiens. Next base: position 103,542,296 of record NC_000011.10, read on the forward strand.
ATGCACTGTGGCACTTGGGCTGGGAGTACTACATGTTCCCCACTAGCCAGCCCCATCATAAACGCTATGGGCCAGCCAGGGGTTGGGCACACCATGTGTCTTGCAGCATCCTTTGTCCAAAGCTGCCATGTTGCATTCCAGGCATCAGCCATGGGACCCCCAAGTCTCCAACCATGTCCAGTTCTCTGCAGACACAAGATGTATGTGCCAAGGCAAGCCATCCGCAGCCCTGCTGGAAGGGCAGTGCATATCCAATAGTTGGAAACATTGGTCACCTAGTGTAGGTGTGGGCCCAGTCCACAATGCAATTGGAGTATGTTAACCTCTGGTCAAAATGACAGAGCAGGCATAGGTACTAACAGGAGTAAATCACACCCCTCAGGCAAAATACAAGCTAACCTTTTATCCCTAGATAACAATGCAGCTGCCAAGGGCTTCTGCCCTCAGTGATGGTACCATAACTTCTCAGCTCCCCATGGTTCCTTTGGGTCCTGTATCCATGCCAAAGTCATGGGGGAGCTCATAATAGGCCACATAGACAGTACATATGTTCCCTAAAGGAGGATTCCTTCCCTGGTCATTCCCCTACAAACAGTCAACTGCAGGGGCCATGTATTGAACACCCAAGAAGTTACATGCAAGTCATACTGTAGGCCCTCCCTCCAGGGAGCTATGATGGCCAACCACCGGCAGTCAGGGGCCTGGAAGGTCCATGGCCACAGCCAGGTTTTCTGTTCCCCTGCCTTCAGGGGCACTGGGGCAGGCAACAACATGTTACCATTTGTCCTCATACCTGGTCAAAGGAGGTCATCCTTGTTGTGTATCTGCAACTGAATAGGGGTGGTGGCCCACTGTAACAAAGCCTTCACTGGGGCCAGGCTGCCTTTCCATGGCCATTCATTCAAGGTTTGGAGCACCAGGTCGAGACTTGAACTCCAGCCCCGCAAAGATGGGGGTGTGACATGCAAGTGTAACCCATTCTTCAGTAGCCTGTTATATCGCTCAATTATACCTGCAGCTTGCAGGTTGTATAGCACATGGAATCCCCACTTTATGTCCATTTGTTGTGCCCATTATTGTACCTGTTATCCAGTGAAATGTGTTTCCCTATCACTCTCAACGACCAGAGGGCAACCATCCAGGGTACATAAGTGTTGCAAGGTCCAGATGGTGTGCTATTGTTTGGCCACTCTGCAAGCGTAGGTGAACAACAGGCCTGTGGCCATGTCCACAGCTGTTAGCACACGTATATTCCCTTGCAACTTTGGCAGTGGCCTGATGTAGTCTACTTGCCACCTGGTCAAGGGGACTCGCCGTATCATCACTTGTTGTGTAACACTGGGCAGCTGCCTCCATTTGGGGTATGCCTGAGCACGTGCTGGGCATTTCTGACCAGCCTTGCAAATATCTTCTGTGGGCAGGGACAGACCCAAATGCATCTGCCTCATCATTACCAGGGGTAGCCAAAGACATATGGCCTCACACATGATAAATAGTTACATCTTTCTGATGACCCATTTCTTAGAGGTCTTGCCACATGGCTTGGCCCCAAATGGGTTGGTGGCCAACTAGCCAATTCTGTATTTTCCAAGTAGTTAACCAAGAGGTTAAGCCTTGATAGACCGTCCAGCTATCGGTACAGATTACCATAGGTGTCACTTCCTTTGTGATCGCCATCCATACTGCTTTAAGTTCAGCCCATTGGCTGCTTTGCCCACACCCAGTATCAAACCATATGGTGTCAGTACCAACCAACAACAGTCCAGGCAGCAGTAGTACCTCAGCTACAGCCATCTGTGTACCAGGCCTCTCTGGGAATGAGGGGACCCCATTCCTTAAACAGTGATGGTTTGGAGTCTAGGGGTGCATCAGACCCCGTGGCCTTCTCTTGCATTAGGACTACAGGTCCCAAAACCTCTTTCAGCTCTGCTAAGGGGCTTGTACTCAGATTACTCCACTGGTCTAAGTAGGCACCCCACTTTGCTAAAGTAGATGTCTGTGCCATCCCAGTCCAGGGGTCAATACCCATGAATACACCCATCCCGCTATTGGGTAAGTCATTTGCATGACGACTATAGCCCATCCTGTCACACTCTCACAAGGCTGAAAGGCAGCATTTACAGCTGCTAGCTGTTTTTCTGTCAAGGAATACCAAAACTCAGCTCCCTTCCATATTCAGGACCAAAAGCCTCCTGGCATTCTCAAGTGCTCTGTGCACTTCCACAGGCCCCAGCTGAAACCATCTGTGGTCAGATGCATATCCTGCTCAAACGGGCACCCCTGGTCAACTACCCATAGGGCTTGTGTCTGCTGAATAGCCCGCTTTGCTGCCTGGAAGGTGGTCTCAGCTGCATCATCCCAATCCCAGGTAGCTCCCTTCTTTGTTAACCGATATAATGGTTTTATCATTTGCGCTAAATGGGGGCACAAATGCCCACCGATATCCCAAGAGGCCCACAAAAGTTTGCAGCTCCTTCACCATGGTGGGCTGGGGATATGCCTGAATTTTGTCAATGATCTATCAAATCCATGATTGACAGTGCAGCTGCATACAAAGGGAGTGTTACTTTATTCAGTTCCTGATAGTCAACCATCAACCACCAAGTTCCATCAGGCTTTCTAACTGTCCACATTGGAGAATTGTAGGGGCTGTGGGTGCCATGCACTATCTGCACTTCATGCAGCTTTTTAATTGTCTCGGTTATCTCCACATGCCCAGCCGGCAAATGGTCAGGGTTGTGCGGGACCTGAGGCTGGTGATGCATATGTCCAAGCAGCGCCAGCTTCACCACAGGCACTCAGAGTCTGAATTCCCCAGCTGCGGTTTGTAACGGCAGGCCATGTAAAATGTCCACCCCCAGAATGTATTCCAGGATGGCAGAGACATACACAGTATATAAGCAGGGAGCCAAGCGGACCTCCTGACTGAATTGCAGTCATTTCCCTTACGACATCTTTCTTTCTCTCTCTCTCTTCTCTCCCTCTTTTCTCTCTCCTCTCCCTCTTTTCTCTCTCTCTCTTCTCTCCCTCTTTTCTCTGTCTCTCTCTCCTCCCCCTCACCTCTCTTTTTCTTATCTGTATTGGTTCTATTTCTCTAGAGAATCCTAATACTCTAACATTGACATTTTTGTGTGTGTGTCAGAAACTGTCCACAAATCCACAGGGCGGACAACTTGAAAACAATGAAAATTATTTTATTTGCATTAAAGGTTCTTTTTAAAGGGTTGATTGCACCTATTATGCCAGCTACTCAGGAGGCCAAGGAGGGGATGATCACTTGAGGCCAGGATTTCAAGACCAGTCTGGGCAACATCTCTAAAAATAAATATATATTTTTAAAAGGTGTGTTTAGTTCCCCAGCCATTGCAGCCACCACTCTGGGTATGGCTACATGCCCAATCTTTTATGCCACAAAAATAACTATGAGCCTTCTACATGTGCAGAAGTTCCATACTTGTTTTATCATGATGTCACAGAGGTCAATGCAATACAGAAGTGTAGCTAAATTTAGTTGCTCTCATCTTTAAATCAGAAAGCCACATTCCTTGTCCTGATGGTGAGTCTGCTGGGTTCCAGGCTGGAGCTATCCTGGGAGCAATGGTGAAATCCATCATGAATTTCTTTCCCTACACTTGGTAACCCTCAGCTGGTTGTCATGACATTAATGCTACCGTTTTAGTAGAAAAGGAAGTTGGAACCGTGTGAGAAAGAGACAAAGGTAGACAGCTGGAATTTTCAATGGGGAAGGATTGAATACATCAAATTTTAAGGTTCTAAGATGAAGTTCATATTCTTCAAATGTGTTGACCCTCCTATTTATATTTCCAGCTGCCCAACTTATACATTTTGTGTAACTATTGTGAGAGAATATGTTACAGATTCATAATACTCATGAACTATATTCTTCCCTAGCTTTTTAGGTCACACTTATAAATACATGTCACAGTGTTTAAGCTCAGCTTGAAAACTTCAGCTTCATCCTTCATTCATCCTTTTCTTAATCCCTCAGATTATCAGTTCAATTAATTTGTGTTTTCTTCTAAAGAACTCATGCAGGTATCCCTTGCTCTATTTGACTAATGAGTAATGATGGTGAAGTGGCTTAAAAACATATCTGGACCAGCAGATCCTGAGGTTAGAATGGCGAGGCAAAACAAAAACCACGATGTGCTGTGTGTATGTGTGCATGTGTTTCCCTGGTATCTCTCATTCCACATTGATGATTAATCATGCAATAAATACTGTTTAAATATTATTTTAGGGACTTATTGAAATAGCCAATAGACTCCCAATTATCTTAATGCTTTATGTAAGCATTAAGCTCAGACCTAATGAATCTGAAGTGAGGCCAGACTGATTCTGAAGCAGGTGGCCTAAAAACCACGTGGAGAAACACCTGGTACACCCTCTAATTTGTACAGATTAGGCTCAATCAAGCTAACTATTTTACATCTATAAGTTAATGATAATAAGTAATGGTCACTTTAAGATCACAAAGCACCTCTTAAGTAATTAAAAATGGATAAATTGTATTTAATAGAGTTTTAGATTTAATTTCATGTTTTATGAATTATAATTCTTATGAAATTAGAAACTGACAGTTAGCTTGCATGGAATCGCTCTGAAAAAGGAATATTCATGAGTACCCCATTCTTAAAACTCTGAATACAATGAGGTTTATTGCAATTGGTAAGTTTTTATGCTTATCTGCATCCTCTAGATTCTTATTAGTAAATAAGAACAAAGCTTAAAAATGGTAAGTTCTGTTTTGCCTGCACCATCAAGGACAGGTGTTGTGTCTCAGAACTCGGTGGCTCATGGATGATCCCAGAGAGGTGAGACGGTCAGGCAGAGGAATTCACCTTCTTGTATGAGGGTGATGGGTGCTGGTGAAGCTGTCCCAGCATCACAGGCTGCCAGTAGAGGCAGCAGGTGACATTAACAAGTTGTCAGGCAGATAACATGAGAATCATATCCAAAAGGCAGAGACTGCCAAAAAAGGGTAGGCCCTGGGTCTTATCAAGGAGTTGGAGAACCAAGCATATACTTGAAGAGGAAAAATAACTTGAGATTGGAAGTAGAAACCCAGTTATAGAACCAAGGCCCATTGATTGGGGGCCAGTGACAAGCCTCAACTAAGGCTCAGGTATGATTAGAGAGCTGCTAATAACAGTTACCATCTGTTGTGCAGTTACCATGTGCTAGGTACAGTGCTAAGCATTTTATGCATATTAACCTCTCTAGCCCTTGCAAAAAGTCCATTATGGAGATGAGTAAACTGAGCTTCTGTGTGCTTAGCTTACCTGCCTAACTGAGGTCATATTAAGTAGATGACTTGAAGTTGGATCAAGAAGCTTATGCTTCCAGAGCCCTGCAGGAGGGTGGGATGTGAGCACACACATGTGTTTGCGGGTATGTGTGAGTGCATGTGTGTGAACTGGGTGAGCATGCATGCATGAGTATGTGTGTTTGAGGGACAGTGTGTGCAAATATGTGTACAGGGCAGAATGGGAAAGGAGCCCAGTATTTCCGTTCTGGTCACTGTGGCACTGAAATTCTGGAACAGAGTGGGGACCCATTGGCCACTTCGTCTCAGGTTAGACTAAGGGCAAGAGTGGCCCAGTGCCCAGTGGGTTGGGGTGATGAGGGGGAGCAGAGGACACAACTATGTTTTACATCCTGTTTTAAGTCAGATGGACGTGGGAGGTGAAGGATAGTGGGCCTAGCTGGCAATAGCTACATCCAGTCGCCTAGGCAGTTTCTCATTCTAGAATAATATAAATAGGAAAACTAAAAGATTAGAGCTTTTAGACTAATAATAAACACTGATTTTGTGTTTTCCCAAGTCACCTTCATCTCTCAGGGCTTCCTGAAATCCTAAAAATAGAAATCTAAAAATGAAATGAAATCAAACATAAAAGTGCCATAATCTTATTTAAACCTAAAGATTTCCAGGGACTGAAATCACATATGTCCAGTACAACGTCAAGCACAGGGTGGGACACACTTAAGACTCACTGTAAACTCTTTGTGTGTGCAGTTTTATATTCACCCTGTTTTCATTTTAGAGTGATGTAGGTCTGAGATTTTGTGCTCATGATTTTACAGAACCCACTTCCAGGACTGATTTGTATTTTTTATGGAATTAAACTAAAAATATGAATATTCAACTGATTTTAAAAAGAGACAGCTCACAAACAGCTCTTTGATGTAAATTAGAAATTTATTCTTAAACCATGAAAATGTCACTTGAGCTCTATATATGATTGCAATGAAGTCCAAAGCTCTATCAGGCACCCAAAGTTAACTTATTAATATCTGAAACTGATAATGTGCCAAATATGCAGATTAGCCTAATTTTGCAAGCCAGGCTTGGACTATGAGTGATTCTCTTTGACAATCTCTGTAAAGATTGCAAAAGGAAGCCTAGCTTTGTGACCTACCCTGTGTCAGAAGAGGTCCAGGTGAAACCCATTTTAATTGTGGTAGTGTGCACTGTCCCCCATCCCACTGAATTCTTCAAATTGACTCAGACAGAAATGGAATTTAGAAATGTTCAGGATCTATACATTCTTTATTCTTATTCTTTCTCCTCTTGTTTGTACTTCAGAAAATTCAAAACACTGAATTTAATTAAAAGTTTGACACAGGTTTGGTCATCGCTAGACAATGCAAATATCAATCATATGGAAATGGAATTTTCTCTGATGAATAAATAAGGCTAATACTTAAGCATTTGATGACTTTGCAAATTACAGGGCTGGAGTTTTGCAGTGATCCATTCCCAAGTGGTACAAATTCAATATCTTCAATTAAATACTAAGATAATGTGTATTAAAACAAGCAGAAGAGCTAGAGATGGCTGATGGAATCATTTCTTTTGTCACCTATGTACTTTGAGAGAATTGTGGAAACTTCAGAAACCAGAGTGCTTTCTAAGCTGGATGGAAGGAATTGCATACTTCATCTTAGCATATAATCTGGCTATATTCCTAGAGTCTGGAGGTGGAAGCATTACTGTAATTAAAATATGGGATTTTACTTAGGTGATATTGTTTCAAAAAGCAATTACATTAGCATTTTTCCTACCACTGCTCTCAATGGGACTCTGTTCATCAGTAATTACACCAGCATTATCAACTGCTCCATGAGCCCTGGGTTCCAGTGTATCTCTCTCTGAGAAGTTATATTAAACAACACTTGTTTCTCCATACATAGCTACATATAAGCCCATACTGGGAAGCATTAAGCCCCCTGTTCTTCAGTATCTCTCTGATGTGAATTTTATATTCTGCATCTTTACTTACACTAAGAATGTGTGGGCTTTTCAAGTTATCCAGAAAATTTACATAAACCATTCACTCTTCTTTGCCTTCTTTATTTCCCAAAGATAAGAGGAAGACTCTGATTGCAAAATCCAAGGCAATGAATATTAGGTGAAGTATTCTTTTATGTTTTGCTGCAAAAGAAACTGGGAAGAAGATGTCAGGGGAAGCAGGAAACAGAATAGCAGAAAATAGTTTGGGGAAGGATGGTGGTGGTGGTTGGGTAGTTGTTAGAAACATGGCTTCCCTTAGGAATATAGAATTGTCCTTTAGGGAAAATAAGACATTTGCTAGCACTGGTCCATGTCATCACAGATAGATGACTTGTCCTTTCTCTGAGTCATTGTTTTTACCAGGAGACTTGAGAGGTGAGGGTGAAAGGAGGAGGGAATAGGTGAATGCTCCTCACTGGTAGCAAAGTTTGATGGTGGATGCAAGAATCCTTCTCCTCCTCTGTGTGACCTGGGGATGCAGGAGACTGACAGTTGGACTCATGGAAAGGAGGTGACTCCTGTGATTTTTTTTTTTTTTCTAGAAAAGGGTCATGGATTAGAAAGAAAATAAGCCAGGTTAATTATTGAGGTATAAACTCCCTGTCTGGTTCATGGTGACTTAGGATAAACAGAAAAAGGGTTCTTTTCTCTCTGAGGACTATTTGGTGTCTGTTTCTGCCCTAGGAAAGCTACCATCAGCCACCTGCATTGTTGTTGATCCCACCTACCCACTCTGATGATGGGGAGAATGGGGTCCTCCTAAGCCCATTAATTTTTAAAGTTTGCTTTATAGTCATGTTATGGGATAACATAAAAGTCACTCCCCAAATCAGATTTTCAAAAGAGAACATAATTAAATCACTTGCCTCTCCGCATTCTGTGCATCAAAGGAGGCAGGGTTTGGGGGAGGGCTGGCTGTGGCCAAGAATAACAAATGACATTAGAAAATTGGTACCACATACTAATGACCAAGAGGCAATATGCAAGTGGAGAGCAAAGCTGTGGGGTGTTCAAGGATTTTTATCTGTGCACTGTCCTATGAAAATATCCGGGAGTTCAAAAATGAGAAAAAGATGTTTTCTCTAGTCTGCTAATTTCAAAATAAGAACTTAGGAAAAGAAAAGAAGGAAGGAAGGAAGGAAGGAAGAAAGGAGAGGGAGAAAGAAAGAAAGGGAAAGATAAACAAAAGTAAATAAACAAAAGCTGTTCTTTCCTTAGCTGGTCTATATCATAGTCTCTAACCTTACATCTTTAGACAAAACCCCAAAGAGAAGTTAGAAACCACAGCTCCTCTGATTATAATCATTTCTCCATCTAAAATAAGTAGTATTTCTCTATTTCCTACCACACTCAACAATAATTGTACCATGCTGCTAGTGAGGCTTACTCCTGCAGCCCCAGCATCACACAGCAGGACCCATAATTCTGACATGATGAGTAAGACCAGCTCACAGGAAGACTTTCTGGGGGAGATTTTTTATATGCAAAAAAATCTTTCATAGTCGGGGCATGGGGCTTCAGGCCCAGGCAGCTATTTATTTAACAATCTTCATTCAATCAACATTTATTTTGAGCCAGCATGACAAATTTAGGAGAAAACAATATTTTTGTGTGGTTGACCTTCATGGAGGAGGAAGGTAGAGAAGAGATGAGATTGTCAAAGGAGATGAGGCAGGCTCTTATATGCTATGGTAAGGAGTTTGGATATAATCTATAATCTTTCTTTCCACCTACCCATCCACGCTTACTTCCATAAATTGCTTTCTGATACCCCATTACTGTGCCACCAAGATAACATGGCTCACAGGTGGAGCTACTAAAGGATTAAACCATGGAGTTGACAGGATCCTGTAGTGATTTACAAAATAATATTCTGGAAACAGTGTGGTGATAAATAAGAGGAGGTAAGGATAGAATCAGCAAAACTAGAAAATCAGTGGTGACAACGGCCGGATGGTCAAGAAGGGCCTGAAGGCAGTTGATAAAGTGTGTGTGTGTGTGTGTGTGTGTGTGTGTGTGTGTGTGCTCGTGTGCACGCATGTGTGTGTGAGAGAGAGAGTTGGACACTTAGATTGAAGGGAAGAAAAAAGTCAATAACAATTCTGAAGTTTCTAATCTAAGAGTGTTCTCTCAGACTCTACCATTTTCACTAAACATCTTCCTCATTATCACCCATTCACTGGCCAATAAAAGCAAATTTAAGGGCCATTTAAGACACCTATGGACTCTCCTCACTCTTCCCCAACCTGCTCTGGAACGAACCCCCTTCTTTCCAAACAGGAGGTCCTCTTGAGTGTATGCCTTCATTCGGATGCTCTCTCCAGCCATATGGACTAGGCCTTAAGACCTGCCTGACTGAGAAGTGTTTCTCAGTCCTCCCTAAGGGCTGCAACTTAGGTGTGCTTCCCACCCCACCTTACTTTAGGTGGATTCTCTGCTCCAGCTGGATCTTCTTGGAACCCAATAACACTCCAAGAGGGAGTCTGGTGCCCTCTCCCTAAAAGGGAGTTTGGGTAGAGAAAAGAGAAAGAACACTTGAAGGAAAGGCGACCACGAGTTTCTTTTAGGTACATTGGGTTTGACATGCTTTCTGGGCTACCCCGCAGGAGAGAGTTGAATTGGGGACACTGGTTTGGGAATAGTTGACACCGTGGGAGTAGATGATGTCAGCTTGGGAGTGTGTGTGGCGTGAGAGGGGAAGCAGGCCCAGGAGGAAAGCTGGGAATGCTGACAGAAGAGGAAATAGTAAAGAATAGACAGAAGCAGCAGCTGGAAAGAGAAAGGAAGCCAAAGGAGAAGAAAACTGTGAGAAGAGAGTGATTTGTGAACTAACAATAAAATCCTAAGCCCCCACTGACTGAATGTGCCCTGTCTTGACCAAGGGGACCCCAGAAAAACCTTAAAAATGGAATTCCCAGCTATGACAGGAAGGGGGCTTGGACACACCTTATTACACTCCCTCTCTTTTGGAGTTTAGGCACAACTGACCAGTATTAACGTTAAAATAGAGATCATAAGACTAACAACACGGAATTTATCTCAATAAAATACCAAATTATAAATAATACCTAAGGCCATGTCTGACAAGGGTTAAGTAACACACCCCTGCAGGTCACTCTGACCCAGTGTGTTGGTTAATAGACTTCCTTATGGTAAAACCTTTCCTTCTGCTGACTCCAAATTTTTAGACAGAGCTTTACTTCTTTAACTAATTGCAGACTAAAGAATCTCTGAATCCACCTGTAACCTGTAAGTCCCTGCTTCATGATATCCCATCTTTTTGGGCCAAACCAAGGTAAACCTTTGATGTATTGATTTATGTCTTTGCCTGTAACTCTTGTCTCCCTGAAATGTATAAAACTAAACTTTAGTCAGACTGCTGCGGGCACATTTTCTCAGGATCTCTTGAGACCACTCCCCAGGACATGGGCACTCATATTGGCCCAGCATAAACCTCTTTAGAATATTTTACTGAGTCTGGTTTTTCCATTAACAGATCATTTGTGTTAAGTATCAAAGAGGTTTTTGTGGGAAAAGACCAGATAAAGTCTTGTATTGGGTGTTGAACTCTAAAGCAGACAAGCAGTGGTCCCTGGAGGAAATTTTAATATCCCTCCTTCTAAATCCAAATACTGAATTGTCTCACCTTTCACAGCAAGCTCAAGCCAAAGATCAAATTAAATTGAAACAGAGGGATTGTGCTGATGAGCATGGCTTAGAGAAGCTGCCAAACGATGCTTAAACAAGACCACGTGGCCCTCTCAGCTTTCAGCACACGGTTAAGGGCCAAAGAGAATTTTACTAAATAGGCAGTATGATTGCAATTAAGCCAAGATCCAGCTATCAATTAGTATACCTACAGTCAAATTTCAGGTATTAATTTACTTTTAAATTTCCCATTTATTAGAAATAATTATAAACCCCAACTACGAAGAAGTAGTTTTCAGTAATCCATTGATTTGCATTCTTTTTGTTAGCATAACCAATCATCATTCCGAGGCTCATTCTATAACTGAATACAAGCTCAGCTGCTCACAGCTTGCAAAATCAAATGAACAAAGATGAGACGCAGTGAAAGGACCGTGACTTTAATTGCAAAAGCTAGCAATTGAGGAAATGGCCAGGCTCATACCTTGAATAAACCGTTTCAAATTTTGGGCTGAGTATAGAGGATTAGAAAGGAAAACTTGGCTTGAGGGGCATGCAGGAGTGGCAAGGAGGTGCTGGTCTATGTGACTTGTTCTGATGACCATCTTGAGTTTTTGTTCCATCTGGTGAATGGGCTGGCAAAGTCTTGGTTACGGCTGGGTTGTAAATTAACTCTAGCCTTGAGGTAATTTCCAGGTAGGGGAGAAATCCACAATCAACTGGTTTGTTTCAAGATTTAGTCGCTGGAACTTCTAAGCAATCACATAATTAGATAAAAAAGAAACAGTGTGCAAGGGAGTGACTGGTGGAAAGACAGGAGCAAAGGTTATTACATTATTAAGAACAAAACAGGAAGGAAAAGAAAAGGATTTTAAATGGGCTACTCAGTTACAATTCTATCTAGTAGCCTTTATTAGTTTGAGTGTTTATTGTTTCACTATCATATGTTCAGATATAGGTTAATTTTTTTCTGCTCAAGTCTTTGCATGTTCCTTTAAGTATTCATGTTTTCCCATTAATTTTAGAAGTTTTTATGAACTTATGTCTTAGAATATCACCCTTGTTTCATTGTCTCTATTTTTTTTTAACTTCTACTTTAAGTTCAAGGGTATATGTGCAGGTTTGTTACATAGGTAAACTTGTGTCATGGGGGTTTGTTGTGTAGATTATTTCATCACCCATTAGTTATTTTTCCTGAACCTCTCTCTCATCCCACCCTCTACATCCGATAGGTCTCAGTGTGTGTTGTTTCCCTCTAAGTTTCCTTGTGTTCTCATCATTTAGCTCCTACTTATAAGTGAGAATATGCGGTATTTGGTTTTCTGGTCCTGTGTTAGTTTGCTAAGGATAATGGCCTCTAGCTCCATCTATGTTTCTGCAAAAGACATGATCTCAGGTTTTTTTTATGGCTGCATAGTCTTCCGTGGTGTATGTACCACATTTTCTTTATCCAGTCTACCACTGATGGGCACTTAGGTTGATTCCATGTTTTTGCTATTGTGAATAGTGCTGCAATGAACATATGGGTGTGTGTGCCTTTATAGTAGAATGACTTCTATTCCTTTGGGTATATACCCAGTAATGGAATTGCTTGGTTGAATGGTATTTCTGTCTTTAGGTCTTTGAGGAATCATCACACTGTCTTCCACAATGGGCGGGCTAATTTACACTCCTACCAACAGTGTATAAGTGTTCCTTTTTCTCTGCAACCTCACCAGCAACTGTTATTTTTTGACTTTTTAATAACAGCTATTCTGACTAGCGTGAGATGGTATCTCATTGTGGTTTTGATTTGCATTTCTCTAATCATCAGTGATCTTGAACTTATTTTCATGTGATTGTTGGCTGCATGTCATGTATGTTTTCTTTTGAAAAGTGTTCATGTCTGTTGCCCCCTTTTAAAATGGTTTTTCTTTTAAATTTAAGTTCTTTGTATTAGGTTGGTGCAAAACTGTGTTTTTTGAAAAAAGTAATTACTTCTAATGGCAAAAACTGCAATCATTTCTGCACCAACCTAATAGATGCTAGATATTAGTCCTTTATTAGATGCATTGTTTGCAAACATTTTCTCTCATTCTATAGGTGGTCTGTTTACTCTGTTGATAGTTTCTTCTGCTGTGCAGAAGCTCTTTAGTTTAATCGGGTCTCATTTGTCAATTTTTGCTTTTGTTGCAATTGCTTTTGACATCTTTGTCATGAAATCTTTGCCCATGCCTATGTCCTGAATGGTATCAGCTAGGTCTCATTTTCTCTATTTTCTTCTTCAGTTACTCCAATATATACATGTATGTGCTTTTGTGTGTTGGAGGGGGGAGTGGGTGTGTGTATGTGTGCATATGAATATAAGTACAGCTACACATACCTTTTCCTTACATTTTCTCAATTTTTTAACTCTTCTTTCATCTTTTCCATCTTTATCTTATGCTGGACTCATATTCTTCTTTAATTCTCTTGAATGGTATCACTGTAATTACTACTTGAGGGTTGTTATTTTTGATTTATAAAACTTCTCTTTTGTTATTTTTTTAATACTGCCTTCTCCTATTTTTTTATTTCTCCCTTTGTCTGTTAGGACATTTCAAGTATTTATATTTTAGTCTCTTTCACATAGTTTTACTATCTTCAAGTCTTGTTGTGATATTGCAATGTAATAAGAAATATATACTTAGTCTTCATCTCCAGTTCCTGGCACAGAGCTCCTAAAACTCTTGGAATTTCCTGAGTGATTGGGGTGACAGAAGCATTTTTTGTTATTTATAATAAGCCCCTTTCAACCACACTGGGGTTTATGCTATCTTGGAGGATAGGAACTGAGGTACCAACGATGTGATTAGAGGGTTGGAAATTTAAGCCCCATTCCCTGACCTTCCGGGAAGGGAGAGGTGATAAAGATTGACCTAATTAGCAAGGGCGGTGATGTAATCAATCATGACTACATAATAAAACCTCCATAAAAATTCTAAACAACAGTATTAGGAGAGCCTTTGAGTTGATGAACGTATCAAGGTGCTGGGAGGGTAGCATGCCCACAGAGGGCATGGAGGATCCACCCCCTTATACCTTGACCTACTCTTCTCTTCCACGTGGCTTTTCCTGAGTTGTATCCTGGATAATAAACTGGTAAATATGTGATTTTCTGAGTTCTGTGAGCTGTTCTAGCAAATTATTAAACCTGAGAAGGGGTTGAGGGAACCCCTGAATTACAGGCAGTCATTCAAAGTACAGGTGGAATCCTGGGAGTTGGGATTGCCATCTGAAGTGAGGGAAGCCTTATGGGACTGAGTCTTTAACCCCAAGGGACTCCCCTAACTCTGGGCAGTGTCTGAATTGAGTTCAGCTGTGGGACACCCGGTTGGCATCTAGAGAGTTGGATAATTGCTTAATGTGAGGGAAAAACCCACATATTTGGTTTCAGAAATGTTCTGTTGAGAGTGTAGAGAAATAGTGTTTTTGCTTTCCTATGAGGTACAAATTCCTGTATCATAATAGTTCATTTATTTTTGTTTCATAACTTTTTATTTTAATCTTTGATCTTCTGTTTAGACTGATCATCTTCTCTGGAGTTGTGGCTTTGTAGGCGTGTGCTCACAAAATGTTTTGGGTTTGCCTCAAACCCAGAGTCTATAGACTATACCTGGCCTGGATCATGCTTTGATCTTGTATCATAACAGGCTTGTTAATTCAGACTTCCTATTCATGTATACTGATGCTGGGAAAGTCAGGCCTAAGCAGAATGCCTAAATTCATAAGCTCACCTTTCCAAAGATATATTTTACAATATCTCAGGGGTAATTATTTTCTCTAGCAGGGCCCTGATTTGATAGCAAGTGTCTGAGCTCCTTTCTAGGCTGGCAAATAGCAGTCTTCTAAAATCCATTTCACATATGGACCAGCCCTATAGAATTGCTGGACACAGATATTTCAGTTCCATGGCTCTACTTGGGTAGGCATTAGAGCTGTTTAGGCCAAAACCCTTTGTTAGTGTCTCAGATTTTATGCTACTTCTCTGGCTCTGAGTTTCTTCTTCACTTCTGGTACCTGCAAATTCTCATTTTTTTGGTTGTGACCTCAGTACTATATTTAGGGAGTGGGTTATATTTTATTAAGAATTATATGTTTTCATATTACGTCAGCCTCCCAAATTGACCTCTAATGATAGAATCCTTAGATACTAAAATATTGAAAATAAAATTGATGGCTGCTTTTATTTACCTCAGAGGCCCATGCACAATGTAAATAGACTAGCTAAGCATCTGAACCCTCACAGACACTTCCCTCAATAATATGCTTCCACTTGTCATCAGGGAAAAAAAATAACCGAAAGTACCTGCATATGAATGAAGAATCTGTGTTCCTTACATGATAGTCCATAAATTGCTTTACTTAATTTGAGTCACTTTCAAAACCATTATTTCTTTGATTCTTAGAACAATCCGATCATGGAGATTGGGTGGGTAGTTCTACTCCCATCTGAATGGAAATGAAAATGGGACAGGGGCTGGGGGGCAGTGTGCAGAGTGAGAAAACGTGGATGGTGGAAATTGGGTACTGTCAACATCTACAGGATAAGAGAAGGACATCATCAGGATATTGAAGAAAGGCATTTCAGGAGGCAGGAGCAGAACTGTCAGAGAGCGGCTGCTTAGAATACAGGGAGGAGTGGTCAATGAGGCCAATGGCTGAAAGGGCGAAAAAGGATGAAATATTAATTTTTATCCACTCTAAAGCCATTGGTGACTTTGGAAGAACAATTGTAGCAGAATATTGGGGTCTTTTCAAACAAAGTACGTTTAAGGATGAATGAAAAGTAAGAATGTGTATCTAGTGAACACAAAGACTAGTGTTAGGGATCATTGCGATAGTTTATTACTGCACAGTGGCTCATGTCTATAATCCCAGCACTTTGGGAGGCTGAGGAAAGAGAATCGCTTGAGGCCAGGAGTTTGGGACCAGTCTGGGCAACATAGTGAGACTCCTTTCCACAAACACAAAAAATTACCTGGGTGTGGTGGTGCACACCTGTAGTCCCAGCTACTCAGGAGGCATGAGGATTGCTTGAACAAGACCCTGTCTCAAATAAATGAAAGAAAAAAATAAAGAAGATAGAAGAGACCTTGGTGTCAGTATTTGTGGATAAAACAAAATTGTTCTCTTTACTCCTTATTAGAGTTTTGAATTAATACTTGTGAATTGGACAAATGGAGGTCAAATTTTAGCTTTAGCACTGAGAGTGCTATTGTGGAATGTGCCTTCAATGAGTGACAATCACAGGTTTCACATGACTGAACACCTGATAAAACGACCTTACCACCATTTGCTGGGCAAGCCCTGTGTGTGCCCCAGGGGCAGTTGCTTCCCAAATAAACAAAGCAGAGCAGAATGTCCCATTATTTTGTAATTTCCAAAATTAATTTGGTTGGAGAAAATAACCATACCATATTCAAAGCATATGCAATATCTTACACTTAAAATATAATTGAAATATTTAGTTACTTTGTATTTCAGTACATTAATATTTCTGAAAACATATTTGATTATTAAAACCTCCACTTCTAAGCAGAGTAAACACATTCAAAATCACTTCTGCATATCCTCAGTTTGAGTGCCAACAACAAGCAGATTAAATTTGGAGAGGCTCTCTTTCTTTGCTTTAATTGAATCTTTTTTTTGTCCTGTTCACAGAATTGAAAGTGAAGACTGATGAATCATGCCTTCTGATCAAGACCCATGTTGGAGATTGTTGCCCTGACCTTGGGAAAGTCTGTGTCCATGTAAATTCAGATCTTAATGAAACAAAAATAAATGTAAAGCATTTTCTGGGAAACAGAAAAGTTTTGCTGAATGAAATCTAGGATACCAGCCATCAAAAAGACAACTTTCAAATGCTTGATTTACAAACTTTTCTGCAAATAATTTTAAATATGTTTTTCTTGTGGTAAGTAAAGAACATTAAAAATTCCCAGATTTTTCTGGTGACACTAAGTGTATAGAAAGCATATAAAGTTTCCTGATAAATGCTGATGTGAATACGCTTTGAGACCATCTGCATCTCTCCCATGGAACCTGATGACATTAGAGCTTATGGCTTGAGAGTAAACAGAAAGGTTAATTTTCTTTTTTATAAAGCTCTTAGCTTCAGATACATGGGATAGAGATTGATGGTAGGACTTGGCACCAGAATACCAATTGAACAGTGCTCACGGCTCATTTGGGAATCAGGTCTCCCCAAGAAAAGCTGGGTTCTGACCTCACTTCTGACACCTTAAGAAAAAGCCATTTCGTTCAGTCCAAGCCCCAAATTCCCATTGCCAGCCTGAGTTAACAATTTAACATATAGGGAAGATCCTATAATTAAAAAGTGGTAACGTTAATAATAAACATGTACTGAGTGATTATCATGTGCAAGCCACTGTTCTAGTGCTTTCCATTTATGAACTCAATTACTTCTCACAATGACCAAAGCCATGATTTAAAAACTACACACCCACCAGAAAGACCTTAACATCCTAATACTTGTAGTATGTTGAGTGCCTACCATGTGCTTAGTTTACACTTTAGGTAACATGCTTTATACACTATATGCCATTTAATCCTCACTGTATCAATCTAGTGTTTAGATGCAAACTAAAGCATGTTAGTTGCTAACTCTAGTTGACTTATCAGAAAAGAAGCTAAGTAAAAATAGGTCTGTCTCTTTAGATAGACCACAGAGACATTTGGAGGGCTGGAGAATCAGGCCCAAGACTGTGCTACCTAGAGCAATACCTATACCACACAAACTGGTCTAATGAGAAAAATGAACACTGCTGCCCCCATACTAGGTTTTAGTATATCACTGGCAACTTCTATGTTAAAAAATAAACTTTAAAGCAGCCATTTGCATCATTAATGTGACCGCCATTTCTTCTCGAAGAAATTTCATCCACTGCTACTACTGCTGCATCACTAGGTCCGGAGAGAATGGCAAGGCGTTGGAGAGCTGATGTCTTTTGGCTCTACCCTCAGATGTTTAGAGAAATAACTAGCATTTTCAGTTCTGACCTGGGGAGACCATTTTTTTTCCCTACTGATTTCTTAAATCTGGAAAGGAGTTCAGAGGAATGACAAATTTCTCCTCAGTGATTTTGTAAGAAAGGGTTTATTATCTCAATTTTAATGTATCATGGGACTAAGATCCAGAGAAGCTAGATTGGGTTCTTGCAAACAAACTGTAAGATGGAAAATATTGTGCAGGTTTATTAAAGAGTGCTCTCAGGACATACATCGCTAGGAAATGAAGAGAAAAGAATTGGGCAGAGGGACAAACTAACCTTCACTGCTATCACAAATGAGGCCTCAGACAATCCTATAGGACAACAGAATTGTCCCAAATTAAAGCTAGGGGACTAAGCCTTGTATCTCTGCAAAAAGCCAGTTTTTGATCACAAGATGCCCTTTGGATGGGGCAAAACCTTGAATGAGGCAGTTTTCTGTAGTTGAAAGAGAACGAGTTCCTGTTGTTTTGGTAATGGCAATGAATTCATCAATTTAATATAGATGAATTCCCGAAGAAATATTGATGGAATAGCAGTGGCATCCATCTCTCTTCCTATGATAGAATCTACATGAACCATATTTAAGTATTGTAAAAATATGACATTCAAAACTAAAGATGGACAACATCAAGTGTTACTAAAGATTTAGTGAAATTGGAACCCTCATACTTTGCTGGTGGGAATGTGCAATGATGCAGTAGCTTTGGAAAACAGTGTGCTCATTTCTCCAATATGAATCCCAGTGGTGTCTCTGTCACCCATTCCTTATCATCTGTAATGTTTTTGTATTATGTAAGTCCTTTCTATCTAAAATATCTAGGGTGATTTTAGTTTTACAATATTTAGTATTATACACTGATACCTGACTGGTGTAACCTGTAATAACTAGAAGAAAGGTGGTATTATTCCTTCTTCACCTAGATCACTTCATTTAGTCCTGGGTTGAGGACTAAATTCCCACCAGCAATGTATGATGATTCCAATTTCACCAAATCCTTAGCAACACTTAATGTTGTTCATCTTTAGTTTTAATGTCATATTTTTAAAATATTTAAAAATGGTTCATATAGATTCTACTATGGGAAGAGAGACGGATGCCACTGCTATTCTACCAACATTTCTGTGGGAATTAGTCTATATTAAATTGATGAATTCATTGCCATTACCAAAACAGAACTAAATGAAGTTATACACTGAGGAAAACAGATTACTGAATCCATCCTGATAAGAGTGTAATCAAGAAGGTGAGAAACTTGAAACAAAGAGAGTTGTGCAAAGATCAAAGGTACCAGACAAAACTTATGAGGAACATAATGGCTGCTTTTAAATATCTTAAGCACCCTATGTGAAAGAATTCAAGTACATAGGAAGAAGTAGGACAAGTTTTAGGGACAAGTATGTGAAGAAAAGTCTCAGTGGTCAACTTGCCTTGTCAGGCATTAAGATTCCCATCACAGGAGGAGTTAAAGCAGAAGATGGGTGGCCACTTAGTGAAAAAGTCACAGGGGCGATCCAAGGATTCTGAAGCGGGAAGTATGCAAGAGTCGAGGCAGATGATCTTAAAGTGGAGGTAGCAAACCAGCAGTTCGTGGCCAAATACAGTCTACGAGATGCCATAACACAGGTGGATTTAGTTATCAACATTTATGAATCAATAGATTCCCATAAACATCTGAAATTTCTTTTTTCTCAGGGAAAAATATGAAAATATGGTAGCACTGCATTCCCTTTTGGCAACAATTGGTGATGCTAAAAATAGATTGTTTCTTTTAAACAGATCAAGTAGCCTATAGTTTACCACAGTCCCAATATTCCCACCCATTTAGGCTCTAGCTCACAGCTTTTATCCTATGCTACCTGTCTGGGATCTCAGTTTGCTACCACTGGATCCCCAAACCTAAGATTCTCTGATTCTTTGATGCCATGACTCAAAGTCCAGTTCAAATGTTATCTCTGCTGGGAAGCTTTTCCTATTCATTCCAGCTAAATGTTCTTATTCTCCTCCCTGAATACCTCTGGCGCATAAAATATTTACCACAACTTATTTGAGTTTATTCTTGCAACTTTCCAATAAGGTAGATGTTTGAGGTCAGGGATCTCACATATAGGAGATATCCTTCGATATTTTAGCAACAAATATCCCACATTGACTTTTAATGATGCTCTTTAACAAGCTGATTAATTTCACTGTAACTTAGAAATAGCTTTTTCTACACAAGGGAAAGGCTTACCTGATTTCCTTTTGACTGTAAAGTTTATTTTTGAAATTGAGTTCTATTTCCCCCTTGGAATTCAGGAATCTTAAAACAAATATGAAGGAATAATTTAACTTTTAGACTATGCAACTTCCTAGTTTTTAGTCATTGTACTAGGCACCAGTCAGAATGTACCTTTGCCATGTAAACTTATAAATTTCCTTCTTTCCTTCACTGAGAAATTAAGATGTAAGACTAATGCATTCCATGATGCCTAGAGTTTACATTTGAGTTTATAATTGCAAATTAGTTTCATTGTTATTGTTCTAGACATTATTTTTTCAAACCACAATAATTTTTTTTTTGAGACAGTCTGGCTCTGTTGCCCAGGCTGGAGTATAGTGGCACCTTCTCAGCTCACTGCAACCTCTGCCTCCTAGGTTTAAGTGATTCTCATGCCTCAGCCTCTGGAGCAGCTGGGATTACAGGCGCATTTCACCATGCCTAGCTAATTTTTGTATTTTTAGTTGAGATGGGCTTTTACCATGTTGGCCAGGCTAGTCTCGAACTCCTGGCATCGAGTGATTTGCCTCCCAAAGTGCTGGGATTACAGGCGTGAGGCATCATGCCTGGCCTGAAATCACAATCATTTTTGTTGGGAGGGAGTAGGTGAACAGTTTGCTACATTTGATCTAATCTGGACTACTGAGAATAACAGTATAATTTAATGCTTGGTAATTGTTTTTATATATAATTAATAATTACATATTACATATATCAGCTTTTTCTAAAATATATTCTATATAATACTGTTCAAAATGCTTCCCCAAATGCCCCATTTAATAAATAGGTTGCAAACTTATTAGATATCATACCCAACATAGACTGAATCACGATATTTTTTGAAGATACAGATAGTTCCAAAAAAAGTTACCAGAATTTTGCTTCCAATATAGACTATCCCATTTATTCTGGAAAAAATAAAAGAATAAATCATACCAGTGCTTTCACAAACTCTTCTCAAAATAGAAGAAAAATTTCCCAACTCATTCTCCAAGGCCAGTGTTACCCTGATAACAAAGCCAAACAGGACATCACAAGAGACCAATATCACTGATAAATATAGGTTAAAAATATTTAACAAAATATTAGTAAGTTGAATCCAGAAACATAGTGAAAACATTGTACTCAGGACGGGCAAGGTGGCTTATGCCTGCAATCCCAGCACTTTGGGACACTGAGGCAGGCATATTGCTTGAGCCCAGGAGCTCCAAATGAGCCTGGGTAACATGGCGAAACCCTATCTCTACTAAAAATACAAAAGTTAGCTGGGCATTGTGGTGCATGCCTGTAGTCCCAGCTACTCAGGAGGCTTAGGTGGGAGGATTGCTTGAGCCTGGGAGGCAAAGGTTGCGATGAGCCAAGATCACATCACTGCACTCCAACCTGGGCAACAGAATGAGACCCTGTTTCAAAAAAAAAAAAAAAAAAAGAGAGAGAGAGATTATACTCCATGATTAAGTATGATTTATTTCAAGAAGGTAAGATTGGTTTTCAGATATCTAATACTGTGTAATAATATTAACATTATTTACAAATTCAGCAACTTAAAACAATATGCAGTTATCCCACAGATTTTGTAGGTCAGGAATCAATGCATAGCTTAATTGGGTCTTCAAGTTAGTATTATACAAGGTTGCAATCAAGATGTCATTTGGGGCTGCAGTTTCATCTGAGGCTCAACTGAGGCTGGATAGTCCTGTAAACTCACTCAGGTTTTTTGGTAGTTTCTTATGATTATAGGGCTGAGAGCTTCACTTACTGGTTGTTGGCTAGAGGCCACCTTCAGCTCCTGGATGTTGCCTGTATTTCCTTGCCACTTGAAATTCCTCAACATGGGCAGTTGTTTCTTCAAAGGCAATGGAGAGAGAGATTCCAGCAAAATATCCCCCCGCCCTTTTTTTTTTTTGGAGATGGAGTTTTGCTCTGTTGCCCAGGCTGGAGTACCATGGTATGATCTCAGTTCACTGTAAACTCCACCTCCCAGGTTCAAGCAATTCTCCTGCCTCAGCCTCCCAAGTAGCTAGGATTACAGGTGCCCACCACGATGTACCATGCCTGGCAAATTTTTGTATTTTTAGTACAGATGAGGTTTTACCATGTTGGCCAGGCTGGTCTTGAACTCCTGACCTCAGGTGATCCACCTGCCTCGACCTCCCAAAGCAGGTGTGAGCCACTGTGCCCGGTCCAAAACACCTCTTTCAATCTTCTATAATGTATATAATGTAATCATGTAATCTTAGACATTGAGTCATATTTGCTGTGTTTGTTTTATTAGAGCAAGTCCCAGGTTCTGACCATACTCAAGAGAAGGGAATCACACAGCCCACTTAAATGGGCTTACTCTTTAAGTAGGTTTCCCAGAAGTCTTGTCCAGTGACTACCACTTATTTCCCTTGGACAAACCTGGGCTACATGGTTATTCTAGCAACAAAGGGAGCTGGGAAATGTAGTTTCTAGATGGGCATATTGTCCACTAGAGTGTAATTGGGTTCTGTAAGAAAAGTGGAGAATAACTATTGGGTGGGCAAATAGCAATATTTCATTCAGGTGGAACCATATCACTGAGCCAGGAATATCAACTAGTGAGTCATACTGCGAATATCGAAAGCCAAAATGATTCTTTTTAGGACAAAATGAATCCATTGGCATTTCATTAATGGAACATGAAAATTATTGTTCTATTTGTTTCTACTTGTTTAAATGAAATACTTGTCTTCAATTCCAGTTTTAGAATGTGGGCCTTGAAATGCTTCAAATTAGCCAATTTAAAATTAATTCTGCTTTAGTAACATTTCATAAAAATGATTATAAATCAGAACAAAAACCTGTAGGGTATAGCAAGTTTCACAATTTCTTTACAAAAACAGCAATGCACCAGTAACCACAGAACAATAAAGAAAAATTAGAGGGGTATATCACAAGGGAAGAAATAATGGAAACCATTAGAGACTCAAAGAGCGGAAAGCCACCAAGAGAAGATGGATGGCTCCATAAACTTTATCACAGTTTTTCAAAAAAAAATACAACAATCTACCAGGTAGTGAAACCATTAAGTGAAATTATTGGTATAGACCAATTATGTCCCCCAAGAAATGAGATAATCATTTCCCTCTTACTGGATAAAAAAAAAAAGAGCAGTAGGAACAGAGACACATCCTGCCAATGAAAACTTTAAGTGGTGATTATAAAATATTCTCCAGAATGGAGTAATGAGTATAATGAAGGTTGTACACAACAAAGTAAAACTGTACTGAGATTGCAGCTTTAGAAAATCACTACAGTCACTGTGACTGTGGACATTCTCTGTGCTTCGATTCAGTAAAACCAGTTGATGGAGTGATGAATTGCTTCTTCAGCTTCTCATGGGTAGATTTAGGGAGAGAAAATGACAATTAGTGCCAATATTATAGAGATATTATTGGACAAATTCATAGGCTATCATCAGAAGCCCTCATGGTAAGGAGGGGAAGGTAGACTGGGTGATATTATTTCTGTGTTTATAGACAAATATCCCAAACAAAACCCTAATCAGCATATCCAATTGTGGGGTGAGGAGTATCATCAGTGACCTTAAAGAGGTGCCTGTGAAGGGTAAGGGGCCGGACTCTCCAGTTGCAAGATAGAGGATGTATTGCTGCTTCTCCATCAGACCAACTCATTTTCCTACTAGTGTTTCCTCTGCGTGGAACACATCTCCTCAACTCATACATAACTAATGTGAAGTGTGGGCAGATGTGGTATGTGTTGATGTATTGCTTCTAGGTGGAAGTATTTACTTGCCAGAACTTCGACACTCTTTCTTCTTGGCAAGGTAATTGTGGAGTTTGGAGATAGCGTCTCTCCCAGCCTGTTGCTGGGTGACCACATGAGCAGAGCTCCCAAGCTAACCCACAATGTCCAAGTAACATGAGAAATAAACCTCTTTCTTTTGGGTAGGGGGAGGGGGTTGTTTGTTACTGTAATATAATCTCCTAGCCTGTTCTGATACTTCATATCAAATCATCTTAATTACTTATTTATAGCACTGTTCATGATCCATACACTCTTAATGTGTTTCTTTATTCTTTTTGTCTGGCCTTGAAATGTAAACTGTATGTGGGCAGGGACCTTATCTGTCTTGTTCACTGATACATTCCCCAGAAAATGCATAATATGGAAAATAATAAATGTTCAGTAATATATATTCAATAAATAGTCTTTAAATAAGAAGTACAATTCTCTTTAGCCAAAGAATAAAGCAACATTTCTTAAATGCCTTTCCTAGGCATTTAAGGAAGTAAGAACCCTACATCCAAATTTCTAGCATTTATCAGCTGTGAGACCTTAGGGACATTACTTTATCTTTTTGTGTCTGATGCCTAAGTGTCTTCATCTGCAAAAACAGAAATAATCATATAAGGTTGTTGTGAGCATTAAATGAGTAATACAAATAACATAATAAACCATAATAATATATATTTATTACTAAAAGTGATACAAAGCAGATATCCAGGGCAATGTGCCTGAATGGCAAGCTATATTTTCCATCTTTCCTTGCGGCTAATTAGGGATATTATATTCTAGCTAATGAGATGTAAATTGAAATGTTGAGTGGGATATTTGGGAAGATGCCTTTCAAAGAAGGAAGCAAAACCCTCTTCTTCCTGCTGGTTGGAATGTGGATATAATGGATGATGTTCTAGCCCCTATCACATGAGATGAAGTGGAGGCTAGAAAACCATACACAGTAGAACAAAAAATAGAAAAAGCCTAGGTCACTGATGACTTGGTAGAACTGCTACATTAGCCATAAACAGTCTGTCTTCAAACTGCATTTTTTTGGAAGAATAAACTTTTACTTGTTTATGCCACAAAGTACTCATAGCTAGCACAAATTAAGTCTCTAACTGATATGCTCCCATCATATGTTGATCATCTATTTGATTTGTTTTTCCCAATTAAGAGTCTATTTATAGGGGTGTGTGTGTGTGTGCATGCATGTGCACCTGTGAAAATGTGTATATATATATATGTCTACCTTCATGGTGAAACTTTTACAACAACATCCTTTTTTCACTATTGTGCCAAGTTCTCTGGTGAGTGAAATGGCAATAGATCAGATGGCAATGAGTAATGTAAACCTGGATGTCTTCTTAATGCATTTTAAAAATTTTTTTATTTCAATAGGTTTTTGGGGAACAGGTGGTGTTTGCTTACATGAGTAAGTTCTTTAATGGTGATTTCTGAGATTTTAGCGCACCCATCACCCGAGCAGTGTACACTGTATGCAGTGTGTAGTCTTTTATCCCTCACCACCCCCTACCCTTTCCCTGAGTCCCCAAAGTCCAATGTATTATCCTTATGCCTCTGTGTCCTCATAGCTTAGCTCCCACATTTGAGTGAGAACATACGATGTTTGGTTTTCCATTCCTGAATTACTTCACTTAGAATAATAGTCTTCAATTCCATCCAGGTTGCTGCAAATGTCATTATTTCATTCCTTTTTATGGCTGAGTAGTATTCGATGGTGTGTGTGTATGTGTGTGTGTGTATATATATATATATAAATGTGATATATATATATATATATATATATATATATATATCACATTTTTTATCCACTTGCTGATTGATGGGCATTTGGGCTTGTTCCATATTTCTGCAACCGCAAATTTTGCTGCTATAAACATGCCTGTGCACGTATCTTTTTCATATAATGACTTATTTTCCTCTGGGTAAATACCTAGTAGTGGGTTTGCTGGATCAAACGGTGAATCTACTTTTAGTCCTTTAAGGAATATCTACATGGTTTTCCATAGTGGTTGACTAGTTTACATTTCAACCAAGAGTGTAAAAGTGTTCCCTTTTGATTGTATCTGCGCCAACATCTATTTTTTTATTTTTTGATTATGGCCATTGTTGCAGGTGGTATCACATTGTGATTTTGATTTGCATTTCCCTCATCATTAATGATGTTGAGCATTTTTCCATGTGCTTGTCGGCCATTTGTATATCTTCTTTTGAGAATTGTCTATTCATGTCCTTAGCCCACTTTTTTGATGGGATTGTTTGTTTTGTTCTTGCTGATTTGTTTGAGTTCTTTGTAGATTCTGGGTATTAGTCCTTTGTAGATTCTGGGTATTAGTCCTTTGTCAGATGTATAGATTGTGAAGATTTTCTCCCACTCTGTGGAATGTCTGTTAACTCTGCTAATTATTTCTTTTGCTGTGCAGAAGCTTTTTAGTTCAATTAGGTACCATCTATTTATCTTTGGTTTTTTTTGCATTTGCTTTTGGCTTCTTGGTCATGAAGTCTTTACCTAAGCCAATGTCTAGAAGGGTTTTCTCAGTGTTATCTTATAGAATCGTCATGGTTTCAGGTGGCATTGCTATAAAAATAGGCTCATAGACAGAATAGAAAACCCAAAAATAAAACCAAATACTTACAAACTAATCTTCAACAAAGCAAACAAAAACAAAGTGGGGAAAGGATGCCCTATTCAACAAATGGTGCTGGGATAATTGGCAAGCCACATGTAGAGGAATAAAACTGCATCCTCATATCTCACTTTATTAAAAAATCAACTCAAGATGGATCAAAGTCTTCAATCTACGACCTCAAACATCCCTATTTATCATTCTTAATGTTTGGATTAATGATTTAATCCAAAAACTCAGGCAAAGTCCAGGGATAGGTTAATATCTGCTAGAGGGAACCATAATAAACATATTCATGAACCAACTGTTATGTACAAGTCAAACAAACAAGTTAATTGTTTGTTAGCAGAAGAGATTATGAGTTTATTTTAGGCCATTAGTGTATATTACTCAGTTAAATTGTGTTTATATTCTGTAAATCTTTAATATTTCACCACAGGAAAGAAATTCAGCCCATATTTCTACTGGAAACTCCCAAAGAAGACTTAGAGCATGACTTAAACAAATTAAAAATTAAAATTAAGCATAAGCAGTGGATCAAGTAATGAATTATTTGACGTTTAAAGCTTTGGTTATTAGTCAGAATTAAGTCTTTAGTGATATAATGGGCTGGTTGGTTTGGTGGACTTTACAATTGTTTTTAAATAAAGAAGGTTTCATTCAAAAGTTGCCAACCTCATCTTTTGGGTACTGTTTCTAGAGTCATAAGCAGGGTCCTCTTCGTTATGCAAATATAAGATAAATAGGCTCTTCTTTCTAATACTCTTACTAAATTCTTGGGTAGGGAATAGGCAAACTGATATAGGTCCTTGAAACTTCCTGGAAGTTTTCTGAGAAATGCATTTAAGATCCCAAACTTCTTTTACTTTAAAAATATTTGAAATTTAATGTTAAAAGAAACTCTCTGTAAAGTGTAGACGCTGCTGATGAGATTCAACAGCAGAAAAACGAGTCCTACAAGAAAATTCTTCAGGGCACTAGGGCTAAATTTGGCCTTGGCATCTTGGCTGATACTGCGATCACAGGAGACTTGGTTTTGACATTTGGTGACTGTACCTAAGAGCACTTTGGGCCTAGCCATTCTAGTACAGTGGCTGCCTTTGAGAAATGGATCTGAACATGTAAATGTAAACTAAATAGCTAAAGTGGAGAGAGCCAGCAAGAGCCTAGCTGTGGACAGGTATGGAATTACTAAAATTTCATGACTGAGTTTTACCAGCAACAACATGTGAAAGTGGTAGAAGTAAAAACAACTGGAAATAGTAGACCAGTTAGATTCTTTATTTCCCTGAAGAATTTGGAAGGTGACACAAAGATTAAGAAACTGTATTATTCAGGATTCTCTAGAGGAATAGAACAGGATATGTATACTGGAGGCCAAGAAGTCCCACTGCATGCCATTTGCAATCTGGAGAACTAGAAAAGCTGGTGGTGTAATTCAGTCTGTAGTTGAAAGGACTGAGAAATGGAAGAGCCTATGGTATAACTCCCGCTCAGAGGCCCAAAGGCCTGAGAACCTGGAGTGAGGGCTGGTGTAAGTCCTGGAGTCTAAAGGACTGAGAAACAGGAGCTCTAATATTTGAGTGCAAGGAGAAGACGAATGTTTCAGCTCAAGAAGAGAATTTGCCCTTCTTCTGCCTTTTTGTTCTTTCTAGGCCCTCAAAAGATTGAATGATGCCCACACCTCCATTGGTGAGGGCAGATCTTTTTTACTTAGTTTACTGATTTAAATGCTAATCTCTTCCAGGAACAAATGTTTTACCAGCTGTCTGGACATCCCTTAGTCCTGTCAAGTTGACACATAAAATTAACCATCACAGAGACCAAAGATTAAGCACTGAATAGAAAGGTATTTATTGTCCTAGTGGGAGTCCAATCCTGCATAGAATCTAAGTGAATAGAAGATGAAGTTAGGGGAGAAACAATTGGGTAGATCTTTTAAAGTCAAAAGATCATCAATCATCTTCCATATGGTTGGGTTCCCCAGAAAACAGACTCCGAGATGAAGATTTGTTTTCTAGTGGGTTACTGGGGAGTGTACTCAGGAATAACACCCATTAGGGAGTAAGGCTAACAGGAAGAGAGTGACCACGATAACTCTACCACCTTTGGATCCATGGCTCCATTGGTCAGATAACCCACACATTTGACGTATCTCTTTCCTACCATTTGGGAATGCTAGGAGACGTGCTGTCACACAGTGTCAAGATGATTCAGAAAGACTCATGGAATTGAGGAGATGCCTGTAAATTAGCTTCTGAGTCTTAAAAAATAGCCTTAAGCACATCATATAATTAATGTATAATATTTGATGTGACTCCATTAATTTCCCAAGATATTTACTCTTTCCTTGTCAGTTCCATTATCTTGCCAGGCACTGAAGTCTAATTACATGTTAGTAGTTTTATCTAATCAGTATCTCATAGCAACTTTTAAATATGTGTTCTGGGTTCCAATTTCCTGACACTTTTGGGGTTTGCCCAGATATCCCTACCCTCCTATGTTTCTCAGACTAAACACTTCACAGTTGACAACGTGCTTTTATAAATTTCTCAGATTGTAAATTTACCTACCACTTTCAGATATGCAAAGAAAGCACAGCTTATGTATTTTTCATAATTTACCTAATCATCTTAAGAAGTCCCCTCTTTATTGGGTAGCATGGGAAGAGGACACTACAATTAGTCCAATTCAGTAAACTCAGTTGAATCCTATAATTTAAAGACCATCTGATGTATAGTTTAGTCTCTTGGATAAGTCTTTGTTTTTATGCTTCGTGCATTTCTGATTCTCTCCAATATCAATCCAAGAATATAGGGAAGAGGCTTATGTGACCTCATGGCAGCAGGGAAGAGGAACAGCCCCTCAGCTATGTGTCCATGTTTTTTGAGCATCTTCTTGTATCTTCTAGACCCAGGCAATGCCACTTTTCCTCTGGTCAGTGGGTTTCCTGTTGGTACCTAATGGCTCAGTCTGTTGTTTATGACATTGGGAGATTTTCTTTCTTGGTTCCATTAAATCCTGGTGGAGTCAGAGCCTTAGGATTCAGTCCTTGACCTTGACCCTTGCTTTTAAGGGAGGAGACCACCCCTTATATTGTCTTATGCCCAATTTCTGCCTCCAAAGAAAGAAGAAGTAAAAACTAAAAGGCAGAAATGAAATCCACAGGCAGACAGCCTGGCTCCATGCCTGGGCCTGGTAGTTAAAGATCGACCCCTGACCTAACCGGTTATGTTATCTATAGATTCCAGACATTGTATGGAAAAACATTGTGAAAATCCCTGTCCTGTTTTGCTCCATTCTGATTACCCGTGCATGCAGCCCCCAGTCACATATCCCCTGCTTGCTCAGTCAATCATGACCCTCTCATGCAGACCCCCTTAGAGTCGTAAGCCCTTAAAAAGGACAGGAATTGCTCACTCAGGGAGCTTGGCTTTTGAGATGCAAGTCTGCCAAAGTTCCTGGCCAAATAAAGCTCCTTCCTTCTTTAACCTAGTGTCTGAGGAGTTTTGTCTGTGGCTCATCCTGCTACATTTCTTGGTTCCCTGGTTCCCTGACTTGGAAGTGAGGTGATTGGCAGACAGTCGAGGCAGCCCCTTAGGTGACTTAGGCCTGCCCCATGGAGCATCCTTGCAGGGGACTCCAACCAGCCTGAGTGACATGGATCCTGACAGCACTCCCAGGTAGGCAATTGCCCTGTGGGATGCCTCGCCAAAGCAGCATGTGGCAGGCCCCCATGGAGGATCAGTGCAGTGGCTGAATGCTGGGAAGGAACTAGCTCTTGGAGTCTGGATATCTGAAACTTGGTAAGACTGGTCTTTGGAACTTGCCCACTCCATTTGAGTGGAAAGGCGTGCCTGCACCGGCATTTTGGTTTTTGTTTTTGACTTGATTTGGATTGCTTGATACTTTGGTTTTGGTTTTGACCTGGCTTGGATATCTTGATACTCTGATTTTGGTTTTGATTCTGGTTTGGTATAAACTGTAAAAGTGTGTGTATGCCCTTTTTACCCATTCTTTGTTTTGTGGTGTGCGTGTGCTGTGAGCGTGGTGTTTTGTCTCAAGGAAGCGTGGGTCAGGCACAAAGTAAGCCCACCCCACTAGGAACTATGTTGAAAAATTTCAAGAAAGGATTTAAGGGAAATTACGGTGTTACTATGACACCAGGAAACTTAGAACTTTGTGTGAAATAGACTGGCCAGCATTTGAGGTGGGTTGGCCCATCAGAAGGAAGCCTGGAAAGGTCCCTTGTTTCAAAGGTATGGCACAAGGTAACCTGTAAGCCAGGCACCCAGACCAGTTCCCATACATAGACACTTGGTTACAGCTGGTTTTAGACACCCCACCTCTGGCCCCCGCCACAGTGGTTAAGAGAACAGCAGCATAAGCTGCTGACAGAGGCAAGGAAAGACCAGCCAAAGGAGAGAGAGGAAAGAGATAGAGAAAAAGAGGGAAAGCGAGAGGAAGAGACAGAGAGACAAAGAGAGAGTCAAGGAGAGAGAGAGAGAAAGAGAGAGGCAGAGAGACAGGAAGAGATAGAGGCAAAAGGAAAGTCAAAGACAGAGAGAAAGAGAAAGAGATATATACAAGTAGTTAAGAAAATAAAAACACAGTGTACCCTATTCCTTTAAAAGCCAAGGTAAATTTAAAACCTATAATAGATAATTAAAGGTATTCTCTGTAACACTCCAATACCACTTTGTTGTCATTTAAACAAGGGCATATCCCGAAAGCACCGAGGACTTCCTATCAAAAATCCTTAACCCAGTAACCTGCGGATGGCCCAAATGCATTCAATCTGTAGCAGCAACTGCTTTGCTAACAGAAGAAAGTAGAAAAATAACTTTTAGAGGAAACGTCATTGTGAGCACACCTCACCAGTTCAGAAGTATCCTAAGAAAAAAAAAAGATGATTTAACATTAACCACTGAAAATTCCCTTAACCCGGCAGGTTTCCTAATAGGGGATCTAAGTCTTAATTACCATACAAAGGTCCAACCAGACCTAGGAGGAACTCCCTTCAGGACAGGACGATAGATGGTTCCTCTCACATAATTGAAGGAAAAAAAAAAAGCCATCTATACCAATTCTAAGTTAATTTGGACTAAACAACATCTATTAATAGCAACAGATAATTAAAATCTCAAACTTAAAAGGTTTTCAACAAAAGTAAAGTTTGCTAAAAGTTAACAGTGTAACATGTATTATAGTAACTTCTAATCTTGTGGCCTTAGACAGTCTAGTTCACCGATATAAAGGAAGTTCGCTTTGGAAAAAAATGGTTATCACCTTCAAAAAAAAGGGAGAAAAAAAGGGAAAAAAAATTGGGGGGCAGAATTTATGTAAAAAGAATGTTATATGGTAAATTCTTGTTCTGAAATAAATTAACTGGTTGTTTAAAGAAAGAAATGTTTGCAATAGAAAATTGAGGCATAGTGTAGAATTGTCTGCGAAAGTCATGAAAGAGAAAAAAAGTTATAAAAAAAGAATTTATGCAAGAAATGCTGTATAATTTAAAAGTAATTAGGCCTCCTGAATGTAAAACAATTGAAACAGTTTATGTGCAAGGTGTATAAGGAAAGTAAAATATACCTCTGGTAAAAAGATTATAGGGAGGCATAAGAAAGTGGATTTTTATCTATATTAAAAGGTTAAAAAATTGTTTTAAAGGTTTAAGCAAGTTTTAAAACAATAATTGTAAAGGAAATTCTGTGTGTAAACATATTGGCTAAAGTTAAAGGAGTATCATCCAGTTTTTCTGTGAACTGGACATTAAAATAAAAGCACAACAGGTTTTTCTTAAAGCACTAACCTGCTCTTTAACAAAAATTATAAAAAAGGTTAAAAAGAGTCTACAAAAATCTTACCTTATGTCAGACATTAAAAATTGGATAAACATGTCTACAAGGTTTTATTAAAATTAAGTTTAACATTAATAACACACTAATATAAAGGTAAAATTTAGCCTATCTGGTGTAAAAATCATACAAGAAGCATTATTAAATATAAAATGGTGTTTGGCTTTCTTTGGTCTAAAAACTAATAAAAATAAGTGCTAAAGGAAATTTCTCAGTAAGAAGGCACCAAAGACTATAAAGTCCACTGTTGATGCTCCCACATTTAAAACCAAAGGTCGTTTTCTTAGAAATTATATACTTGGTTTATCTTCCTCTTTCCTTCCCCTCAAAACTAAAAGTCTTTTAGCACAGGTACCACCCCTAGAATTTTCAGTAAACTAACACCAGCCTAAAGATCACCTTCCCATCAAAGGGTGGAAAGAAGGAAAACTTGAGCCAGCCTAGAAGGACCCTACCTTGTGCTGCTAACCACCAAGACTGCTGTTCGTACAGCGAAAAAGGGATGCACTCATCACACCTGAGTCAAAGTGCCACCCCCTCCAGAGTTGTGGGCCACAGTCCCAGGGGAAAACCCTACCAAACTAAAGCTAAGAAAAGTTTAACTCTTTCATCTATTCTATTACTCTTTCTTCTTTCCTCGCTCTATTGCTGACCATCTAGTTATTAACATAACCAAGTCAATTTCATCTCAAACTATTGCATTTAATGCTTGCCTTGTTATACCCTGTGGGGACTTGCCAAGTCAAGACAGCTCTCTACTTCAGAAAAGTACCTGTGTCCCTCCTGACTCTCCTCAGACTGGGCATTAGTAAATTGGGATCATTAATCCAGGGAGATTTCAATAAAGACCCCAGTGACAACCAGGAGTCTTGCCCCCCGATGTAGAGCTTTTATGCCATAGTCAGTCCAACGTTCTGTGGACCACTAAAGAGCAAGGATGGACTGCCCCAACTGGTTTTTGTAATTTCCTAAAATCATACATTCATTTTACTAGAGGATTATAGAAGTTAAAGACTTAGGGGAAACTTTGGCCATTAAGACAGGATACCAAGGTGCAAATGCCTGGTTGGAATGGATCAAATATTCTGTCCACATGTTAAACAAAAGCAATTGTTATGCTTGTGCACATGGCAGGCAAGAGGTCCAGATTGTCCCCCTTTCCACTAAGGTGGTCCTCCAGTTGACCAGGCGTGGGCTGCATGGTAGCTTTTTTCCAGGATTCTACAGCCTGGAGTAATAAGTCATGCCAAGCTCTCTCTGCTATATCCCAAAGTCCGGCACCCTGAGGGTCAGACCCCGAGGGCCATCTAGCTTCCGTCTTCCAACACTAAGTTCACTTCGTGTCTCTCATGACAGGGAGGAAACTTAGTGTTCCTTGGAGATCTGAAGGGATGCAGTGAGCTTAAGAATTCTCAAGAGCTTATCAATCAGTCAGCCCTTGTTCATCCCCGAGTGGATGTGTGGTGGTATTGTGGTGGACCTTTACTGGGCACTCTGCCAAATAACTGGAGTGGCACTTCTGCTTTAGTCTGATTGGCTATCCCTTTCACCCTGGCATTTCATCAACCAGAGGGAGGAAAAATAAGACATCATAAAGCAAGTGAAGCCCCTTATGGGTCTTTGGACTCTCATGTCTATTTAGACACAATTGAAGTCCCATGGGGAAAACCAGATCAATTTGAAGCCTGAAATCAAATAGCTGCAAGATTTGAGTCAATATTTTGGTAGGTGACAGTTAATAAAAATGTAGATTGGATAAACTACATCTATTACAACCAACAGCAACGAGCTTTTCATGAGATAAAAGAAAAACTCAGGTTGGCCCCAGCCCTGGGGCTACCTGACCTGACAAAACCTTTTACACTATATGTATCAGAGAGAGAGAGAGAAAAAAAAAATGGCAGTTAGAGTTTTGACCCAGACCATGGGGCCCTGGCCAAGGCTGATGGCCTACCTCTGTAAACAACAAGACAGGGTTTCTAAGAGTTGGCCCCAATGTTTGAGGGCCTTGGCAGCAACAGCCCTGCCAGCACAAGAAGCGGATAAGCTAACTCTTGGGCAAAACCTAAACATAAAGGCCCTCCATGTTGTGCTGACTTTAATAAATACCAAAGGACATCATTGGCTAACGAATGCTAGACTAACTAAATACCAAAGCTTGCTCTGTGAAAACTCCCGCATAACTATTGAAGTTTGCAACACCCTGAATCCCACAACCTTGCTCCCGGTATCAGAGAGCCCAGTTGAACATAACTGTGTAGAGGTGTTAGACTCAATTTATTCTAGCAGGCCCACCCTCTGAGACCATCCTTGAACATCAGTAGACTGGGAGCTGTACTTGGACGGGAGCAGCTTCGCCAACCCTTGCAAAGTGACTCTGAAGACGACGACAAGCCCTGCTTCAGTCACACCGGAAGCTGACTGGTCCATGCACAGCCAAAGCATGAGGAACTCATTGCGGGACTCATTTTCCTTAAAATTTGGACTTGTACAGTAAGGACTTCAACTGACCTTCCGCACACTGAGGATTGTTCCCAGTATATACATCAAGTTACTGAGGCAGGACAAAAGGTTGCTACAGTCCTATTATTTTATGGTTATTATAAGTGTACCAGGACTCTAAAAGGAACTTATTTGTATAATGCCATATAAGGTATGTAGCCCAGGAAGTGACCAGCCTGATGTGTGCTATAACCCACCTGAGCCCCCTATGACTCCCGTTTTTAAAATAAGATTAAAGACTGGCAACTTCTGCGTTCTGAAAAACCTCAGTTATTAGACAATATTGTATAGCAAGGGTGAGGAAGGACTTCACCCTTCCTGTGGGAAGACTCAGCTGCATTGGGCAAAAACTGTATAATAGTACTACAAAAACAGCCACCTGGTGGAGTTCAAACCACACTGAAAGAAATCTGTTTAGTAAATTTCCAAAGTTGCAAACCGTGTGGACCCACCTGGAGTCCCATGGGGACTAGACAGCCCCCACTGGATTATACAGGATAAGTGGGCATAGAGCCTATGCCAAGTTACCTGACCAATGGGCAGGTAGTTCTGTTACTGGCACCATTAAACCATCCTTTTTTCTACTGCCCATAAAAACAGGCGAGCTCCTAGGCTTCCCTGTCTATGCTTCCCAAGAAAAGAGAAGCATAGCTATAGGCGACTGGGAAGATGACGAGTGGTGCCCTGAAAGAATCATACATTACTATGGGCCTGCCACTTGGGCACAGGATGGCTCATAGGGATACCGAACCCCTATTTATATACTCAACCGAATCATATGGTTACAAGCTTAGAAATAATCACTAATAAAACTGTCAGAGCTTTAACTGTTTTAGCCCGGCAAGAAACCCAGATGAGAAATGCTATCTATAAAATAGACTAGACCTAGACTACTTGCTAGCAGCTGAAGGAGAGGTCTGTGGAAAGTTTAACCTGACCAATTGCTGTCTGCACATAGATGACCAAGGGCAAGTAGTTGAAGATATAAAGATATAACAAAGCTGGCACATGTGCCCTTGCAGGTGTGGCATGGGTTTAATCCTAGGTCCATGTTTGAAAAATGGTTTCCAGCACTAGGAGGATTTAAAACTCCTATAATAAGAATTATAATAGTAATAGGAACCTGCTTGTTGCTTCCCTGTGTGCTGCCTTTGCTCCTTCAAGTAATGAGAAGTTTTGTTACTACCTTAGTCCATCAAAATACTTCAGCAAAAGTGTACTATATGAATCACTATCAATCTGTCTTGCAAGAAGACACGGGTAGTGAGGATGAAAGTGAGAACTCCCTCTAATGGGTGAGGTTCTCAAAGAGGGGGAATAAGGGAGACCACCCCTCATATTGTCTTATGCCCAATTTCTGCCTCCAAATAAAGTAGAAGTAAAAACTAAAAGGCAGAAGTGAAATCCACAGGCAGACAGCCCAGTACCATGTCCTGGGCCTGGTAGTTAAAGATCGATCCCTGACCTAACCAGTTATGTTGTCTGTATGAATCTGTAGATTCCAGACACTATGGAAAAGCACTGTGAAAATCCCTGTCCTGTTCTCTTCCGTTCTGATTACCAGTGCATGCAGTGATTACCAGTCACATACCCCCTGCTTGCTCAGTCAATCACGACCCTCTCACATGGACCCCTGTAGAGTTGTAAGCCCTTAAAAGGGACAGGAATTGCTCACTCAGGGAGCTTGGCTTTTGAGATGCAAGTCCACTGAAGTTCCTGGCTGAATAAAGCTCCTTCCTTCTTTAACCAGGTGTCTGAGGAGTTTTGTCTGTGGCTCATCCTGCTACACTTTGACTGGCTATCTCCTTGGTACCTGGTCATAGCTCTTAACTGGGGACCACATTGTTCCCAATGCAGTTACCTCCCCTTACAGAATCACCAGTCAGCATCATCAACTACTCTCCATGTCTGCCCCACAGGATGCAGAAATTCTGGAACCGTTTCCACACCACATAGGATTTAGGGAGGTTTTAATTATATTATACTTTTTTTTTTTTTTATTTTGCTTTGGCTGCTTAACAAAGTTTGAGTCCTCGAACTTCTCTTGCTATTCTCCATTCACTCCTTAGGTTATCTTATTCAGTACTACAGCTTTAAATATCATCTATAAATGAATGACTCCCAAACCTAGATTCATATCGCAGACCTTTCTGCTAAACGCTAGACTCAGATACCAACTGCCTACTCAACAGCCCTGCTTAGGTGTCTAACAGGCCTCTCAAACATAAATGTCTAAAATGGAATGCCTTATCTTCTCCACAAATCTACTTCTTTTCCAGTCTTCTACAACTCGGTAAGTGGTGCCTGTGCTTTTTTAGATACAGGAGCCCTAATACCTGATCATTATCCATGACTTTCTCACACCCACATTCAATCCATTAGAAAATCCTTGTGGCTTTCTGACACGATTTTGCTGTGTCCCCAACCAAATCTCATCTTGAATTGTATCTCCTTTAATTCCCATGTATTGTGAGAGGGACCTGGTGGGAGATAACTGAGCCATGGGGGCGGTTTTCCCCATGCTGCTCTTGTGGTAGAGAATAAGTCTCATGAGATCTGATGGTTTTATAAGGGGTTTCCCATTTGCTTGGCTTTCATTTTCTCTCTTGCCTGCTGCCATATAAAATGTGCCTTTTACCTTCCACCATGATTGTGAGTCCTCCCCAGCCACATGGAACTATGAGTCCATGAAACCTCTTTTCCTTTATAAATTACCCAGTCTTGGGTATGGCTTTATCAGTAGCGTGAAAACGGACTAACACACTCTCTTTCAAAATTCATCCAGATTCTGTATTTCTTACCACCTTTCTCACCCTGGGCCACGACACCATCCCCTCTCTTCTGGATTAGCTTCCTTATCTCAACCCTTGACATAAAATCTACCTTCAACATAGCCTCCAAAGGGATTTTTAAAAATGCACGATTATCTTCTGTTAAACATTTTCCAAAGGCATTTGCTATTTCCTATGCCTGATACCCTCTTCCCTCAGATATCCACATGGCTCATCCCTCATTCCTTTAGCTCTCTACTCAAGTATCGCCTTCCAGTGGGGCTTTCCCTGATCTTTTAACAGTCATCTTAAAAGGCAATACCTGGGCAGGGCAGTGGTGGCTCATGCCTGTAATCCCAGGACTTTTGGAAGCCAAGGCGGGCGGATCACAAGGTCAGGAGATTGAGACCATCCTGGCTAACACGGTGAAAACCCGTCTCTATTAAAAATGCAAAAAATTAGCCGGGCGTGGTGGCGGGTACCTGTAGTCCCAGCTAATTGGGAGGCTGAGGCAGGAGAATCACTTGAACCCAGGAGGTGGAGGTTGCAGTGAGCTGAGATTGTGCCATTGCACTTCAGCCTGAGCTACAGAGTGAGACTTCATCTCAAACAAACAAACAAAAATATGCAACACCCACCCCCAACAATGGAAACTCCCTGCCCCATTTTCCTGCTTTACTTCTCTGTAGTACTTATATTCCCACATGTATGCATTTATATATTTGTTATCCCATTTTCTCAATTGGAAAGAAAAGCTTATAAGTTTAGTAACTTGATTCTGCTAATTACTTTATCCCCCGTGTCTAGAAAGGTTCCTGGCATGTAGTGGGTACTCCATTAATTTGGGATATAATGTCTATTATATAGCTTACATCAGAATATAAGAAAAGTTCAAGAACCTTTTCAGCATAGCTTTGCTTCAGTTCCCTAATCTGGTTTCTCTGTTTGACGGCACCAGCAAAATTATTTTATGTCTCCCAGTGATCTGTTGGGGGATTCTGTCCTTCTGTCTTCTACCTTATGGTCTATGGGTTTATCTGTTTACCATCTAATTTGTGAGGGAAGTAGGATGGTACCTTAATGTTGAAAATCCAGCATTATGAAATTTGGTATTATTATAAAGATTTGACTAAAATTTATGTTTCGGACAATTCTCAATTTTTTTTTACAAAGATACTCAGCTATAACTGAGGTGTAAGAGGACATAGTTTGTTACATGTAGGCACAGATTTTGGGGAAAGAAATGGGAGGTAATTATACTACCAATAATGTTAAAAGCCACTATTTATTTAGTGTCAAACTTGTGCCAAAAACTATGTGTACTACCTTCACAACAGCCCTAGAAAATAGATATTGCTACTTCTGGTTTACAAATGAGAAAACCAGAGCCTGTCATTAATAACTTGATCCAAAGTCATGAGTTTAATGAGGGGCTGAGCTAGGGTTGTTGACTCTAAATTCTTTCCACTATACTGTGCTGTATTCACAGTAGTCTCCAAAAAGATACTGGCAGCCTACTTGTTTTTGAAAACTCTTTGAAATGCTGTTTTAAAATGATCTTAGGCGCCTTTTAAAGAAACATAGCAGGATAGCTTCTTATATTGTAAACTAACCGAGCCCACAATTTTTGTGACTATGCATGTCATCAAGCTTATTTGTTTAAGATTACATGCTGGCTAATGATTATATTGCTTTGCCAGTTTCCATGATTATAGAGAGATTTTTCATCTGGAACAGTGGAGGTGGCCTTTGACAGTGCAGAGGAGTGAGAGTGGACAACACAGTACATCACAATGGTAAGTATGTGACCTGCCTCCACCCTGAGCTTCTGCAGAAGCAGCAGGACAATGAAAGGAGAAGAAAGGTAATTACCTACATATGAGTGATGACTGCTGAAAACCATCTTCCCCACAGTGGTTAGACCCTGGGTTTTATGGTCTTAACATTAGCACAGCAGGACCTAATGCTGATAGCCTGGAGCGGGGAAAGCTACATCTTTCACTTTGGTGCTCTGCCTCTATGGTGTTTCTCATCGCCCTGCTGTGTTTCTTAAAGGTCTCAGGGCAGTCGTCCATCAGGGGTGACATCGATCATGCCCACTCATAACTTAGGCTTGTTACCTCAAGTCACATTGCATTGCTTCTCTGAAAGCACATAAATCCTTTATCCCTTTTTCAGGAATTCTGTTCGCCTACTTCTGTGATTTCATACACGGCAACACTTTGGTAAAGGTAGGCTGCTCTTTCCTAAGGCTGCAGGTTCATGCCTGTCAAACCTGGGCTAGAAAGAAAATATGCCCTGTAAATCGCTCTGTGCAGTGATTTGAAAATAATGATGTGACTCATTAGTATTCACAGGTAGAAAATGGAACCTGCTGTTTGTGTTCAGTTATTAAACAGTGTAGATGTCTTCCTGTAAAAAAGGTGGAAGTGGCCTCTACAATCATTTTCAGGTGTAAAATTCCTGCACACTACATCCTTTCCTAATTAATGTCAGTTGTACATTCTGCATTATATTCCCCTAGCACTTCTGGGCTGTGGATGTATTTATTATCATATCGTTTGAGAAGGAGGGCAGTGATTGACAACGATTCTCTTTACAAATCCCAAGTGGTGTGTAATTTGGTTTTCTAACTGTGCATGTTTGCACAATCTGCTTCCTACTCCAGCTAGATTACTATGAGTTGAAAATGCTCATCAGTGTGGAATTATATTTCTCAATATCTTGAGTCTGTTGTATGACTCGAGTGAGGACAAAATTTGAACATTCTAAGTATTAGGGGGCTCCCAAGTGTATCAACAGGTGATCAGAATGCACTATCATAGCTGCTACAGTAGATATACCAAGGAGGGCAGTGGAAGCACAGGTGCAAGCCAATAGAAGCTTCACTGAGAAAAATAGCACTTGAGTTGGGTCCTGAAGGATGGACAGGAGTTTGACAAGCAACAGGGAGAAGGACATTTTAGACTTCATAAATATGGAAAATCTTGGAACAGCAAGGCCTACTTGAAAAATGGCAGTTATAGCAATTACGTTATCTTTCTTATGTTATTCCCTCCCTAGTTGAAGCCTTTTGTTCCTTGAGTTATATGGAATTTAATATGTCTACTTAAATCCTAATGATAGGTTCACGGTCTTATGGTAGGGTGAGTACTAGGACAGAGGGAGCCATGAGGCTTACAAAGTGCAAGAGGTTTGAGTTTTAGGAAGGCTTCTCTCCTTGCTCTGTGACTCAGTTTCCTCATTTACAAAACAAAGACATCAACTGCCCCTGGTCTAAAGGTAACTGAGTGAAATATGACAGGCATCCACAGTCAGTAGATGAATTCTCCTCCTTGGGGGCTCATGAATGTTTCTGGTGGAGGCAGACAGAGGTGATGTGGAGCCCCTCTGAGATGTACAAGTCCAACATCACCAATGTGCACTTTGGAGTTATACTCACATGGGTACCTCAAGGCGTTGGGAAACTAAAACGTACCTCTCACAAAAATGTTGGGCACCCCCACATATGGAAAATGCTTGAAGTCTCTTGTTAGTCTAGGATATGCATATTATTCCTTACATATACTATCAGAGGATTTGGGGTGACTAATTTTAGGAAAAAAACTACCAGGAAAATACACTCATAAGTCTTCAGAGCATCTTTCAAACTAATAATCTGTGAGCTGTTATTAGCAAATTTTATATTCAAGAATAAGAACAATTCTCTAGAGGGGAAGAACAAGCCCTCACTGCAGTGGCAGAAGAGGAAGCTGAGCAGAAAGAACAAAACTGTGAAGGCTTCTTTCCTGGGATCCAGTTGTGAGTTTAGCTTTTCCCTGGATTTTCTACGACACTGGTATAGAGACTGACATTTTCCATGCCATAAGTAATTAAAGTATTCCAAAAGCTCTAAAAAGGTAACTCATAGAGACCCATGGGTCCTCAACAATGCTCCTGAACACAGACTCTAAGGAAACAAGGAGCCTGAAACCCCTTCATTAAACCAGGAAGATAGGACAGAAAAGAATCCTTCCTTCTTCCCTTCTCCTTAAACATTTCAAAGTGCTGAGCTTTGCATGTCACACAAGAAGACAGCCTAAGGCTCACTCTCGAAGGAAAGACTCATTTCTTTTCTGGCTCCCGTGGTGCTGTGGATAGTTCTCAACCTGGACAAAGGAAGGTGTTAAGTGGGCTGAGCTCTCTGCCTTCCTTTTCTCTGCAAAGAGAAGGCAAGGCCTTACTTTCTTCCTTGGATGAGAGGCAACATAAATTGATCACACAACTATTGAAGAAGAAAAAATAGTAAGAAAAAAATAACTAATTTACCTGATTTATGAAGGTCATTAACAACCTACTAGGATGTTCTGATTCAGTTGAGACAGTAAATTTTATGTGACAAAGATGACAATTGAGAAAAAGTGACTGAGAGAATGCAAATGAAGAAACATTTTGTTTTTCCCTTGCCCTCACATTACATCTTCCTTACTTCTTACTATGAAAATTCCTACCCTTTTCTATCACATATACCTGGACTCTTTTCCAGATTGAACCTAAGTCATGCTATCTTGTCCTTCATTTGGACTGATGGGCCTAACTCAGTGCTCTTGGCAGTCTTGTGGTTTGGATTTTCAATTTTCTCACTGTAGCTAATAGTCTCTTTTATAGGCTGGCCAAAGCATTCACTTTGAGATTCGATAGAATCTTCCAAATTGGAAGATAACAATATGCTTGGTGTTGGCTCCTTTAACTGAAAATGAGAAAAATCATGCAGACATTGCAAGGCTAAAGGTTGTTTATCTCCATATTATAATTTCATTCTTTCTTTTTTTTTCAGATACAGCATGACTAAGCCTGCAAATTGTAAGGGATCTCAGTGATCACCTATTCTAATGTTTCACAGAGTACACAGTATGATTCTAGACTGTACATGAAATAATTATTTTTTAACTTTAAAAATTATAAATAGGCAAACATTTATTTTTGTATGCATTACAAAAAATGTTGAATAGTACAAGAAAAGCATGATTTCAAGGATATTATTATATAGGGTGAATATACACATGGATATGGCAATAGTTGTAAGGGTTTTATGGGTGGCTAAAGCTTGGAAAGCACTGACCTACCTACATTTTTCTTTCAACAGCTGGGACAACTGAGACCCAGGAGACAAATGATTAGGTCAAGGTCATTCAGTGAATCTCTTGTAAATCTGGGGCTTAAGCCAGGATTTGGGACTCTTAATTCATTCATCGTATTCTCTTTTTTCACAAATGTGTAACATTGTTCTTTGCATACTCACATATCAACAGTTTTTTTATATTGCTAAATCATGCATTTAATTTCTATGTATTAGATATAAAATTTTAATTTGGGAAAAAACATTTAACAGGATAGTTAATGAATACAGAAAAGTGGTTTTAAAGGTAGTGCCTGTTGGGCTTGGCTGTAAAATCTGAGATTGTATATCAGCTGTCAGCCTTTCATGTCTTCAGCATGCAAAGCATGCCTGCCATTCTCTTTGGATTGTATTCCATAGTTAAGCAAGAGCAGGAAACTTTAAAGACCTAATTGAGATACCACAATGGGATCTGTTTTCGATGAAATCATATCTGTCATCCA
The DNA here is from genome assembly GCF_000001405.40 of Homo sapiens. NCBI lineage: Eukaryota > Metazoa > Chordata > Mammalia > Primates > Hominidae > Homo > Homo sapiens. Next base: position 103,585,702 of record NC_000011.10, read on the forward strand.
CTTATTCTGACTATTCAGTCTTTTTCTTCCATAATTTTGAAACTTATGTCCCTGCTACAATGGACCACCGTATTAGTTCATTCTCACACAGCTATAAAAAACTACCTGAGAATGGGTATTAAGAAAAGAGGTTGAATTGACTCACAGTTCCACAGGCTATATGGGAAGCATGGTTGGAAGGACTCAGGAAACTTACAGTCATGGCAGAAGGGTGAAGGGGAAGCAAGCACCTTCTCCACGTGTCGGAGTAGGAGGAAGACAGACCGCGAAGGGGGAGGTGCTACATACTTTTTAACAACCAGATCTCATGAGAACTTACTCACTATCATGAGACCAGCAAGGGGGAAATTTGCCCCATGATCCAATCACCTCCCATCAGGTCCCTCCCCCAACACTGGGGATTAAAGTTCAACATGAGATTTGGGTGGGCACACAGTGCCAAACCACATTAACCACTAACAACAGTAATCATAGCTACCGCTCATTAAGTTCTTTTTGCCAAGTGCTATTCTAAGTACTTTTTACTTATCTAAGCCTCATAAGAACCCCATAAGATAGGTCCTATTATTATATCCAATTTAAAAATCAGAAAACTGAGGCACACAGAGGTTAATCAACTTGTACAATGTTAGAGAACTAGTCAGAGAGTTTTATCCCAGGGAGTCTGCTCCAAGGTTGTTGCAGTAACCTTGTCTCAAGTCTTTTTAAGATTTCTCTATAAATTTTTATTAGCTTGTATACTGCGATAGCACTGAAAACTCATTGTAGTATGTGTATAATTGGATGATAAAACTTGTTTAAAAACAGCTTTGTTTTTCTAATCTTCATGTTGTGTATAAAAATACTGTCACACATAATTTGACAAAATCCCTTAAAGAGGATTATAGAGGGCTGGAAATTGGCAGGATAATTAAAATGAATTTTAGGCAAATTAATTTGAAAACTAGAGAAAGTAGAAAAGATGAGGTAAGGAAGTGCAATGAGAATGGTGATTCAGAATGAAGATAACAATAATAGCATTTAACAATGGTAATAATAATTGTATCAGCTACAATGAGTTGAGAACTTAATATATGCCTAACACTGTGTTACATACTTATTTGTATATTGTCTAAATTCTTAGAACAACCCTTTGAGGTATTTATCATCACTCTAATTTTACAGGTGAAGAAACAGACTCAAAGAGGTTACATTATGTGTTGCTGTGATCTAGCAAGTGATAGCAGAGTTGCGGTTTAAACTCAGGCCCAGCTGTGACATTCTATACTTTTCCATTCCTGGGAGCTCATAGAACTCAGACACCTGATATGTAATGCAATGTTTTTTGTTCTATTTTTAGCTTGAGTTATGAGTCAAGAACACACTGAATATTTTTCCTGCTTGGATGAGCCTCCATTCTCCAAGTTAGTTAGCAGGGTTAAAGAGAAGTTTGGGGGCATCTCAGCAAGAATTGCTTTCAAAAACCTCTTAAGCGGCTCCATCTCAACATTTATAGTAACACTTTAATTTTGATTTTGACTTTCTGATCCCTCAAAAGTATTCATCTACCTCTATTAATCACATTATTTATGAGAGAGATATAGGTCTGGGTATCCGTTGACCTATTCAAGAATCTAGTATTGTGGATTTGCCATTACAGAGGCATCCCAGGAGAAAATGGTCCATAGGCTACAAAGGCTCTTCTCAAAAGGGTGTTCTAAAACTGTCAAGGGCAGCCTTTATGGAATGAGTTTATAACCTTCTAGGGTGACAATTTTGAAAGCAACATACTAATTTGGATATCTGACTCATTTGGTCAAAAAAAGTCCACAAATTTAATGTACAAAACTTCATACACACACACACACACACACACACACACACACACACACACAGTCCAACTTTCCAAAAAAGCAACCCCCTTGGTTAAAAAAATTCTACCTTAGATTGGGTTGAGATCTGTCTCTGTAATTCTGAAATTCCAGCCCACATCTTCCAACATGTCCTTTCAGAACAATAAAGATCAAGTGTGTTCCCTCTTCCAGATGAAAGCCCCACACATATTTGAAGACAGTTTTCTGGTTTTCCTTGAATTGTCTCTTCATGAAGTTAATCAAATTATCCTTGAAACTTCCCTCCTCCATGAAAGACTAATAAGAGGATACTTCCTCTAGAGAGTTTTAGTGCCAGAGATAAGCACAGCCTAGTTCATTTCTACTTTAAAAAATGGGATATGTGCAATGATAAAATGCCACTCGGCCTGTTTTCTCTTTGCAAGGCAGGCTTTAGGATGATGATAAATATTTGTCTAGATTGTGCAGCTGAGCCATATGTAAATTTGCATAATGGGACTCCAGGTGATGTGCTGCATGGTAATTACTTGTTACTTGTAACTTGATAAAGCTGGAATTTAGCAACACACTTATGACTGAATGCACTGTCAACAAACCAAGAGCCCTCAGCTTGTCTCCTTGTCACCTTAAATGGTGTTAAGGAAGAGGGAAGAGGTGGTAAGAGTCAGTGGAAGACTGATTTGTTAGACTTCTCCAAGGTCACAAACAATTTCTAAGAATAGCACAAGATGTTTGTTAACAGTGCAAATGTTCTGATTTGATTGGTCCACAATTTCAGTCTTTGTCAAGACCAATTCGGCCAGACGGATGAGTGAATTAGAGGAACAATGGGTATTAAACACACATTATGTTTCATATCCTGCAGTGGTTGCATGAAAGAGGAATCCAGGCTGCAGTATTCATACTTCTTGCTCTTCTCAAGAGCATTTGTCTCCCTGGATAAACACTTCCTCTTAGGCAAAGATCCTGCACTGTCCTATAAAGATCTAAGGAAGTCAAATCAAATCAACAGATTTAACAATTCAAGTAAAAAACATTGGGTTAGGTGCTCGGAAAAAGGAAATGAGTAACACATTCCTTGCTTTTGCTTTTTTTGATAACTTTTTTTATTTTGAAATGATTGCATTGCCTTGATATAAATAATAATTACTTAAATCTAGGTGATATGGCAATTGTTGATGATGCAGTGTCAAATATAAAAATAACAGATTACAAAGATTGGTTTGTGAAGATGTGTAGTGCAGTGAGTAATAAAGCACAACTTTAGAATCTGAATTCCTACCCCCACTTGACATATTATATAACCTACCTGATCCCAGGTCTCTTATCTTGGACATAGAAATGATGATGCATAGCTCTTACACCTCATTACTAATGAGATAATGACTGTAAAATGCTTTGGAGAATGCCTGGCCCCTAGCTGAAGTTCAATAAATATCAGCTATTAATGTGATATCTGCACTGTGCTAGAACATTGTGAAATTATGAAAACAGAGTGAACTTAGAAAGGCCAGTGGAAAATACACAGTGGATTAATCAATATGAGAGGATTTGAGGGACATATCTTTTGATTTATCTTGAAAGAATGTTTGAATGACAAGAACAGATTCTAAAATAAAAACTAAAATTATTAAATGGAAATAATTTTAAGCAGAAATTGAAGACTCAGTCTCTCCTATCAGAGACCTCATAGTCTAGTGGGGGAGACACAATTGTGGGGACACACTTTAAGTATAATTATTAAATGCTAGAACAAAGCAGGGGAAGATGAACCCTGTGAGAGCAGAAAGCAAACGTTTAGAAATACTTCTTGGAGTCAGTAATGTCTGAGATGTAGATGGAGGGAGCAACAATGGTGGCATGGTCAGTAGGACAGGAAAAGAGGGCAACTATTTTGTGCAAATCCTCATGGCAGGTTCCAAAAGGTACAGATATGGATTAGTGTGATACATGTTGGTGATAAATCATGGAGGGTCTTAAACATCAAGTCAAGAAGTTAGGGCTTGGCTATTTATTCTGAGTTCATTGCCTAAATACTTTTTATATGGCATGAGAATGCATTAGATCCTGCCTTTTTCTTCCAGTGATTAGCTTTTCAGCATATTAAAAAATGGAGAGTGATAATGATATGGACAGGAGACAGGAGGGTGGGGTCCCTGGAAAGGGCTCCACCCTCAAGCCTGGACCCACAGTTCTAAATGAGAACAGGCATTCCTGTTTTTTCACCTAAATGTTGACTTTTGGCCCACTATGCCCCTCTAGCCTGTGCCCATATAACCCCTAAACCCCAGGCTCCATAAGCAGAAGAGTAGCAGAGTGGCAGAGCAGCATGGCAGAGAAGAAGAAGAGAGAAGTGTCTGAATGTTGAGAGGAGTTTGGCTGGGGGAGGTTGTGGTGGAGATCAGCCATGGGATGGCCAAATCCCAGGGGAAGATTATCTTCCTACTCCATCCCCTCTCCAGCTCCTCATCCCACTGAGAACCAGCTCCATCACTCAATAAAATCCCCGCATTCACCATCCTTCAAGTCTGTGTGACCTGATTCTTCCTGGATGCTGGACAAGAATTTGGGACACACTGGGTGTGGTAACCGAAAAAGGCTGTCACACTGACTCTTCACAGAGCTGTTTAACACTCAAGCCATCCCTGGACAGCAGGGCTAAAGGAGCACTGTAAGACCCCTAGACAGTGCTGTGGGGCTGGAGCCCAAAAGTGCTCATCCCAGCTCCTGCACCTGCTCACCTGCATACTTCCCTTCCTGTAAGGGATTTGAGCACATGGTGGCCGAATAAATGAGCCACACCATCCCATAAGGGGATCAGGGAATTCTCCCATTTCAATAATGTTTTAATTGAGATGATTTGGGCATAAAAAGACAACCAAAAATATGCCACCCAGGAATGGTAGTGTCTGAGCCACTAAAAGACATGCATTTTACCCATTTTATAGGGATTCTGGGAGTGAAAACAAGAAGCCATGATCTTCTTCAGCATCCCTTTCTACAGCATCCTCATGTGAAAATTGGCATAACTAGACAACTTTCAAACTTCTGGATAAATTTGAGAATAAATATATGGCATTTGAAAACAGAGTTAAGTTTCTACCTCCAAAACAAATCAATCTGCTTGTACTTTTTGATGTAAAAATGGATCCAGGAGCCAAGTAGAAGAAACCCTTCCTTTTGGAATGATTGACCTGGCTATGAATCCTGGCTCTGCCATCACAGTTCTGTGTTACATTAGGTGGAGTCACGGGACTCTCTGAGCCTCAGCTTCACAGACATAAAAGAGGATTGAAATAAGGCCTCCTCAACAAGGAAATTCTAGGAGACTGATGGAGAATTCCCCTGCTCCATGCTTTTAGAGATTAAGCTGGGGTCATTTACTGGGCCTGGACCCAATCTGCCTCTTTCAGGATCATGAATATTGTTTATGCAGTGAACATCACACAGGAAGATTTTTCAGTTTTCCAAAGTAATATGCTTTCTTCTCCATGAAACACACACAGGGTTCTCTTGGTTCATCTTTTATTTTTTCATTAGAAGTGCATGATACTCCATGCCTGATATTGCTTCAAACACTTTATATATATATTAACTCATTTGATAAATCACAATTTTTTTTTTTTTTTTGAGATGGAGTCTTGCTCTGTCACCCAGGCTGGAGTGCAGTGGCACGATCTTGGCTCACTGCAACTTCTGCCTACCAGGTTCAAGGCATTCTCCTGCCTCAGCCTCCCAAGTAGCTGGGATTACAGGCGTGCCCCACCATGCCTGGCTAATTTTTGTATTTTTAGTAGAGACAGGGTTTTACCATGTTGGTCAGGCTGGTCTCAAACTCCTGACCTCGTGGATCCACCCGCCTCGGCCTCCTAAAGTGCTGGGATTGCAGCGTAAGCCACCGAGCCCAGCCAATCATAAAAAATTTTGAGTGGATTTTATCGTTACTCCCATTTTAAATATGGGGTAACTAAGGCATAGAGAGATAAAGTATCTTCTCATGATCATACAACTAGTAAATGTTTGATTTGGAGTTTAAATTTAAGCAGTCACCTCCTGAATCAATGGGCATAACCACTGTATTATATTGACTCTCTTAGATAGAGATGTGGGTTCTTTCATTTACCATAGTCAAAGCAATAGCATAAGCTCTTAGTCTAAGTGTTGGAAAGTAATAGAGAGTAAGGGAAACTGACAAACAAAAGAACGCATGACTCATCTGAAGGTGATGGCTCTACTCACATCCAGTGTCGGTTGCCATGGATGTCCTTGGACTAGTACTGCCAGCATAAATATTCTGATTTTTCAATAAAGGCCAGAGTTCAGAATTTTAAAATGTATTCTACTGATTGTTAGTTGTTTCAGACTAATTACAAAATTTTAAGAACTCAACACAAGCCATCCGTGGTTCACAGGACAATAGTTTGTGTTGTCAGTTGAGCACATTAATAGCTTCATGGTTATAAGAAAGTCTCTGAAGCCAGATTTCTAGTTCAAATGCCCACCCCATTAACAATGAGAAAGTCATTAACCTTGTTTGCCTTAGTCACCTTGTCTCTAAAATAGGCCTCATGACATAAGTGAGGATGCATCCTTCAAATTATTGGCATAAGGATTAAATGAGTTAATATTAAGATTCCCGCACAGTGTCTAGCACATGATAAGCATTATGTTAGTACTTATTATTATATCTTCTTATAATTCTGCTCCATGACATGAAATCAATCATTCACAATGAATGTAGAACTTGCATAGCTCTGGGTGGTAAGTAAAGTAGCTTTTCTTGGAAAAGAATGTTCTGTGCAGACATCAAATAACTGACATCGAAAAACTATTGATTTTATAATATTTTCCCTATTTTAACCTCAGTCTATATTCTACCTAAATTTCCATCAAGGGGGGCCCAGAAAAAATTATGAAAAAATTATTTCCTCATAAAAATAAGAACTGATTTCTCACTTTTATCTTCCCATCTTATTTGTTGTTGCTGTTTTTAATAATATTTCCTCTTGCCCCTTTTTCTGGGAATAATATGAGCAGAAGAGGAAATAACACAACCCTATAACAGCATTTACAGGGTTCCCACAGTGCACAAAGAGAAGTGCTTAATCCTATAGGGAGTAATAAGAAACTAGATGACTTTTGCTGAAAAGAAAAATTAAGGAAAAGAGAAAAAAATTGATCAGTTTTTTAATATAACAGTAATTAAACAACTCCATTAAACATCTGCCCAAGAACAATATTCTCTATAGATGGCATGAGGATGTGAATTTGAATCAGATGAGGTCCCAAGGACTTCTGCAATGTGCTAAAGGATCACTTGGGGAGATTGTTAAAATGCAAGTTCCTGAACATTACTGTAGGGGGTCTGTTAATTTAGGTCTGAGTAGGGTCCAGGTATATGTTTATGTTCATCAGAATACTAGCACTATACATGGACCACACTTTAAGAAACACTGTTCAAAAATAAGGGTTTGGGGGATTAGAAAATGGGATTACCGACTCAATAACCTCCTCTCCCCAACTGACTTTTTAACTAAAAGATTCTTGAATATTATGTATTATGAGCCCACCCCAGTTCACGGGGATGAATGTTGATTTGATTAAATCATTAGCTGTAATGCCAATCACTTGACAGGCATTGGCATGAGAAGTTACACAGGCCAGTAAGAGAACATGATGGGTGTTTAGGGAAACTTTCTCACTCTGATTGGAAACGGCAATGGACCAAACCACTGCTAATTTTTTTTCTTTGCCCCTCGATGAAGCTGTGTGGGAAGACAGTGTCTGGAGTTGGCAAAGCCATATCCTAGCATAGGCAGAGTAGCCAGTATACTAAGGATGATGGAGAGGAAAGAGGGAAGAAATGTAGGTTCTTGATGACATTGCTAATGATTAAAAATAACCTTTGAAATACCTTGCCACTGGACTTAAATACGAAAATAAGCCCTACATAATTTGAACTACTTTAAGTTAGATATCCTGCTATTTGAAACTTATAGCATCTTATGATAGTTTTATTCCAGAATGCTCTAAGGAACAGACCATAACATGTTGAACTTGTAAGTGCAGCAGATAGAATGGAAGACAGTGGCAACTGGACCACTCCAGGCTGGGAAGTTGGAGATACCCATTATGCAGGTATTTGATCCAACTGCCACTTGTTTCTTGTGATGCCGATTATATTCTGATTTGGCTCTGAGTTAGAGGAAATGAGAGGAAAAATTCAGTATATGAGGGATTTGTGACTGTTTATAGATTCCTTCATAAGATTCTGCAAGAGACACATCTCCTGAATGTGGCCCATGTGAGAACAAAGTTAAAGAAAACAAACTGCTAAGAGAGGTATTTTATACCCAGAAGCTGAAAACTGTGTTGACTGAGAATCTTTTAATTTGAAGTCTTGCAGTGTTGAAAAAGCCTTGCAGTGTTAACTGCCCCCCAAGCTAAAGCTAGTTTATGAAGCAGCAGGGAAACAGAGACTTATCAGAAGATAAAATTAAGCAGTTTGGTGCTTCGGGCCTCTTGCAAATACCCCATTATTAATTACTTCTAAATGAAAGAGAGGCAAGTCTGTCTGTGAAGACTGAATAAAGATGGGAACTTTCTCAACAAAGGCCACACCTTTCAAAGGTCTTAAGGAAGGGGCCATTAAACCAGTGGAGAGGGAGAAGGTCAGGTTTCCAAGATCAAGGGACAGACAGTGGGTAGGAAACAAGAATTTTGGAATTAGTGACCACGTCCAGTCAAAAATTTTAGCTGTGTTTAGTAACCCATGAAATTGGAAGTAAATAGACTGCATGTATGCCAAGTTTGTATGATTACTGTGTTGAAAAGAAACACTGATCCTGGCCCAGAACAGCTTATGAATTATAACCCCTGAGGCAAATTGCAGGCCTCTACACCTGAACAAATATGCAGGGGGTAGCTACTGCTGTGCCTCCTACAGGAATGCAGTCTCACATTGCTCATCTCAGATGTAGCCAGGGAGGATCAGCCAATCTGAGAGCAGAACCAGGTTTGTGGAGGAGAGGACACAAAGGGAGATCTTCCTAGAGTGCAGAACCAGGTATTCAGAGGACTGTGGACAAAAGCTATCTCCACCAGATGGCAGAACCAGGTCTACTGAGGACAGGGGACAAGGGCCATCTTCTTAAACGGCAGAACCTAGGCTTCCAGACTGGCTGTCCTGAGAGGTGACTGCACTGCCTGGGCTTAGAATCCTCATGATTCCTGTCCAGCTGGGTAGGGATGGGTATACACCAGGGCCTCTGCATTGTTTCTTATTCTATTGCTGTTCAAACGTAAGTTTTCATGGCAGTGAAAACTGCCTTGCAGTGTTAACTCCCCCACCCCGCCTCCCCCAAGCTAAAGCTAGTTTATGAAGCAGCAGGGAAACAAACTTATAAGATAAAATTAAGCAGTTTGGTGCCTTGGGCCTCTTGCAAATACCCCATTACTACTTACTTCTAAACGAAAGAGAGGCAAGTCTGTCTGTGAAGATTGAATAAAGATGGGCACTTTCTCAACAAAGGCCACACCTTTCAAAGGTCTTAAGGAAGAGGCCATTAAACCAATGGAGAGGGAGAAGGTCAGGATTCCAAGGACAAGGTACAGACAGTGGGTAGCAAACAAGAATTTTGGAATTAGCTGCTTCTGTTTCTCAGTGTATATTTGTGTGTAATTAGTAAATTATTTGTCTTATATCCATAGGGTTGTACATAGGGGATAAATGAAGAAAACACTGCATCACCCAGATGTCCAGAACTTGGAGCCAGGTGCTCCATTTAGAAAGGAAAAAAATGAGTGTCATTTAGATATAGACATGAATGGTATCTCTGAGTATCATGCAGCCAAAGAAGTAGAAGGTGATAAACCATTTCTGAATACCCAAAGTCTCTTTCCGCCTCCTACCACTGTGGACTGCCATGTTAAAAGGCTTGAATTTTCTTCTGGTATTAGGAAACCACGTGCTTCATGGAGCCTCTCCCCAGCCTGGGGGTGAGAAAATTTGATAAGTCTAAGGCAATCATGGCAAAGTCATGATCAGCAACAGTCATTGGTTTAAGTATGGGCTGTGACTACACCCTGGCCATTTAGCAAAAGAACTTTCTTAGAGATTTCTGGAACAGGTGTGCCTTCCTGTAAAAAAGGGGTGTGTGGGAAAACCCTCCCCATACCTCTGTTAGATGCTGTGAAAGAAAAGCCTCAGCTGCAGCAGTCATCTGGCGACTCCCTTGGAGTATGACATAATGACAGAGCAGAAACATGGATGAAACCTGGGTCCCAGTTGACATGGTGCAGCCTCTGAATGAGCTTGGATCTGCTTGGCACCTGACTTCTTGTGAAGTGAGATAATGAAGGCCTGGTGTTGAAACAGTTAATTGGATCCTGTTACTTGCAGCATTAAACATCCTAAATGATTGATATAGACAAGTCTTCCTTAAATACTACGTACAGGGTCTGTATAACATTCATTTAGCACTTAGGTTTTTGAGTCGAATGAGCATCTGAATTTGAGGCCAGACTCTGCCACTTAGTAGCTTAAACAAGTTGCTTCACCTCCTTACCTAAGTTTCTTGGTCTATAAAAATAAAGATAATAGAAACCTATTTGATAAGATTACCGTGAGGCATGAGATAATGTACAAGCAGTAAGCATTTAATAAATGTTAACTGCTTGTCATGATTACGGTATTGATAAACAATATTTTAGTTTTACCCTGCAGTAGAAGCTATTGTTAGTGTAGCATAACAGCACTCTGATTTGAAGCGTATTCTCCTTCATTTTAAGTAAAACAAAAATGCCACTTATTCCTGGCTTCACTGCATCAGAATTAGGCTGCTAAAGAAAAACAGAAGCAAGTTTATTTTGCTGCAGTGGAACATTTCAGCCCTTTCCTTCTTAGTAGATTCGCTGGATTAAACAAGCATAGATGCGTTCCACAATTATCCAGGTGGCTCAGTTGGAATGTGTGATTCATGCTGATCGGGTAATTGATGGTAAGCAGGAGATGTCTGAATAGGGATGCTAAATTACTTTCACCATGGGAATAGATTGTGTTGGCACTACTGTTGCTATATTTATTTAAACCACACAATCATTGTTGCCATTCTCTCTGCTCCTGGAAATTGGATGTGGCTATTTATCCAGGATGGTAATTCATACATTCATGGACCACACTGGAAATTCGAGTCCAATCAAGGACCAGTGATGAAATGAACGTACAGAATGGCCCAAGCTGAGATAGAAGGAAAGGGTAACATTCTCATAGTATACAATTTCTCAAAAATTAGATTATAAAATCACACAGTATATTTTTATGAGGAAGATTCCCATGAATTCAGTAGAAGTTAATTTGTTCAACACAGTTCTCTGACGCTGCCCTGTACCAGATGATGATGATGACATTTTATTTCAACTAGTACTTCCAGTCATGTTGCAAAAGTCAGCCTTCAACTAGCTTAGAATTGCCAGCTTCTTATCATAGACCTATATCTAATCCTGGAAATGACAAACCCAATTTCTGCTTCAATTTCTATTTCAACTATGACCCTAAGCTTAGGGGATGCATTGGAGGGTACTGTTGGTGGGAGTGGGGGAAGAAAACTGATTTTATTCACAAAAATCCCAGGGCATTACTTTGGACAAGTTGTTTAATCTTGCTGAACTATTGTTTCCTCCTTGGTAAAATGGGGATATCGGTGCCTTTACCATGGGCTTGTTGTTAGAATCAAAACGACATGAAGAAAATGAAGCTCGTGTCAGTTGATCTGTTACCACATCATGTAAAACCAGTTAGGGAGATTGTATTCAAAGATGGAGGGTATGTTCAGAAAATGTGTCCTCAATGTATAAACCATATGGAATGTGCAAAATTCACATTGACAGATCCAAGGAATTGACTTTGAAGATACAGTTTTCTTTCAAAGTAGCTAAAACAGGTACACTGAGAGGCATATGTATATAATAAATTAGCAGCCTAATCACCTGTTTCCTTCTGTCTACTCTGCTTAAACATATATATTTAAAGAAGTAAAACAGGTGACAGAAGGAAACAGGTGATTTCAAATAGGAGCCCACATTGCAAATCTCAGGGACAGATGTTCTATTTCTGAGGTTCTATTTCTGGGACACATATTCGCTTTAAAAAAACCTACGGTGAAACTTTCAAACATACACTAAAGAAGAATATAATGAAACACCATATATACATAATCCAAATTCAACAATGATAAAGATAAAAATTGTGCCATATTTGCTTCATCTTTCCTCTTCTGTAGTTTTTTGTAAAGCCCAAATCTCATTTTTTTTTACACTTAAATATTTAGAATACATCTCTAAAAACAGGGCCATATTCTTGTTTAACCATGATGCCCTTATCACATTTAACAAAACATAATCAACAAAAATTTTTTGTGTAATTATTGCCTAGTCAGGATCCAGATTTACCTGATTTTGTCAACTGTGAGCTTTTATGATTGATTATTCCAATTAGGGGAAAAATAACCCACATATCATTTGGTTGTTATGGTTTAAATTTCCTCCCATCACCTCTTTTGTTTCATGCTGTTGTCTTATTGAAGAACCAGATTTATTTTCCTGGATATTGTCCCATAACTTGGATTTGTCTGTTTCTTTGGAGTGTCATTTAATTTGTTCCTTTAGCCCCATATTTCCTAGAAATTGAAAGTTAGCTCTAATAAGGTTCAGATTCAACTATGTTTGGCAAGAATATTTCACAGGTGGTTCTGTGTACTTCATGTTATATCATATCAGGAAGCACACCATGTTTGAATGTCCCATAGCAGCATTTTGTGCAGATACCATGCTTATTCAACTAGTCCTCTATCGGTAGATGTTTATGGGTTTTTTCCAATTGTTTATCACAAATAATGCCACAATGAATAGCCTTGTGCATAAGATGTATTTTGCTCACAGTGCATCTTTTATACGATTTCTGAGGAAAGAGATTGTTACTTCTTTGATGCTCATTTATATTTTTTTTCCATGGCTGCTTAGAAGTTTTTTCTATTTTTGTTTCAGCAATTTTACCATGATATGCCTTGATGTGTTTAATTTGCTTGTGTTCATACTGCTCGGGGATAGAAATGCTTCTTGAATTTGTGATTTGATGGCATTTGTTGGTTTGGAAAATTGTCCATATCACATATTCAAGTATTACTATGCTCATTCTATCCTATCTGGATCTCTAATTACCTTTATGTTTGACCTCACTGTATCCCCTATATCTCTTATGCTCTTTTTTTTGCGTTTTCATTCATCGATTTCTCTGTGCTTCATTCAGGATACTTACATCTGACCCACATTCTAGTTCATTAAATCTCTATTCAACCATGTCTAATATACTTTTAAATCCACCCACTGTGTTTTTAATTTGTTATTGCATTTTTTTAGTTTAAAAATTTCCAATGAATATTTTTTAATAATCTCTGGTTTGCTGTCCCAATTCTTAATTTTTCTCTCATTTCCTTGAATAGATTAAGGATAGTTGTTTTAAAATGATGCTCAATAACTCTAAAATTTGGAGTTCCTGATGTGTTTCTGCTACTTATTATCCTGGATTTTATTTACAATATCTTTTCTCTGTGTGATTTGTTATTTGATAGAGTGCTATTCATTTTCCATGGAAAAATAGAGACATATTTTGAGATTCTGGGTGACAACATTGTATTAGTCCATTTTCACACTGCTATGAAGATACTACCTGAGACTGGGCAATTTATAAACAATAGAGGTTTAATTGACTCATAATTCCACATGTCTGGGGAGGCCTCAGGAAACTTACAATCTTGGCAGGAGGGGAAGTGGAAGCAGGCGTCTCCTTCACACGGCTGTGGGGGAAGAGAGAGCGAGCGAGAGCGAGAGAGAGTGAGCGAGCATGCGAGTGAGCGTGCAAGCAAAGGAAGAACTGCCAAACACTTAAAGCCACCAGCTCTCATGAGAACTGACTCAATGTCACAAGAACAGCATGGCGGAAACTGTCCCTGTGATCCAGTCACCTCCCACCAAGTCCCTCCTTTGACACGTGAGGATTACAATTTGAGATGAGATTTGGGTGGGAATACAGAGCCAAACCATATCAACCATCTTTCTCTATGTGGGATGTACATTTCCTTTGGTCAGGTAACTAGGGGTAGGTGTAAACTTGGATCACCTTAATATAACCTCAGGGCTCTGAGATGATTCAAAACCAGGTTTCAGTCACAACAGAGATTTATGTTTTTTTCTTACTCTGAGGTAAAGCCCTTCTGGTCTAAACCTAAATCCTGAAGAGTTTACCAGAATCCTTTCTACCTGGTGGACTGGGACTCCAAATTTACCACATGCCCCCTTGGGCCATTGTAAGTACTACTATGTTTTTCAGTCTCTCAGCTACTTCCCATGGAACTGACAGCACCCTCAATTGTAGGGCTTCCTTCTCCACATTTCCTTCTCTTCCCTAACCTTGCTACTGTCATTTTTGTCTGCTTTGCTATTCTCACTGTGCCAAAAATTTAAAAACATTTTCTCCATATATTTCAGTTGTTCTTGGTGGCAGGATTGGTCTAGCCTGCCATTAAGGAAAGCAGATGTGCTCTGACTTTTAAAAAAGAAAATACTCTAATTTGTGAAATTCTAACTGTAGTTTTGATATTCATTTCTTAAAGTTTTGATTTTTTATATCTGCCATCCCTACAGTGAAATTGCCCACTTCTCAAAGAAGTCTCCTGGAAGACTTTCTCATCAGTTCTAAGTGGCTGTGTGAGTTAAAAGCATTGCTGTTTCGCTGAGGAGAAGTTGGTTGGAAGTCCTTTGTAGGTCTGTATTTGAAGACACATTTTAAGAATCTAGTGCCAAGCTACACACGTAAAATTTTTCTACCACTGTAAATGAAGCGTCTCATAATTAACTTATTGAAATTTTCTTCTATTTTAAATAAACGCAGATGAACCTGTCACTGTGACATACTTGATTAGTAGCTTTGTGAAGCTTTAAAAATTCTCATACATACCAAAGTTCCTCCAAAGAACATACCCATTACATTACCTGTACATCTGTGAATGGAACCATGCCCTACCTTACTTTATTAGGTATTCTGTAATTGCGGAGGTAGCCAATTTTTCTACTTCTGTGTTATGTCTAAGCTAATTATTGTTTTTATGCTTGAGAAATATTGTCTGGGGCCATGCATTCATTCAACACAAGAGAATGAAATTGCTCAAGGCAAAGAGTAGAGAAATGCTAAGCCCATCAGACTGTATCCTGGCAAGGCTGTGGCTGGAGTTGGCTTCCAAGGTTGGATTGTTAACCTAAGCATTCCCACTGTCTCCCTTCTGTGCTCTGCATTCTTGATCTCTCTCTTTCTTTTAACGTCCATTAATGTCTAGTGAAGATTTTATGTCTTAGAATAAGAATGGCATAAACTCCCAACTCTACTTCCAGCCAATTGAAGATGGCATTGACTGAATCAATTGTGAAGACTATGATGCCCCAAAGAGCAGAGCATGATATCTCATCAATGGTTCATCTGCTTATACAGAGCTCTGTTGATATGCACCCTGTTTCCCTTTGAACAGAGGAAAAAA
The DNA here is from genome assembly GCF_000001405.40 of Homo sapiens. Lineage (NCBI taxonomy): Eukaryota > Metazoa > Chordata > Mammalia > Primates > Hominidae > Homo > Homo sapiens. The sequence goes on from NC_000011.10 coordinate 103,601,120, forward strand.
GACTTGGAGAAAGTAGGCAGGCTGGGAGAAAAGGCATCAGTGGGGCAATCTGCTCACCCTCTTACCATTTTGTGTGTAATAGGGTACCTGGAGAAGCAGCTTTTTGCCAATAGCCCATCCAAGAGATCTGACCTCGGGGCAAGAAGACTCCAAGAGCCAAAAGCTGATGATTGCGCTCTAGTGGTATTAAGAGGGAATTAGGAGGTTTGGAAGAGGTTATGTTGAAATCAACTCTTCCACTTCTCTCTATATAGCAGGGAGGTCAGCTGAAGGGACTCTTCTTCCATATATATGCCTTCTCCAGTCATGCCATTGGGTTGCCTGCCACCTAGAGGACATCAATGGCCAGTGCAGGAGAGAAAAGATTCCTTTCTCACTTATCACTAGATTCATGGCAAGAGAAACAAGATAAAAGCATAAAAAATTCATTTCATATAAATTTTATGTGACATGGAAGCCTTCAGAATTGAAGACCCCCCAAAACAAGGAAGCCTATGTATTTGTGATAGTCATCCAGAAGTATGATTGGAAAACAGAAGATTATGACTTAATGATAATAAACTGGGAAGAACTTAGTAATGCATGATTTCTTTTTCAGACGCTTTTTGGCATTTCTGTATATTAATTCATTTCCTCCAGGTATAGGGAAGATCACTCTGGAATGGGAGTTTTATGATATACTTTAGAGGAAGGTCAGATAATTATTTTATGGTCTAGAACAGGGGAGAACAGCAGGAAAAAGTCAGCAAGACCTTCCTGTTTCTGCTGTTTTCTCAAATATCAAGGTGCCAAATTGTAAGGTAGTGTGTCCTAAACCCTATCACCAGTCAGTGTGAACATAGAGGACAATATCAGTATCTTGTGAAATAATGAACACATGCTCTTTTTTTCCTCATCTTTAAAATTTTGTATGAGACCAGAAAGGAGCCAAGTAAGGATGTTTTTTTAAAAGTCTTTGCTCGTGCTAATGAGCGGCTAGGGTTGAGAACTTCCAAAATTCTATAAAAAGGGGTAAAAGAAGTATTCCAGAAGCAGACTAAAATCTTTCCTGTACTTCAAGGTAGAGGTGAACAGGGAGAAATAAAGAACCATGCCATGTCCCTTCACCAAATCAGGTCCCTCAAACCACAGGTCTGGCCAAGTCAGGGAATGTTTTAATCAGTCATATTTTAAATTGAACCTAAAATAACTTGGAAGTCAATGTTTTCCGCACAAGGTATTATTGGGAGATCTACCACCAAGTCAGGAAGAGGGATTCGACACAGTACTAGTGGGGACACTGATTAGAGAAAAACGTAATAGCTTTATGTTTGAATACCTCTGAGAGCAAACCAGATATGGTAACCTAACCTCTAGCACAGAGGAAAATTCCATAATGAAATGCTGACAAATTTTAATAGCTCAACTTGGGGAGCTTTATATGTTGTTTCCTCTGGAGTACCTTTCTCTCATCCCTGAAATATAAACTAATGAGTAACAGGAAAAAAAAATTCAGGGACCTTCATACATTTTGCTTTGGGCATAATCTCTATAATGGGATTTAGTAAGATCTAATGATGTCAGATACCTTCTAAGAATGGGGTTCATTAACTTTGCTGGAAGCCTTCCTTCATTTCCCAATGCCTCCTTTTACATTTGTAAAATAATTTGTACATCATCTGCCTTCCCTGTTCCACTACCATTTTTCTTTGGTTTTTGCATTCAGGTGAGGTACTTACAGTTCACAAATGTCTTTCTCAAGACAGGATAAGAACAAAACATTAGCTCCCAGAGATTCCTTTATCAGCAGAAAACTTGGCACCCTTTGTCTAAAGAAAGCCTATCTTCTAGATGAGAGATATGTAATTATTCTTGCTCTAAATCCTTCACTCTTCTAAGATTACTTCTTAAACCTCAACTGTCTCAGCATGGTTATGCATATTCACAATGGACTTTATAACCACTTGGGAATTTAAATTTCCTTTGCTAAGCCTCAATTTTTGTAAGCAGATCCTCAGCTTTTACATCATTGCCAGGTTCTGTCTAAGGGTAATACTTCATTTTAATAAATTTTAATTGCTACATTAATCCAGTTCATTATCCATGTGAATTGCCATTTACTGCTCTTTTAAAAATCTTTCCATCGGACTTTGTGTACACAGCCTGTACACAAAGGCAGCTGCTGAATTTGTTCAGATTATTACCATTTGGGATGTGCCATCCACCTTTTGTTCCCAAATTAATTAGGGAAGATGAAACTGCTACTTCACAATTGACAGAACTGGCGTCTATGCAGGAGATGCCTTTACAGAAAGTAGATCATTTACTCCCAGAATCGCCAATCTAACGCAACGTCCTGTGTTTTCCAGGTCTGGTAGCGATCAATTATTCAAAGCCAATTGTTTATAGGGGATTATAGATCAACTCTTGATGATATTGCTCACACTATAAATTCTCTTTCTCCTCTGTATAGTAACTTTACAGACACTGGAGATGGGGAATGTCAGGCAATTCTACCTGATTTGAAACATCCAAACTAAAAGCAGCTACACATCTGCCTACTGAAGGGGATGGCAAATTTGTCCACTGAAAGTCATTAAGGACAACCAGATCTCTGAATGGGATTGTAAATTGCATTTTGGACAGCAATCCTTATGAGAATGAGAATATTCTGTTTAATGAAATTGATTAAAAATAAAGGTATCCAGAAATAAAATAATGGAGAATAATAAAAGCTCCAGAGTAACAATTTTTTTCTTGAGTCATGTTTAAGGGATAGCCTTAATCAGAAACAATCAGAATCAGTGTTCAGAGAGCATTTTTCTCTTTAAAGACCAATAACCTCCTTAACCATCACAGTACTCTATTATCACTCAGGGTTTTAATAAGATGTCAGAGGATTCTAACCATGGTTCCTTAAGTTACTATGGCTAGCTCTTAAAATGTGTATGAAAATGTCATTTTATTGGCTCATAGCTTAGTTATAGAGATGAAATGCTAATCTCCTTTTCTCTTTCCTTCTCCTATTAAAAAAAAAATCAGATCCAACCATGGGGGCTTGATGGATTATAATAGAAGGAGGACTGTAAGCCTGTGGAGGACAAGAAACAATACAAAAAGCAGGATAAGGCTATTGAAAAGAAAACAACTATTTTCCCATTTTTATTACATTGACTGTATCCTTCTAAAATCGAAAGCTTTCTTGATGGAGAAGCACTAATACATGATGATTCTAAAACTTTCACCCAGCCCCTGAGGAGGCAGCCTAAAGCTCAGCTGGTAATGTATGATCCTCTTTCATTTTTTCTTTACATTTTTTATCACGATTGACTTTCTTTCTCCTTTTCTCTTTCTGGTTGTAATATATTGTGCAATATCATCACCTAGCAATAAAGAACACCAAAGAAATCTAAGTGTTATGTAACTGGCTGGTTGGTTGGCATTATGTTGCCAGAGCTCAGCTCATTGTTACATATGGTAGAAGTTACATACATTTTATCTGCAAAAGACATGAAAGGGGGACACTCAGTTTTTAATAAGTGCCGGGAACCCTGGGAAATGCATCAGCACTTGAAAACTGGGTAATAGCAAGAAAAGGCTTTGGACCAAAAAAGCAAAAACTCTTCACGGTGGTCTCATTCCAGGAGAAATGACTAATAGCTTGTTATTTACTATCTATTTGGAATGACAAAAAGTTTTTCCCTCTTTTCTCTGTCCAGGCAGTTGGTCATGGCTGTCTGAGTGCTGCTTTAAGAAAGGTGTTTGGGGAGGCCAGGGCTTAGCAAGGAATACTATCATAATTGGTTAGTGATGTTTGTGATTGGCATCTGAAGAGAAGGAAGAAGTGTGTGTCAAGTGACTGCTACTAATAGATATCATGGCCTTAGCTTTCTTTCGTTTACCCATTCATCAACTTTATAATTCTTAGTCCTAGCCCCTCCTGAGAGCAAAATGAATCCCTTATGTGTCTTAAGTCTCCCTGAAGCTCTACAAAGCATAAACATCCCAGATACTGCAAAGGGAATATTCTAGAACATTGATAAGACTTGGAAGGCAGACCTAGGTTGAAAATCTTTTGGACATATGTAAACAGCTCATGGGAACAGTACAACTGTAAAACTTGGGAGATGCACTAAAATGTAAAGAACAGAACCAAAAAGGATAGGGTATAGAAAAATGAGTATAGATGTTGGAAAGAAGTGAAGAATTTTGCTTAGGGTTGATGCTAATAAACATGGAAAGGAGGAGAAAAAAAATAAGGAAAAAATTCCATGTTAAGTCTATTCTTTTTATGAGAACAAGAATAACAAATGTCCAGGCGTGGTGGCTCATGCCTGTAATCCCAGCACTTTGGGAGGCTGAGGCGGGCGGATCATGAGGTCAGGAGATTGAGACTATCCTGGCTAACACGGTGAAATGCCATCTCTACTAAAAATACAAAAAAAAAAATTAGCTGGGCATGGTGGCGGGTGCCTGTAGTCCCAGCTACTTGGGAGGCAGAGGCAGGAGAATGGAGTGAATCTGGGAGGCGGAGCTTGCAGTGAGTGGAGATGGCACCACTGCACTCCAGCCTGGGCAACAGAGTGAGACTCCGTCTCAAAAAAAAAAAAAAAGATTAACAAATAAGTGGACATATGTGAAAAAGGGTTGGTTTATTAAAAATTCACAGTGCAGTGTCAGAAAATGAAATTACATTAGGTTAGAGGCAAAGCACATTTCTAATTGGATTCTGTCCACATCAAATGTCATCTAAACCTTAAGGGTTATTTATTAAATTCCTGACAGCTTGCATGTATCACATTGTTCTATTATTACTCTAGAAGATGATAAAACTCTGGAAGTTTCTAATATTAAAACAAATCAATTTTCATAGTTTTTAAATCCTAGAAATCTCAGAATTTGTTTTCCTCTCATATAGTATTAGTTTATACTTTTTATATCTATATCTATTTGATTATCTATACGAAGAGTAAGACCACTGTAGAAGAAAATAATGTGTTTAATAACAACCATTATTTGTCCAAACTGTACTCAATTGGTTTTGAATAAAAAATAAGCTCTAATGCCTTAAGGTGACCATTATATGTAGTACAATGCACCTTGAATGACACTCTTTCTGCTTATCTTTGCTAACAACAAACCACTTGAAAACTTAGTAGCTTAAGACAGGAACATGTATTTCATCCATGAGTTTGCATTTGGCTAGTGCTCAGTAGAAACAACTTGTTCCTGCTCTACTCAGTCAGCTAGGGTGGCTCCAAGGGTGGAGGATAGAATAATCTTAAAGCCTCACTAGCTACTGGCGCTATGGCCAGATACATACACATGATTTTTTCATGGCTCCCTCACAGCATGGTGATTGAGTTCTAAGGGCAAACTTCCATGAGGCCCAGGAAGTGAACTGGAGAATGTTGAAGAATTTTTTAACGACTTAGCCTTGGGAGATCACATAGCATCACTTCTGCTGTAGACACAGAGCCGCCCAGATTCAAATGGAGGGAATGTAATCCCCATCTCTCAGTGGAGGAATGACAATGTCACATTGAAAGAAAAGCTAGTTGTGTGGGATATATAGGTACCTCTATCTTTAGAAAATAAAATATGCTATAGTACTAATTATGTACCACCTTTGGGAAGATGGATAAAATAATCACTCAATTTTTTATTTTATTTTATTTTATGGCTCATACGAGGAATCCAAACTGAGAAAGGCTAAACCAAGTGATTTGGATATTGGCTAAAAGTGATAACACAATGCCTAACACTTAGCAGGGACTCAATAAATTCTTCTCCTCCCAGTTAATAAAGTCCTATCATTTCTATGGTCTTACCAAGGATTTTGTGAAACCAAAGAACTGAAATTAAATTTTAGTTATGTTTTAGACCTACATTAATTTCCTCAAAAATCTTTTTTAATGTGCTAACGTTATTATGTCTGGGAAATAGTTCATTTATCATAGAATCTGACCTTATGGAATATGAAGTAGCATGGAGACATTGGCTTGTGTTTTACAACTGAAAAATCGAATTGTCTCTTGGTGGATTAAGGCATAAGGCATTAGTTGGGAGATAATAGGGGAGAAACAGCTGCATAGTAATTTTAAAAAACCTAACATTTCCAAGTTCTCATAGTTTATCAAGATGATATAACTGAATCTATATGGTGTTTATAGTCAAAATTGCCTGGATTCAAAACTTGACTGGCATTTTGTAGTTATGACATTAAAAATAATCACAATAATAGTAATAATAGTTAACATTTATAGAGTGTTCATTCCTAGCTAGATATTTTGCTAAGAACCTTGCATGTAAAATCTAATTTATTTCTTTTAGTAATTCTAAGGTAGAAACTATGGTTATTCTCACTTATAGATGTTACATAGTAATGGAATTGGTATTTGAACCTATTCTGTTTCATACAAACTTACCTGCCATGCAAGTTCCTCAAATTTCTTGAGTGTCCTTATCTATACAATAAGGATATCATTATTAAAGAAATATAAATGAGATCATGTATATGAAAATTATAGTACATAGTAAACACTTTATTGTTAATTTTATTTTCTCTTTAGGGACAAAGGAGTCAGTCATAGCCTGGGTGGCCTAGGTACTAACTCTAGCTACTTAATTTATGTTTGTGTCTTTTATAGTTATAGATAGCCAGGGTTGAGAGAGGACTTAGATATCACTTTTTACCACCTGTTTTGAAGCTGAAGAAACCTGAGGTTTGGATGGTCAAATGAATTAACCAGAGTCATAGAGCTAGCACATGGCAGAGCTGAGATCTAACTCTAACACTAGTGCTCTGGTAGTATATAATGCTGCCCTCTCATTTCTTTGACAAGTAATTATATTGTAAGAACACAAAAAAAAGCTAATAAAACATGAAACTTGCCAATACTTTGTTTTATATTGATGTTTTTATAATTAAATTTAGTGTTTTATTAAATGCTTATTAGTAATGCATATTTATAAATATTTCCAAATGCCTAAAACTGAAATTTCATGCCATCCTCAATGATTGTCAAGTTACTAGGCAGTAACTCACCCCGCTAGGGTTAATTATTACACCTAGTAACATTCATGCTGAAAACTCCTGCTTAGACTAATTACTCTCATAAATCTCTTTAGAGAAGTGTAAAATTCTCATTACTTAAATGATAAAACAACTAATCTACTAATCTTTGCTCCTTGTCCCTTCGAGATAATAAGATTGCCAAGACTGCTAGAGTTGAAGGATGTTTTAAGGTAATTAAAAATGTTGAAAGAACCGAGGGCCTAAAGAGCTCACAATGATGTCTGGAAACTGAGGGAGAGCAGAAATTGTAGAATAAAAAGGAATGTGGAAAGTTCACCCTTAAATTTATAAAGGGATTCTTTTCCATTTTAACCTGATTTTTAAACTTTTATTGCGGAAGGAGGTCCTTGAATATGTGGTTAAATTTGCTATCATCTAAAACTACATTAAATGCTTAAATTTTTCATTCATTTATTTACTTATTCAACAAGTACACATTGAAACTGAAGATAAAACTATCAACAGGACATCATCATTCACCTCATAGAGCTTGCAGTCCAGTAGTTACGGGTAAGTAAACAATTCAAATATTGTATGACTTGAAAGGCTTTTTTAAGGTGGTGTGACTCCATTTCACTGTAGCATTTTTTAGCCACTGCCACTGCTGGTGACTCACAAGTACCACATGGCTTAGCAGAATCACCCAGCTCCAAAAAATCAGTTATTAACGTTTGGTACATCCCAAGTATCTATTTGTTCATTGAAACGACCATTTCAGAGGTACATCAGTCTGGGTCCAAGCAGGAGAGAGAAACCACACTTGTTATTAGAACAAAGAATGGATCTGGGCAACATAGTAAGACCCCGTCTCTACAAAAAGTTAAAAAAAATTTAGCTGCACATGGTGGCATGCACTTGTAGTGCTAGCTACTCCAGAGGCTGAGATGGGAGGATCTCTTGAGCTCAGGAGTTCCATGTGGCAGTGAACTATGATTGTACCACTGTACTCTCTCAGCCTGGTTTGGCAGAGAGAGAGAGAGAGAGAGAGACCCTGTCTCAAAGAAAAAAAAAGAAAAAGAAAAAGAAAAAAAGAAAAGGAATGCCCTAAGTAGGTTGTAAGTAAGTTGTCAATACGTAACTAAAGTGGTGAAAAGTTAGGTGCTATAGAGTTGGCTACTGCAGGAAGCAGCTATGCTACCACCCCTGGGGCTGAAAGAACACAGGTAACAGGTTAGAACTATGAACACTTTCAAACTTGAAGGAGGGACCCTGTGGGGTCCCAGATCTCCAAAGAGAGGGTATGGCTTTGTTGGTACTGGAGGTTTTGTGGGGAGGCATGATGAAGCTGGTTCTGTAAGTGTTGGAAAAAGGAAACACCAATTCAGTTATTACTAGGAACTGTTGCTGCTGAGATGAAGAACATTCCTGAGGTGTTACTCACAGTAATGGGAAGACCACAGGAAACCAGGAGCACACAGAAAAGAACATGTTCTCTTTCCTTCTCCAGCCTTGCAGTCCTCCCCAGTCCCCCTACTGGCAGAGTCTAACAGGACTAGCTGGCAAAACAGAAATGTGGTTTTCTGAGTCCCAGCCCTCATTGTGAAGCAAAGTAGTAGTCTTGAATGAGTTTGGAACCAAAAGGTGATGATTTAATAACTAAGGCAAATGGGAAGCCAACAGAGTGGGCCCTGGACTCTGCTATCCTCAAAACCTCTTATCCAATGCCTGAGAAATACACCTTAAACTCCCTTCTGTGTAGTTCTGTGAGGATGAGTTCCCCTCCTACGTGGGGAAAAAGGCCACTAACAGGGAATCTATGTGAACATGTTTATCCTCTAGCCTTCATTATTCCCTCTCTGTTATGCAATAATACACACAATTATCTTAATATCTACAGATGCATTTAAGATATCCTTCCTTTCTGGCCTCTTGGCCAATATCTCTTCATGGAAAAATTGTATAATATTTGGAGATGTTTCCAGACTCTACTGACTCCTTTGGTTTTGCCAACAGCATGGTAAGAGTTATTGTAGGTGATATGGTTTGAATCTGTGTCCCTGCCCAAATCTAAAGTTTAACTGTCATCCCCAATGTTGGAGGTGGAGCCTGATGGGAAGTGATTGGATCATGGGGGCAGAGTTCTCACGAATGGTGTAGCACTATCCCCTTGGTGCTGTTCTTATGATAGTGAGTGAGTTATCATAAGATCTCATTGTTTTAAAAGTGTGTAGCATCTCCCCTCGCCTTTCTCTTGCTCCAGCCATGTGAAGTGCTTGCTCCCTCTTCACCTTCTGCCATGATTGAAAGTTCCCTGAGGCCTCACCAGATGCTGATACTGCCAGGCTTCCTGTACAGCCTGTGGAACCATAATCCAATTAAACATCTTTACTTTATAAATTACCCAGTCTCAGGTATTTATTTATAGGAATGTGAGAATGGACTAATACAGTAGGGATACATAGTACCTTTCCTTTCTACTAAGGGAGCCTCCAAAATGACTTTTTGCACAGTATTGAGTAAGAAATTGGTCAGCTGCTGGCTGTTTTCTTTGGGAGAGATACAGTTCTGGGAATTAACTGGGATAGCTAAGAATGTAATTTTTAGAAGGAAGGATGAAAATAATGAATTAGGCTCAGAGAATGGCATAGAATGGTTCTTTAGGGGAAAATACAGACATTGTAGAGCAATGGTTTGCATTCATCTTTTTAAACTTTTATTTTTAATACTAAAATGTTGGTGGGTACACTCAAGAGATCAAAATATTAAAGTACTCCAATACCACACATCAATAATCACAACTCTACAACTTCATAGCAGTGTTTCAAAATGTTTACAAAAGCATTTATAGTAAACCCGCTAGTTATGAATTGGCCCTTCAGCATCATGTAACTATTTAGGTAAAATTATTTACTGCCTTGAGCACACTCTATTATATTTTCCTGTATACTTCAGATAACTCGCCGCCTTCCCTTGGTGCCAGCTGGCTGCTATGCCACACTTCTAATCTAGTCATGTTAGGTTGTACCTTGCTTTACCTGCATTGCAGGTGGCATTCAGGCTAATGCTCCAGCTCACAGGCATCACCATTAGAGTTGTTTCCAAACATAAGACAGAGTCCAAGATGGCCGAATGGGAACAGCTCTGGTCCGCAGCTCCTAGCGAGATTGACACAGAAGACGGGTGATTTCTGCATTTCCAACTGAGGTACCTGGTTTATCTCATTGGGACTGGTTGGACAGTGGGTGAAACTCACAGAGGCCAAGCCAAAGCAGGGCAGGGTGTAGTCTCACCCAGGAAGTGCAAGGGGTCAGGGTATTTCCTGTTCCTAGACAAGGGAAGCCATGACAAAATATACGTGGAGGAATGGTACACCTCTGCCCAAATACTGCCAAATACTGCACTTTTCCCACAGTCTTAGCAACTGGCTAAGTGCTGTGGTTTTCAGCTCCATCAGTTCATTTAACAACCTCTCTACACTGTTTATTCTAGTTAGCCATTCGTCTAACCTTTTTTCAAGGTTTTCAAGGTTTTCAAGGTTTTTTGCCACGTGCCTGGCTCAGTGAGTCCCATGCCCACAGAGCCTTGCTCACTGCTAGCGCAGCAGTCTGAGACTGACCTGTGAGGCTGCAGCCTGGTGCAGGGAGGGGTATCCTCCACTGCTGAGGCTTGAGTAGGTAAACAAAGTGGCCAGGAAGCTCGAACTGGGTGGAGCCCACTACAGCTCAGCAAGGCCTACTGCCTGTATAGACTCCACCTCTGAGGGCAGGGCATCACTGAACAAAAGCAGCAGACAACTTCTGCAGACTTAAATGTTGCTGTCTGACAGCTCTGAAGAGAACAGTGGTTCTCCCAGCATGGTGTTCAAGCTCTGAGAATGGACAGACTGCCTCCTCAAGTAGGTCCCTGACCCCTGTGTGGCCTGACTGGGAGACACCTCCCAGTAGGGGGCGATAGACACCTCATACAGTCGGGTGCCCCTCTGGGATGAAGCTTCTAGAGGAAGGGTCAGGCAGCAATATTTGCTATTCTGTAATATTTGCTGTTCTGCAGCCTCCGCTGGTGATACCCAGGCAAACAGGGTCTGGAGTGGACCTCCAGCAAACTCCAACAGAACTGCAGCTGAGGGGCCTGACTGTTAGAAGGAAAACTAACAAACAGAAAGGAATAGCATCAACAGCAACCAAAAAGGACATCCACACCAAACCCCCATCTGTAGGTCACCAAAATCAAAGACCAAAGGTAGATAAAACCACAAAGATGGGGAGAAACCAGAGCAGAAAAGCTGAAAATTCCAAAAAACCAGAATGCCTCTTCTCCTCCAAAAGATCGCAGTTCCTCGCTGGCAATGGAACAAAACTGGACAGAGAATGAGTTTGACGAGTTGACAAAAGTAGGCTTCAGAAGATCAGTAATAACAAACGTCTCCGAGCTAAAGGAGCATGTTCTAACCCATTGCAAGGAAGCAAAAAACCTTGAAAAAAGGTTAGACGAATGGCTAACTAGAATAAACAGTGTAGAGAGGTTGTTAAATGAACTGATGGAGCGGAAAACCATAGCACGAGAACTACATGATGCATGTACAAGCTTCAGTAGCCAATTCGATCAAGTGGAAGAAAGGATATCAGCAACTGAAGATCAAATTAATGAAATAAAGCAAGAAGACGAGATTAGAGAAAAAAAGGGTGAAAAGAAATGAACAAAGCCTCTAAAAAATATGGGACTATGAAAAGACCAAATCTACATTTGATTGGTGTACCTAAAAGTGGCAGGGAGAATGGAACCAAGTTAGAAAACACTATTCAGGATATTATCCAGGAGAACTTCCCCAACCTAACAAAGCAGGCCAACATTCAAATTCAGGAAATACATAGAACACCACAAAGATACTCCTCGAGAAGAGCAACCCCAAGACACATAATCATCAGATTCACCAAGGTTGAAATGAAGGAAAAAATGTTAAGGGTAGCCAGAGAGAAAGGTCTGGTTACCCACAAAGGGAAGCCCATCAGACTAACAGCTGATTTCTCAGCAGAAACCCTACAAGCCAGAAGAGAGTGGGGGTCAATATTCAACATTCTTAAAGAAAAGAATTTTCAACCCAGAATTTCATATTCAGCCAAACTAAGCTTCATAAGTGAAGGAGAAATAAAATCCTTTACAGACAAGCAAATGCTGAGAGATTTTATCACCACCAGGCCTGCCTTACAAGAGCTCCTGAAGGAAGCACTAAACATGGAAAGGAACAACCAGTACTAGCCACTGTAAAAACATACCAAATTGTAAAGACCATTGATGCTATGAAGAAACTGCATCAACTAACTGGCAAAATAACCAGCTAACATCATAATGACAGGATCAAATTCACACATAACAATATTAACCTTAAATGTAAATGGTCTAAATGCCCCAATTAAAAGACAGACTGGCGAATTGGATAGAGTCACAACCCATCAGTTTGCTGTATTCAGGAGACCTATCTCATGTGCAGAGACACACACGGGCTCAAAATAAATGGATGGAGGAAGATCTATCAAGCAAATGGAAAGCAAAAAAAAGCAGGGGTTGCAATCCTAGACTCTGATAAAACAGACTTTAAACCAACAAAGATCAAAAGAGACCAAGAAGGGCATTACATAATGGTAAAGGGATCAACTCAACAAGAACAACTAACTATCCTAAATCCATATGCACCCAATACAGGAGCACCCAGATTTATAAAGCAAGTCCTTAGAGACCTATAAAGAGACTTAGACTCCCACACAATAATGGGAGACTTTAACACACCACTGTCAATATTAGACAGATCAATGAGACAGAAGGATAACAAGGATATCCAGGACTTGAACTCAGCTCTGCACCAAGCAGACCTAATAGACATCTACAGAACTCTCCACCCAAAATCAACAGAATACACATTCTTCTCAGAACCACATCATGCTTATTCTAAAATTGACCACGTAATTAAAAGTAAAACACTCCTCAACAAATGTAAAAGAACAGAAATTATAACAAACTGTCTCTCAGACCACAGTGCAATCAATTTAGAACTCAAGATTAAGAAACTCACTCAAAACTGCTCAACTACATGAACACTGAACAACCTGCTTCTGAATGACTACTGGGTAAATAACAAAATGAAGGCAGAAATAAAGATGTTCTTTGAAACCAATAAGAACAAAGACACAACGTACCAGAATCTCTGGGACACATTTAAAGCAGTGTGTAGAGGGAAATTTATAGCACTAAATGCCCACAAGAGAAAGCAGGAAAGATCTAAAATTGACACCCTAACATCACAATTAGAAGAACTAGAGAAGCAAGAGCAAACAAATTCAAAAGCTAACAGAAGGCAAGAAATAACTAAGATCAGAGAATAACTGAAGGAGATAGAGACACAAAATACCCTTCAAAAAAAAAAAAATCAATGAATCCAGGAGCTGGTTTTTTGAAGAGATCAACAAAATAGATAAACCGCTGGCCAGACTAATAAAGAAGAAAAGAGAGAATAATCAAACAGACACAGTAAAAAATGATAAAGGGGATATCACCACCAATCCCACAGAAACACAGACTACCATCAGAGAATATTATAAATGCCTCTATGGAAATAAACTACAAAATCTAGAAGAAGTGGATAAATTCCTGGACACATATACCTTCCCAAGACTAAACCAGGAAGAAGTTGAATTGCTGAATAGACCAATAACAGGCTCTGAAATTGAGGCAATAATTAATAGCCTACCAACCAAAAAAAGTCCAGGACCAGATGGATTCACTGCCACATTCTACCAGAGGTACAAAGAGGAGCTGGTACCATTCCTTCTGAAACTATTCCAATCAACAGAAAAAGAGGGAATCCTCCCTAATTCATTTTATGAGGTATCCTGATACCAAAGCGTGGCAGAGACACAACAAAAAAAGAGGATTTTAGACAATATCCGTGATGAACATTGATGCAAAATCCTCAATTAAATACTGGCAAACCAAATTCAGCAGCACATCAAAAAGCTTATCCACCACGATCAAATCGGCTTCATCCCTGGGATGCAAGGCTGGTTCAACATATGCAAATCAATAAATGTAATCCATCACATAAACAGAGCCAGTGACAAAAACCACATGATTATCTCAATAGATGCAGAAAAGGCCTTGGTCAAAATTCAGCAGTGCTTCATGCTAAAAACTCTCAGTAAACTAGGTATTGATAGAACATATCTCAAAATAATAAGAGCTATTTATGACAAACCCACAGCCAGTATCATACTGAATGGGCAAAAACTGGAAGCACTCCCTTTGAAAACTGGCACAAGAAAAGGATGCCCCTCTCTCACCACTCCTATTCAACATAGTGTTGGACGTTCTGGCCAGGGAAATCAGGCAAGAGAAAGAAATAAAGGGTATTCAATTAGGAAAAGAGGAAGTCAAATTGTCCCTGTTTGCAGATGACATTACTGTATATTTAGAAAACCCCATTGTCTCAGCCCAAAATCCCCTTAAGCTGATAAGCAACTTCAGCAAAGTCTCAGGATACAAAATCAATGTGCAGAAATCAGAAGAATTCCTGTACACAAAAAACAGACAGAGAACCAAATCATGAGTGAACTCCCATTCACAATTGTTACAAAGAGAATAAAATACCTAGGAATCCAGCTTACAAGGGATGTGAAGGACCTCTTCAAGGGGAACTACAAACCACTGCTCAATGAAATAAAAGAGAACACAAACAAATGGAAGAACATTCCATGCTCATGGATAGGAAGAATCAATATCATGAAAATGGCCATACTGCCCAAGGTAATTTATAGATTTAATGCCATCCCCATCAAGCTACCAATGCCTTTCTTCACAGAACTGGAAAAAACTACTTTAAAGTTCATATGGAACCAAAAAAGAGCCCGCATCGCCAAGTCAATCCTAAGCCAAAAGAACAAAGCTGGAGGCATCACGCTACCTGACTTCAAACTATACTACAAGGCTACAGTAACCAAAAACAGCATGGTACTGGTACCAAAACAGAGATATAGATCAATGGAACAGAACAGAGCCCTCAGAAATAACGCCGCATATCTACAACTATCTGATCTTTGACAAACCTGAGAAAAACAAGCAATGGGGAAAGGATTCCCTATTTAATAAATGGTGTTGGGAAAACTGGCTAGTCATATGTAGAAAGCTGAAACTGGATCCTTTCTTTACACCTTATACAAAAATTAACTCAAGATGGATTAAAGACTTAAATTATAAGACCTAAAACCATAAAAACCCTGGCAATACCATTCAGGACATAGACATTGGCAAGGACTTCATGACTAAAACACCAAAAGCAATGGCAACAAAAGCCAAAATAGACAAATAGGATCAATGAAACTAAAGAGCTTCTGCACAGCAAAAGAAACTACCATCATAGTGAACAGGCAACCTACAGAATGGGAGAAAATTTTTGCAATCTATCCATCTGACAAATGGCTAATATCCAGAATCCACAAAGAACTTCAATTTACGAGAAAAAAAAAACCCCATCAAAAAGTGGGCAAAGGATATGAACAGACACTTCTCAAAAGAAGACATTTATGCAGTCAAAAGACACATGAAAAAATGGTCATCATCACTGGTGATCAGAGAAATGCAAATCAAAACCACAATGAGATACCATCTCATGCCAGTTAGAATGGCGATCATTAAAAAAGGAAACAACAGATGCTGGAGAGGATGTGGAGAAATAGGAATGCTTTTACAATGTTGGTGGGAGTGTAAATTAGTTCAACCATTGTGGAAGACAGTGTGGTGATTCCTCCAGAATCTAGAACTAGAAATACCATTTGACCCAGCCATCCCATTACTGGGTATACATCTAAAGGATAATAAATCATACTACTATAAAGACACATGCACACATATGTTTATTGCAGCACTATTCACAATAGCAAAGACTTGGAACCAACCCAAATGTACATCAATGATAGACTGGATTAAGAAAATGTGGCACATATACACCGTGGAATACTATGCCACCATAAAAAAGGATGAGTCCATGTCCTTTGCAGGGACATGGATGACGCTGGAAACCATCATTCTGAGCAAATTATCATAAGGACAGAAAACCAAACACCACATGTTCTCACTCATAGGTGGGAGTTGAACAATGAGAACACATGGACACAGGGTGGGGAACATCACACACTGGGGCCTATCAGGGGGTGGGGGGCTGGGGGAGGGATAGCATTAGGAGAAATATCTAATGTAAATGAGTTGATGGGTACAGCAAACCAACATGTCACATGTATACCTATGTAACAAACCTGCTTGTTGTGCACATGTACCCTATAACTTAAAGTGTGTGTGTGTGTATATATATATATATATATAGATATATAGATATATATGAGTTGTTTCCTCAGTCATAGCAAAAATACACTTTTACATATCAGTAAAAATTTCAGTGTATTCTTGTGTGCTCTCTCTTCCAACATGAATATGGGTAGACAAGGCATTTGTTTTAGAATAGTGTCTTATCTTATAAGTACTATATATGTGTTAGCTTAATAAAATATTGAGATAGTGAGTTATGGTTTAAGAAAAGACAATGGTAGTTGCAGTGTGTCAGGAAATGGAAGAAGAGTAAGAATATATAACCCTCTTTCCAATTCAGTTCCTTAGGCTCAGTGGTCTAAATATTAGTTGCTCCTATCAGCTAACATTTCCATTTGGAAGTGACTATACTGAAATGATTCTAATAAGTTTGGCTTTGAAATATTCATGACAAATATAACAAAAATGGCACAATGATATGATCCTATTGGGATATCGATTATTAGAAATATGGCAATTGTACTAAATAACTATATTTTATAAACCCTTGAGGGCCAGCTACTTGGGAGACCATTTAATAAGTAAAAGTAGAAGCAATATATGGATTCTCTCTCAGTGTCATCTGTATTTCCTTCAGGTTTTCAATCATATATATGAAAATAAACCCAATCTACAGCCCTAACCTAAACTGTCCAACACAGTAGACGTCAGCCACACATGGCTATGTAAATTAAAAAAAAATTTAGTTCTTAATTGCACTTGCCACATTTCACATGTCAACAGTCACATGTGGTGGCTACCATATTGGGCAGCACAGGTATTAGAACATTCCAACATTGCAGAAAAATCTATTGGATAGTGAGACTGTACCTACAGTTAGGAACTCTATTAGGGCTCAGTTTGGGATTAATTATATCTAAACTTCTTCTAACAAGGGCGCATAAATGCTAAACCAAAGAAGATAGGAAACAGAGGCAGTAATTATTTTCTCTATTGCCACATTTAAAAGAGATAAATTCTGCCATGAGGTGTTATTGTTCTCCATTATCATTAGTTTGGTGGGGTGAGATGAGAAGCTCATCCCAAATGCCTTTTGAATATGTAAGACCCTTAGAGTAGGACGGATTCCAAGAGATCCACCCAGAGTCATCTTATCTGAAGTTTATATAACTTTAAAAAGGGGTATTGAGAGTGAGTTACAAAGATTTTGCAGGATTCATGACTCATTTATGTGTAGCATCTACTTGGGTAACCTTCATTTTGCAGGAGTTAAACACTCAGCAGGAATGTGCTTGTTAGAGACAATAACCACTGCTGCATCTTCAGGCAATGTGGAAACAGTTAACCTTATCTGCGGATAACAGAACTGGCAGTCGCTTCTTTTGCCATGTCCACCACAGATGGTTCTCAGGAGCTGGTTATTTGGTACTGATGATGCAGTTTGTGAGAGGAAGGCAACAGTTATCTAATGAACACCTCAAATGTCACAACAACATTTAAGACACAATAAGAAAAGTAAGTAATCTTTTTCCTATTTTACAGGTGGGAAACTGAGGCTCACAGATTTTCAGTAACACGGCCAGGCTCTCATAAGTAGAAAGTGATTGCAAAATTTGGGAAAAAAAAAAAAGAGGCAGGGGTATGTTGCAGTGCCTCATGCCTGTAATCCCAGTGCTTTGAGAGGCTGAGGCAGGAGGATTCTTTGAGGCCAAGGGTTTAAGACTAGCCCGGGCAACATAGTGAGACCCCCCTGTCTACAAAAAATTTAAAAACTAGCCAGGCATAATGATGCATGCCTGTATTCCCAGACACAAACTGAGGCAGGAGGATTGCTTGAACCCAGGAGGTCAAGGCTGCAGTGAGCTATAATTGCACCACTGCACTCCAGCCTGGATGACAGAGCTAGATTCAGACACACACACACACACACACACACACACACACACACACACACACACACACACACACACCAAAAAAAAAAAGGAAAAAAGGGAGGAGTAGGGGAGGCTTTTTTTTTCCCTCCATATCACACTATCTCCCAGAGGGAGAGAAGGGGCAGATCCTGATCCTGGGGAATTTTTCCTTAAGGATTCAGACCTCCTCGTTCTGCCATCAGTTACGCTATTTTGGAGCATCCTGTGTCAATAGAGTGAGGATAAGCACCTTTCGAAAGCTGAAGAGATAATACACATAAAAATGTTTTTCTGCACCATCCTATCCCCTGTCAACACTTGGCTCTAAACGGCAGAGGGTGCCAAACTGAAGCAGCTGTGTCAGTGTTGTTTGGCTTGTTCACAGACACCTGTGTAAAAAAAAACCAACTTGGAGAAACATTACTTCTCATTCCATCTGCCTTTCCTAACCTACCTTTGTTGTATTCATTATTTTATGATTTTTTAAATGTTTAATTGACAAAGAATAATTGTATATGTTTATGGGGTGCAACGTGATGTTTCAATACACGAAAAGATAAAATCAGGCTAATTAGCATATTCATCACCTTTTCTTCTCTAAATTACAAATGAGTGTCCAAGGTCAATGCTCAGAGGCTTTCTGCTCTTCCTCGGAGGGCAAGCATCACATCTGTGGCTGAGTTAGAGAAACGGCTAACTAGGGTGGCACAAAATCACAGAGATACAAGAAACAGAGGTGAACACAGTGACCTCATTTATGATGCTCACAAGCTTCACAAATGCTCACATAGAGCAACCACTATAGACATCACAGGAACAGAGGCTGCCAACTCTTTGAAGCTTATTTTTTGAATCTCCTGTGGCAAGGATAATTTGGCAAGCCTAACAGCAAGCACCAGCTCCTTTGTGTACTGTTCTATGCCTTTGTAACACACATTCTACCTCCAGATACTGAAGTCATTTTTATTTGAACCAGAATAAGACACCAAACAGTTAGGCACAAGGCTGTCATAAATGTCAAAATTCGATAAAGATTCTTAGAAATTTTTTTATAAGCTTAATTTTTGTCTCCTAGAGTCTGAGCCCAGAACTCTAGATATATATTTCATAAAACATGATTTTCCTTTCTGATTTGCTTTTGAAAGTTTGCTTTTAATGAACTCCTGTACAATTGCACGGTTCAGTATTACCCATGCGGCATGTGTTTGAAAAATTTCTGCTGAGCTGTAGCATGAGAAGATGTTGTATTATTCAGCAGCCAGTTGTTGTAACTCAGGCAGCTTTGTATAGTGAAAAATAGGAAGAGAAGTAATGAAATGCATAAGTAAAACAATAAATTATAATCTGTGCAAAAGCTAATTTGCTAATTTGCTATACAGTAAACATAATATGTCTGGATCCTATTGAAGCATATTATGCAGTGTCTTGTGAAATCTTATTTGCAAAATTAATTTAAATGGTCTTGGAACAGAGATGAAGGACTGTAAACAAGGGTAGCAATAAATGGCAAAACTGTAAGAAGCAGCATTCAGCCAGTTGAGAGGGAAGACTCTCAGTCCTGGCAGAGTGGAGAAGGTAGTGGGTGGGGAAATAGGTGGGAAGGGAGGGTTTGAGAGTTAACTGGAGGTCACCAAGAAGCCAACAGTGAGGTAGATTCTCAGCATTTCATTCTTTCCTATTCCCAAACACAACTGCCATCACTTTTTTGTTTCTTTTTAGAACAGGGAGAATGAAAACCCTTTCTCTCTTTGCCTTTCTCAAGCATACTCTATATAGGCTTCCTCTGGCTGTCCTTCAGTCACTGGATCTCAGCCTTACCCAGAACCCAGTGTAGGGGTTTGGTACACAATTCCTTTGGTAATCACACAGCCCTGCTAAGGATTTTTTTTTTTTCTTAGGATTGGGATTGTGATGGTTGTGATGGTTAATACTGAGTATCAACTGGATTGGATTGAGGGATACAAAGTATTAATCCTGGGTGTGTCTCTGTGGGTGTTGCCAAAAGAGATTAACATTTGAGTCAGTGAGCTGGGGAAGGCAGATCCACGCTTAATCTGATGGGCACAATCCAATCAGCTTCCAGCTAATATGAAGCAGGCAGAAAAATGTGAAAAGGAGAGATGGGCCTAGCCTCCCAACCTGCATCTTTCTCCCATGCTGGATGCTTCCTGCCCTCGAACATTGGACTCCAAGTTCTTCAGTTTGGGGACACAGATTGGCTCTCCTTGCTGCTCAGCTTGCAGACAGCCTATTGTGGGACCTTGTGGTCGTGTAAGTTAATACTTAATAAACTCATATATATCTATCCTATTAGTTCTGTCCCTCTAAGAGAACCCTAATATAGGTGTTAACTGGGACACTGGTTTTGTGCTTTGGTTTGACAAATATTTATGAGTATTTATAAATTTATACAAAACTTTTATTAAAAAATGTATACAAAACTGTATATGTGTTAGGCACTGTCTAGAGTCTAGGTTTACAACTGTCAACACAACACTGTCCCTATTCCCCAGTGTAGGGGGAATACAGGTGTTTACAATATACTCTAGGTTCCCTAGCCAAAGACAATCACTCTGTCCAGTCAGTCATCTTGCAAATTCATGCTTTCAGAATGAAAGGTGAAACACAGAGTTTCAAGAGTCTTTTATTGTGTGTGTGATTATGCCTCTGAGGGCAACAGGTAACCCAAGGGTGATACCTGGGGCCACTGCCATCCCGAGTTAGGCAAACCCAACATCACAGAATTAAGTAGATAGAGTCTCTCTATTTGATAAGTGGAGACTTAGAAAACTGAGACATCTTCAAGCCATGAAAATTAATAAAAATATTTATTTTGTATCCCAAGAGGTCTAGACCCCAAATGTCCTCTATCTGTCCTGAAATGGTGGTCACACATGTGACCATCTTCCTCTACCGGATCTGCTAAAGGGTGGCTGTGGTGCATTCTAGAGCTCCAGGAAGGGGGACACACCAGAAATTCCAGACATCTAAGCAGCATGCAAATTGAGAGCACACTGGCATTAACAATTATCAAGCTTCATTACAGAACTCTTGTTTTAAGCTCACTCTACTCCAGTCATTTTGTAGCCAGAGCAGGGCCTCATGCCTTGTAAAAACATAACCCAAGAGACACAATCACCTCAGGCAATATTTTGAATTAAATTACTGGAGATCACACAGCTCTAATTTACCATAAACCATATGCCCTCTGTGCAGGAATTTTATGTGGTAAGGATTACGCCTATCATTTACAAAGACAGTTTATGGATTTTTTTAACCTAATTGACATATAGTTCAGCCACGCTGTAATCTACATTTTAAGTTTTTGTAGTCAAAGCTAGTGAACAGCTAAAATAGCCAAGGTCCATTCACGAGCAATTGTTAAATAAATAAATCCATCACTTTCTCAGCAAATGCTTAAATGAGCACAAGCTAAGTAGTGTATACACATGCTTTTAGCATCAGGTAGAGATCCCTTGAAAGATCTATCTAAGCAGTAGGACTGCATTTTCTTTTTTTCGTGGTGTCTTGGAAGGTAGAAGGCTTTCATTAAGGGTTCATGTAACAAGTTTATTCTCCAGTCTTCATCAGAGAACTTCTCAGCAGCTACTAATGCTTCAGCACTTATGACTAGGTTCTCCTGAATGGAGAAGGTTGAGGTGGGCACAGGCGGAAGCAGAATCTTCATCATTGTCCCCCTTACTTTGGTATCATCTCCTAAATAACCTTTACCTGGGATGACAGCCCCAGAGAAAGCCGCACAAGCTGGACAACAGGCCACTGGATGGCTAATGTGGTGGGCTGCTCTGCTCCTGGACTAGGGAAATGGGCAAGGAGGCGAGCTTGAAATTCTTCCATTCCTCACCTAATCTCTGAGGGAATGCTTCAGGTCGATGTATAAGAATTGTGGAGATAAGGGAAACATTGTACATGGTTGGTGGGAATGTAAATTCATACAGCCACCATGGAAAACACTATGGCAGTGACTCAAAAATTAAAAACAGAACTACTATATGATCTAGCAACCCTGCTTCTGGGTGTTTATACAAAATACTTTAAATTGATATGTCAAAAAATATCTGTGCTCCCATGTTCATTGCAGCACTATTCATAATATCCAAGTTGGAATATTGAAACTTGGAACATTGGAACAATATATGGAACCAACCTAAGTGTCTGTCAACAGATAGAGAAAATGTGGTATATACACACAAGGAAATACTATTCAGCTTTAAAAGTGAAGGAAAATCTGTCATTCGTGACAACATAAATGGAATTGGAGAACATTATGCTGACTAAAATAAGCCAAGGCATAGAAAGACAAATACACTTTCTCATATATGGAATGTAAAACAATCAAACTCAAAGAAGCAGAGAGTAGAATGGTGGTTATAGAAGCTGAGGGGATGAGGGCAATGGGGAGGTGATGGTCAGAAGGTAAAAAGCCTCAGAAAGGAGAAATAAGTTTTTTTCTTTGTGACATATTACACAGTATGGTGAATGTAGTAAATAATATACATTTCAAAATTGCTAAGAAAAAATTGCAAGTGTTCTCACCACAGGAAATACTTGAGGTGATAGATATGTTAATTAGCTTGATTTAATTATTTTACATTCTATTCATAAATTGTAACCTCACTTTGTATCCCATAAATATATACAACTATAATTTGTCAATTTACAACTAAGAATGAAAATTTTTAAAATAATTTAAAACTCCTGTTACTTTTTACAAAGTTTCAGTTACACAAGATGAGTAAGTTCTAGAGAGCTAATGCACAGCATGGTGACTATGGTTAACACTGTATTTTATAACTGAAATATGCTAAGAGGGTAGAGCTTAAGAGTTCTGATCCTCCACCTCCCCACACAGAGAGAAAGAAAAGATGATAACTATGTGAGTTGATTGATACTGTAATTAGCTTGACTGTGGTTTTAATTTCACAATGTATACATATACAAAACATCGAGTTGTATACCTTAAATACAATTTCTATTTGTCAATTATACCTCAATAAAACTGAAAAAATATTACTCTTGTTCATGCAGTAAGTAAAAAGACTCAGTGACACATCACTTTCATATCCATGTTCTCCATCTCTAAATTTGTTGTTGTCATTATAAAATAGAAGACTAAAAGAAGGGGCCAGGCACAGTGGCTCACGCCTGTAATCCCAGCACTTTGGGAGGCTCAGGCAGGTGGATCACTTAAGGTCAGGGGTTCGTGACCAGCCTGGCCAGCATGGCGAAACCCCACCTCTACTACAAATACAAAAATTAGCCAGGCCTGTGCCTATAGTCCTGCTACTCAGAAAGTTGAGGCAGGAGAATCACTTGACCCTGGGAGGCGGAGTTTGCAGTTAGCCAAAATCATGCTACTGCACTCCAACCTGTGCAAAACAGAGTGAGACTCCACCTCAAAAAAAAAAAAAAAAAGAAGATGATTATTAAAAGAAGGGGAAATCAGAACGGAATTTCCACCTGATTAAATACTATTTTTTCTGGTCAAAAACATTTCCTGCATAGGAAATACAGTTTCTCTATTATGTCAATCTTACCCAATCTATGATCAATCTTAGTGCTGGAAACCCCCTACACATGCGGAATAACTTCTAAAGACTTTTCACACAGAAAATACAATACTGAACTATTAATAGAAAGGAATTACAGTTTTAGCTGTAATATGTAAAAAACTTGGAAGTTGTATTAAAGAAAAAATTATTCAGTGATATTTGCTAAAGCATATTAAAGAAGACCTTATTTAAGACCATTGAGATAGGCACGGGGCCACTGCAACAGGGTCTTGCAGTGGAGGAAAGAGATTGGACTCAACTGTGAACACAGCATGGGCAAAGCGGAAATTTATAGGCGGGGAGCAGGGTAGGGGCTAGTGGATGGAAATTACTAATAGGAAACATCTGTGATAAGGGGGACTCTGGCCAAATCAACTGAAAGTATCCTTACAGGGTTAACAAGAATTACACACCAGGGTCTGGACAGAAATATAGTTATAATTAAGCATTAATCAGGCTGCACTTTGGCTCACTTCCTTGTAACTGAATCATGTAGCACTAGATACTGACCACTTACATCCCCATTGTTCCTACAGATAGGAATTCTGATGTTAGAGTCATAGGCTTTTGTTTAAGAATTGCTTAAGATGTTCTTTAGATCTGGAATTCCAATGGAATGACTGATGTCAACCAGTTTGAGGACCTCCACAGAGAAACTGAATCAGCATGACAATGTAGTTTTTTCATCTCTCAACCCATGACTTCACCCTGCACTCTGCAAACTGTACCACTCTGCCACACTTTGGCCCACCTAAAATTCCTGTCCCAAATTTTTTTTAGGGCGGCAGTTTTGAGGTTTCCTACTGTTTCTTCATTTGGCTGCCCTATGATTATTAAACTCTCTCTGCTGCAGTCCCCAGTGTCTCAGTATATTCACTTGCTGTGCATCAGGCAAATGAACCTATTATATGACCTAATAGGATTCTTGCTGAAGATATCCAGGATGATCAGATATTGGAGATAGGGGATTCTTGTTAAATTGACTTAGCAAGGATGGCTAAAACTGGATTTTACCAGGAAGTGCACAGATGGGCAAAGGTTCAGATGGCCAAGTAAATTTGGCCATCTAGGATTAAAGAGTCATTGCTAGTTGTCAACTTATCCTTACTACAAGAAAAAGCTGGACAAATTAAAAACAAATGACTTACCTTGGACACATCAGAGAACTGAATTTGCAGAGAAGACGGCCACCCTGAAATCTGTTGAGACAGGCATATCCAGAACATCACAGGAGAGGTCTGCTTACCTGGGGTAGAAGCGGCTAGAGGTGAAAACAGGTAGATGCACTTTAAATGGTAATTTTGGTAAATTGCTAAAGGCTGAGCGTGGATTACCTTGAGAGTAAGAAACACTTGGACGCTTCAGTCTCACATTTATAGGCTTGCCCTTCAGGAAACCCACCAGGTTCTCCTAATAATGATTTGAGAAAATTCCCCTGCAGACCCGGCAAGGGGAGGGGAAGAGTAACCCTTGTGAAACAAGCCCAGAGTGTTCTTATAACGAAGCCCTACTCTCCCGGAGAAAGGACTTCAGTCAGATCTCTTTCTCTGTGATGACTCTCCCAGTTCTGCTCTTCTCAGTATATTGGCTTCATTATCAAGCCAGCTCTTTCATAATGGCAAAGTAACCGCTGCAGTTCCAGCATTCACATCTACATCCTATGCAGACCAGAGGAAGAGTGTCTTCTCCACTAGCTCTCAAAGAGCAACAGAGTCTCTCCCTAATTAGCCCCCTGAAACTCTCCCTTATGTTTTATCGCAACAAATTGGGTCATAGTCCCATTTGGAACCAATCCTTCTGCCTGAGGGAATGTCATGCGTTGAGTTTCTTAGTTTGGGCTTTTGGGAGTTAGGCTAGAGTTGGGGAATTACTTTTAAGGTGAGGGAAATATCTGAGCAAGTGTTCAGAAGCTTGCTCAAACTATTTCCCTCACCTTGAAAGTAACTCCCCAACTCTGGATGGGTGCGGTGGCTCACGCCTGTAATCCCAGCACTTTGGGAGGCTGAGGCAGGTGGATCACCTGAGGTAAGTATGTCAAGACCAGCCAGGCCAACATGGTGAAACCCCATCTCTACTGATAATACAAAAAATTAGCCAGGCATGATGGCAGGCACCTATAATCTCAGCTACTGGGGAGGATGAGGCAGGAGAATCACTTGAGCCCAGGAGGTGAAGCTTGCAGTGAGCTGAGATCACACTACTGCACTCCAGCCTGGGCAACAGAGGGAGACTCAGTGTCAAAAAAAAAAAAAAAAAAAAAAAAGTAATTCCCCAACTCATTCACTCACCTCTTCTCTCCATCACCACATTCTCTCACTCTCTCTTTTTTTTTTTAGGTTTTTCCAAGAATATGTAAAATGAGACTTGGAGTTTAATTAAAATCAGAACAGGGATACATTAAACAAACAAACAAAAAATACTTTTCTGATTATCAATTCTTGAGACTCAAAGCATCCCCCAAAACATTGGATATCCAGCTTATTCCCGAGAGACATCAACCATCACAAAATGTTTTCACTCTGAACTATTCACATTTTTGTAGCAGAAAACAGAACAAAGTTCTGCAGACATCCTTTCTCTCTTCTTTCTAAAATGTATTCACAGACAGGGTCTTTTCATAGTTCAAAAGAAAAACAGGTTTCTTTCTTGGCCAAATGGCCTTCTACTCTCACCCTGGGATCTGATTTCTTAATAAGAAAGTTCAGGGCACCAAATCCAGCCAGAAATTCCCAGGACACCATTGGCTACTTAACTATGAGGGGATGGATGCTTTAGTCTTTCTATGAGGGGAGTCATTCTCCCGGGATTATTATGTCAGTCGATAGTCCCTGGAGAGGTAGGTGGGAAGGAGGGTGAATGCAAAAGCTAAAGGGTCAGAGAAAAGAATGAGGCTTTTATGAACAACTCATAGCAAGGCAGAATGGTCCAGTTTTACAAACCACCCACTGCAGACTCCAAGCATGCACACCCAAAAACTAGAGGGGAAACGAAAGAGTTCCTGGGGGACAAGGGGATACAAAACATGGTGACATAGAACAGCAGGCTCGCCTATGAACATTTCTCACCTTGCTAACACTGGAAGATGTTTAACTAAAAGGTTGCTGTTCAAAATTGTACTGAAAACATATCTAAAAATAGGTCTGTCATCATCTTAAAAATAAACGGTCACTTCTCAGATAAGAGGAGTGACAGATGTTCTCATATACCAACACTTGAGGTATATTTGATGTAAATTTGAAAAATGGCCTGGTAGAGAGAAAGGAAAGAAAGGAAAGAGGAAGACAGTGAGGGAGGTAGGGAGGGAAATTCAGAGTACAATAGGAAAGGCAAGAAAACTGGTAGGAACACATTTTTTAAGCCCGTGCTTATCTATCCCAGCAGCCAAACAAAGCAGATCCAGAAAGGAAAAAAATGCAGTTTTTTTTCTAAGAACATTCTGAAAATCAGCTTCAAACTCAAAACATAAGAAACTGCAATCTGAGAACAACTATCACAAGGCTCACTGGACTTAAACATGACGACTGAGACTGGGCACTCAAATGGGTCAACGCTCTTCAGAGGTCATTCTTAGGCGTTATCTGACACAATACTATGATCAGGCCTTACCCACCAAGTAAAGGCTAAAGTGACTCTATTACTTGGTACGGACCTGCTCTAGAAGCAGACAAAATCACCTCGCTTTCTTGAAGTACAAGAGGACTCTGCCAGCAACAAGATGCAAGCAAGAAGGAGTGGCAGAAGAAGAACAAAACTGGTTACCAAAGGCTCTTTTCTGATGCACAGTGTTAAACATACCTGCACAAATGCTCTAAGTAAAAGAACGGGAAGATGAACTATAATACCAAAGACAGAAGACATTCCTCCTCGAGGAAAGAAGGGAAGGGGACCTCAAAACAGTGTCACAGGGTAATGCTACCAGAGTTGGCCAAACTGTGCTCTGTTCCAAGGGACAAATACCTCAAGGTGAAAGGGAAAGCAGCTCTCTTTTTATCATTTCCCCTTGCTGGCTTTAAAGACCCCAAGCCCAGACTCTTGCAACACTGAACCATAGGTGGGATGCAGGGAGGAGAGACAGAGGGTAAGGAACATGAATGGTGTTAGGCCCACAAAGCTTCTGTATCCCTTTCCCAGACTTCCCAGCCAGGCAGTTGTTGGTCGTTGATATTTGATTTGGGACAAAATTGCAAGGTATGAGGCTGGCTCTCAAAAAAACAACTAGGAAAGCCAGAGTTTAACTGTTTTCCTCTAAACTGAGCTCTACAGAAATACACCAAGAGCCTTCAATCTAACCTGTTTAAGTGGGAAGGGGAACAGGAGACATTTAAAGGCTTAGCTCTAGAATCACCTCCTTCAGGATCATTTCCCCTACACACAGATTGCTTCAGGTGCTCTTCTCCTTCCTGTTCCTCCATTGTGGCACTTGACAGTGTTACATGGTTGGTGGTTTGTGTGTTTCTTTTTCTCCTAGCTGTTTATGCTACTGAATTAGCAGCATGTAGTGCAGCCACACTTAGTAAATGCTCCACATTTATGTGTTGAAGATAATTGGTGAAATGAAATAACTTTAGCTTTAATGGTGGAAGCCTTGCTTGAGGCTTACTGGAATTATTGCATCTGATCAGAAGTAGCCATTGACTCAGAATTGTTTTATATAAATCCTTCCCATTCCTCTCTTTCTCTTGTCTTCCACCTCCCCTTCCTCCTCTATTACACGCAATGTATATCGGAAAATTCTAAGCACATCTGACTACTGATATTCAAGAGATTTGACCATAGAATTTTGGAATAAGTTGCTTCATTTTGGAGTCACATTGAATGTGAAAACCTGAGAATGCATATTTTTGGGCTGGCATCTAATCATTAATAGCTGTGCCTTTTCTCAAGCACTTCAAATTTCTGAATTAATACATGATTTATATATATCTGAATTGTAAATAGTATAAAAGAGCCTCATCTGCTTTGGTTCAAACTGCAGCCCTAACTCTCATCAGTTGTATGAATTTGAGCAATTTACTTAACTTCTTAATGCTGTTTCTTCATCTGTAACAGAGCTGTTGTGAAGATTTAATGAGATAATAAAAATAGAGCATTGGGAATGATGCTATGTGTAATAAGTGCTCAATAAACCTGAACTTTTAATTCTATTATTCTAAAGTAAAACAATGAATTCCACCATAGACTCAAGGTGTCATTATTTTTAAGTGATGTTTGTATATTAATTTGTTATGTATCCTAAAGCTTGAATCATTTATGCCTTCATGCTTTTTAAAATTCATACCATTTTCATCTTGGTCTTTTCTCCATACATTCACCTATTAGATATTTTTAAATTTTATTTTTTCATTCATTTATTCATCCATGGCAAGGCTACATACCAAAGTCTTCACTCTTAAATTTTCTGTAAGTCTCTCTCCCTCTCTGCTATCTCACTGGTATCCTGAGTGCTGTTGGTCACTACCACCTTCCCAGCTCCCACAAAACAGAAAAAAAAAAAAATAGATTCAAAGAAGCCCTGGTTCAAAGAATAAGACAGAAAAACTTGGAGGTTTGCCAGCAAAGTTGGATACATAGAAGCTCATTTGATCCATTCAATAATCCTATGAATTAGACACTATTATTACCCCGACTTTACATATAAGGAAACTGAGTCAAAGAGCAGTTAGGTAGCTTGACCAAAGCCAAACAGAAAGTGGAAGAGAGAGAAATGAAATCCAGGTTGTCTAGCTCCTCAGTTGGACAAAAATCATCTCATCCTTATTCTGGAATGACTCATTATTCAGTTCAAGGGAGAGGCAGAAAAATAGATATAACATAGGTAAGTATTAAAAATATGGATTAATGAAAAATGCTCAGAAAGCAGAGAGGAGGGAATGGCCAACTATCAGGGACATCCAGTCCTATCCTGAAGGATAAATGGATTTTCCAGGTGGAAAGGGGTGTGCAAACACTGTGGGCTACAGGAACAATGTGTGCAAAGACCAGGGAGGTAGAAGAGCCTGATTCAGTTTAAGGAATGCCAGAGGGCTGTTTGGATGTCTACACAGAAGGAGACATTGGAGACATGACAGTGGACACATACCCCAAAATATGGCACATTGGCATTTAAGAAAACAGCAGAATTAGGAAGGTCATCCCCACTTTACCCTCACCCTTCTTTTCTGAAGTAGGTCAGAAGTCCATTATTGAGGTGCCCTCCTTAAACTCAGAATAAAGAAACATTCTTATCTCTGAAGACACAAGGACACAGAGAAGCTGAACAAACAAGTCTTCCTAATGTTGGGACTCAGAAAATAATACCCCAAAAGTTTGGTGCTTTGACATGCTGAATACTTTACTTATTTATGTATTTATTTTTGAGACAGAGTCTCACTCTGTTGCCCAGGCTGGAGAGCAGTGGCATGATCCCAGCTCACCACAACCTCCGCCTCCTGGGTTCAAGCAGTTCTCATGCCTCAGCCTCCCAAATAGCTAGGATTACAGGTGTGTGCCACCACACCTGGCTAATTTCTTGTATTTTTAGGAGAGATGGGGTTTTTAGGAGAGATAGGGCCTGTTATCTGTCATGTGATGTTATACCAGAGTTAGGCTGGACTTGGTATCTTATTGCTACAAAGAGTTTATTCTGTGAGTCTAAGGATCTCTACTTTAATGTTAATGCTGCCTCAAAAAAAAAAAAAAAGACATTTACTATCTACTCTTTCTGAAGCCTGCTTACCTGGAGACTTCATCTATATAACAAGAACTTTGGCTTCCATAAGCCCTCTATTTTAACCCTAAGCATTTCTTTTTGCTGATTTTAACTCTCTAGGCAAAGCTTAACTCATTCAAGCAATTGCAAATCAGGAAATCTTTAAATCCACCTAAGACCTGGAAGCTCCTGCTTTGAGATGTTCCAGCTTTCTGGGCCAAACCAATGTATTACTTACATTTATTGATGTATGTCTTTGCCTGTAACTTGTGTTTGCCTAAAATGTATAAAATCAAGCCATAACACATACACTTTGGGCCCATGTTCTCAGGGCCCCCTGAGGCTGTGTCACAGGTCATGGCCCTTACATTTGGCTCAGGATAAACCTTTTCAAATATTTTACAGAGTTTGGCTTTTTTCATCAACATGGGGCAAAGGCTAAATATACTTTATATTGTACCACGAGGGCTATAAATCCTGATGAGTAATCTATTGTCTGAAGAGGGAGCTGGTTGTGCAGTCTGTTGTTCAGATAAATGTATTTTTAGGAAGTTTCTTTGTCAACCAATAACATTATTTGTAACTTAACCTCACTGGGTGAGAATTTCCCAAAATAGTAAAGTGCTGTTACTATAGACATTTCTAATTCTTAATCCTATTAAGCTGTGTGGTTGATACAGGTTAATATAGGAAGGGTCCCTCCTACCGCCGGATTTTTTTTTTTAACTAAGAAAATATATTTAAAGCATTAGCAAAAAGTAAAAATTCTAACACTTAGCAATGTAAACCTATGTAAGTTTAAAATAGGTAAAGGTAAAAATTAAGAAACAATTGCTTCAGTCCAGGTAAAATTTAGTACATTCAAGAACAAGGTTCATGGCAATGGGAATGGATAGGAAAGATATAGTCAAGTATTGTTCAGAATATGAAACTTAGAGGACATTATAGATTGAATGGGGAGGGTGAGGAGAGGGAAAGTGTGACCACCACAGCCATTTGGATGAATGATAAAGCTGCTTACTAAGATACAGAATGGAGAAGATGAAGCAGATTTTGAGGAATGAACTTAATTTTGGATACACTGCTGTTATTTGAAGGGACAGAAATGAAAAGGCACTCTCTCTCACTTTCTCTCTCTCTCTCTCCCTCTCTCTCTCTCTCTACATATATATATATATATACTTTTTTTTTTTTTTTTTGAGATGGAGTTTCGCTCTTGTTGCCCTGGGTGGAGTGCAATGGTGTGCAATCTTGGCTCACCGCAAGCTCCACCTCCCTGATTCAAGCTATTCTCCTGCCTCAGCCTCCCGAGCAGCTGGGAATACAGGCATGTGCCACACCTGGCTAATTTTGTATTTTTAGTAGAGATGGGGTTTCTCCATGTTGGTCGGGCTGGTCTCAAACTCCTGACCTCAGGTGATCCACCCGCCTCGGCCTCCCAAAGTACTGGGATTATAGGCCTGAGCCACTGTGCTCAGCCTATATTTTTTACATTAATAAAAAATTAAGTGTAGTCTTTGCTGGGACACATTTAATTGAGGAGGCAGTTGGGAACACATGTCTGGAGCTCAGGATAGTAGTAAAGCCTGGTGGTCAAAGCAGAATAAAGATCAATGCTATGGCTCAGTGGATGGTAGCATCTGTCCTTGCCCTGCCCTTGCGGGATTGTAATGTATTGTGTGTGTATTAAAGTTGCTAAAGCATTGAGACTTGTTCATTTTATTAATTCAATGAAACTAATCAGGCATCACCATGGTTAATAACCCTCCTTGTAAACCACAGCAGGAAATTTTCTGATTCTAGGCAGAACACAATGGCCATAAATTTTGCACTATGAATTATAGAAGAATGCAGAAATCCTATGCCAGTCCTTAACTGAGCAACCACAGGAGGGCTAATTGTCTGCAATCCTCTCTCTTCCTCATGCTCAAGGTCTGGGAACTAATTTCAATTGCTGATTAAAATGGTCATTTCCTCCCTTGTATTTCAGTGTTCATAACTACATCCTTAGAATTCCACAAATTCCATCAAGTGTTAGGAGTGATGGAGCTGTATAGTAAGGATAAGTCTTTCACCCAGTACTGAGGACACAGAGCTAATAATGAATAGGAAAGGATGCAAGGGGCATGCTGAAAAGTTAGAGGCTACAGTGGCTAGGCCAGTTTCACCATGATGTAGTAACTGTTGGAGTTCAGAAAGTAATACCCCGAAGGATGACGCTATGGCATGCTGAACACTTTGAACTACAGTGAATTATAAGAACTTAGAAGCAGCCCCAGAACCAAGGACTTTTCAACATTCTCCTGTGTTTCCCCCTAAGTACAGGGTGGAAATCTCTCTCTCTGAAGTTCCAGTATCTGAAGTTTGGAATACAATTGCCTTCAGTCCCCTCCCTGAAATTGTATTAACCAGAGAATATTAGATTCATATCTCGGAAAGGAAGACTGAGGAATGTCACCACACCTAGACACTTTGACACAGGCTATTGTTTTCCAGTCCCATTCAATTTCCAAAGAGAGTTACTTACAAACTATCATTTATTCTTTGGGCTCAAACAACTCTCCTGAAAATAATTTACTGCCATTCAAAATTGCTTATATTCCCCCATTTCCCTATCTCCTGTAAAGAGAGTATTTAAGCATCAACCATTTGGCCCTTCTTTGAGTATCGTACCTTGCTTGGCTCTTGTGCACACTTGCACATTAATACATTTATGTGTCCTTTCTCCTGTTAATCTATTGCCAGTCTATTGCAGCAGACTTGAAACTTCAGATAAAGGAAAAAGTTTCCTTTGCCTCTAACATAACCAATATTCTAGCCAAGGGAAAAAATTTCTTCATTCTTCTTCAATGTTTACTCTAAGATATAAGCCAGGAAGCTCCTAACACTTTTATGAACCTTAGAATCAAGTAAAAGAAGATCTTAAATTAAAGACTTCTGAAAAACTGAGGTTAAGTCCAGACGACTTATTCAACTCAGAGTCTTGAATAAAGCAACTAGCGGCAACCTCCAAAATTCAGACTCTTTCTGAGTACTCTTACACATCCAAGGTCAAAGGAAAGGGCTTTAGTATGGATTTTCATTTCTTTCTCTCTATGAAACTGGATTTGTTACCTGTGATCAAAGTTAAAGAGGTATTTACACTTGAAGGCCTACAAGCCTTCTAAAAATATTGTCTGCAAAATTTTTATTTAACTCATTTTTAAACTTATTCATTATTGTTAAAATAGTAGAAAACGGATTAGAGTTGAAGGCAGATAAACTGAATTCTAATTTTAGCATTTCTTCATTCATCTAAGCAACATGTTTGCAAATCTATGTAACACTGGGCAAGTGATGGAACTTCCAATATGCCTCGACTCTTTCTTCACAAAATGAGTGAGTGAGATTAGATGATGTCTAAGTTCATTCTAGCACCAATATTCTTTTATAAAATTAAAGATGAGTTCTATTGGGAAAAGAATAATCCTACTGAATTGTATTTATCTCTTAAAAAAACCAAATGTCACATAAATAAATAAAAAATGGTGTAATGGTGAAACATTAATAAAGATACCAAGTCAGAAAGAACTGAGCTTGTCAATAAAACCTAAAAAGTGGCAGATGCCATGTCTGTAATCCCAGCACTTTAAGAAGCTGAGGTGGGTGGATCATTTGAAGTGAGGAGTTTGAGACCAGCCTGGCCAACATGATGAAACCCTATCTCTACTAAAAATACAAAAAATTAGCCCGGCGTTGCGGCGCACATCTGTAATCCCAGCTACTCAGGAAGCTGAGGCAGGAGAATTGCTTGAACCCAGGAGGCAGAGGTTGCAGTGAGCCAAGATCGCGCCATTGCACTTTAGCTTGGGTAACAGAGTGAGACTTGGTCTCAAAAAATAATAATAAATAAATAAATAAATGGCAGACTCAAGGTAGTGCCATGAGAATTCCAAAGCTTTTAGTCTGAAAGATGCTTAATTTATATGTCTTACAGTTGGAATTCTATTAGGAAAATAGTGGGGATTTTTGTATAGATTTTCTAACCCTACCAAATTCTTAATTCTTAATAATAAAACAGAGGAGAAAATTAAAACAGAGCCAGAGCTGAAACAAGCATCAGAAATACTGTTTTGCTTAACCATGTATTTTCTTTTCTCAACCATATTTCTATTCCACTGCAAGGTGTATAGTCGTCTAGGTTATAACAATAACAAGTCACAAACACTGTTAAGCACAGCTATGTGCCGAAGAGTCTGTTAAACGCTGTACACAGTTTCACACTGGATTTTCACAGAAATTCTATAAAATAACCATTACAATTACCCCCCACTTAACAGTGCAAGAAATGGAGATTTTGAAGTCCCTTTTTGTTTTTTTCGTTTTTTTAGATGGAGTCTGGCTCCATCACCCAGTCTGGAGTGCAGTGGCGCGATCTCGGCTCACCACAAGCTCCGCCTCCCGGGTTCACGCCATTCTCCTGCCTCAGTCTCCCCAGTAGCTGGGACTACAGGCGCCCGCCACCACGCCCGGCTAATTTTTTTTTGTATTTTTTTAGTAGAGATGGGGTTTCACCGTGTTAGCCAGGATGGTCTCGATCTCCTGACCTCGTGATCCGCCCGCCTCAGCCTCCTAAAGTGCTGGGATTACAAGTGTGAGCCACCGCGCCCAGCCTGAAGTCCTTTTAAGTAACTTGCTTAGGGACACACTACATAGCTAGGAAGCATCAGAGTTATAATTCAAATCCAAGCCTCTCTGTGCTTAAAGTCAGAGTTCTTGTTTCTATTCATATTTCACACTTTCTTTTCCTCGTCTCTATAGAACAGTGGATGCCATAATGATCAGTGCTGACTCAAAGGGAAAAGAGAGCTGTTCTAGGTATGAATTATAGGCACATGGTGTCCTTAAGAGAACCTGGTGGCAGGGCACAGTGGCTCACGCCTGTAATTCCCAGCACTTTGGGAGGCTGAGGTGGGCGGATCACGAGGTCAGGAGATCAAGACTATCCTGGCTAACACAGTGAAACCCAATCTATACTGAAAATATAAAGAGTTAGCCTAGAGAAGTGGTGGGCTCCTGTAGTCCCAGCTACTCGGGAGGCTGAGGCAGGAGAATGGCCTGAACCTGGAAGGTGGAGCTTGCAGTGAGCCGAGATGGTGCAAGTGCACTCCACCCTGGGCGACAGAGCGAGACTCCATCTCAAAAAAAAAAAAAAAGAGAGAACGTCGTAAATAGTTGTTGGCTTGTCTGTGTAAGTTGACTTCACCACAGAACAATTCTGGAGATAAATTTACTGACTAGAATTTTACCAGTTATTTAATCCAATATAAAATATAACATCATTTCACATAATGAACAACACATGGGTAATGAGGTTCAGAACATACCACCCCAATACATGACTATAGGAGACAAGAATATGCCACTGTAAAAATATGCCTCTTTGGCGTATTGATTGTTTTGAGCTGGTTTGAGAAACTACAGACAGATAAGCTCTGAAAGGCTATCCTTTTGTAAAGAAATGTACATTCATAGAGGAAATTTTCATTAGTAAAGTTATCTGTATCAGGAAGAGAGCTACTCTGAGACAACTTTTGTCACCTGAGAGATTTTTATCTGAATAACAAGGCAACTTTTATTCATTGTATATTTCCCTCCTTTACCCTCCCGGAATTTGTCTCTATCAGCCCCTAGAGGCCACAAAATCCTATTCGTTTTTGCAGCTCAAAATGATATATAAAACTCAATCATCTGGGTGCTTCTTTGAACCTCATATTTTTGTGAAACTCCTGTGTGTACGTTTGCAATTAAAATTGTTTTTCTCCTGTTAATCTGTCTTTTGTCAACTTTATTTGTAGACCAGCCAAAGAACCTCAAGGTCTCATGGTGAGTCATTTGCAGAAACAAGGCAGAAATCTGGTCCATCATTTGGCCATATGGTCTTTTAGACCTATCATTGTTCTGGGAAAGTAAAAGGTGATTCATTTCTCACTATTATTTTTTTCTGTGTGATCCAGCCTTTCATGTGTAAATTAGGGGCTCCTTCTGCATGTGAATAGGAGTGGCGGGAAACAGACTGTTAGCTGTGTCTCCTGATCTGTAAGATTTGGATAATTTTTCCATAAACCACCATTTGAGAATATAATTCCATGCTTACTACTATAAAAATCTGAAAAGTCTTGAGGTACTCACAGCCTTATGGTCACTCATAGCTCTGAACCTCAGCGTCCAGGGACTTAGGGGTGTTCATGGGTTTATCTTAATATCATGCTTCTCCTGGCTTTGTTTTATACCTTATTAGCCAAAAACATCAACTTCAGACCTTTCTTCACATTCAACTTTAAAAAAGATCTTCTCTCAAGGGCTTTATGTAAAGCTGATTATGCTAAAAATTTGGACTGGTGCTGATGACAGAGGAAGGATTTACATCTCAGCAACATAAGCAACCAAAAGTTAAACATTAGATATTTGTGTTCATAAAATTTCATCAGCCACTTTGCTGCAGGGGATGTGAATTCACTGTTTTAAAATGCATAGTTCCTGCTTGGGTGGTTTCTCCATTTCTCCATTCCAGTTTTTTATCCTTCTCTCCTCTGATCCTGAAATCCCTATTCTTTTCTCATATACATACCATATTAGTGCATGCAGTCCTGAACTCAACCATAGCACCTGTGTCTCTTTGCCTGAGTGTTTTGTCTGGTCATCTCAGTCAGCCCCATGCATATGATTATGCATGTCTTAGGCCAAAATTACTGGACAATATCCCCTCCTCAGATAATTCTTAACCGATAATTGATGGATACCCATGCGTAGATAACCCAGGTCCCTTACCCTTGGTTTAGGTGACTCTGAGCCTGTGTTCTAAAGGGAGTCTTAGAATCCTTCAGCATGTTTAAGCTCTCGTTGCTAATACATGTTTGACTGGTTTATTTCTCTTCTCAGTCTCTCACTCCCCTACCAGTGTTTTACGAGTTCGCCTCCCATATAAGCCAACTGTTCTCAGATCTTTGTTTCAGGGTCTGCTTCTGGGGGAATCAAAAATAAGAAATGCCCACTTGAAAGATTTGTGAGTTAATTCCCTAAACATGGTTTTCTCCCTAAAAGGAATTAGGATGCAAATTGTTAAGATAAAATATTTATTTTTCCCTTCTGCTCTAAGTATACTTGTCAGAAAGGTTTCCTAATATAATCAACATGCTATTTGGGGGGTTAAAACAGCAGTGACTCTGAAAGTGTGAGGTAACCAAGGCATGCTGATTTATCCTGATCTTCCCATAAAAATGGCATTTTATTTAGAGCATCAGTACTCTTATGCTGAAGAATCACATGTCAAGAGATATCAAGGCTTAAGTTGAAAATGCCAGTAAGAGTATACCTCATATGTGCTTCTCAAGGAAATCCATTTTAATTCCAAGGTGAAGTTTGAGAATCATGATTCTTCTCAGCTTTATGATAATTTAGGAAATAGTAATTCAGCATTTACTATGTGTTCAGAACCATGCGAGACCTAGAAAATATAGAGATAAAAGTAACATATTAGGTGCCCTGCAGGTGTTCATATTCTAATGGAGCAGACAGGCTTTAATCAGCTATGTTAATTCAATGTGGTAA
Source organism: Homo sapiens (assembly GCF_000001405.40). Taxonomy (NCBI): domain Eukaryota; kingdom Metazoa; phylum Chordata; class Mammalia; order Primates; family Hominidae; genus Homo; species Homo sapiens. The sequence goes on from NC_000011.10 coordinate 103,639,190, forward strand.
GGGCTCTACTGGAAGGATGCATAAACACCATTTTAGCAGGGTGTTTAGTCTTTGCATGAAACACATACTTAACAATGGCTTACTGGATAAATGGAAGAACAAAATGAAGCCTTTCTAGGTGAGGAATGGAGTTTCCGTACTCTCTTAGATACTTCTGAAATTGTCCTGGGAAACTTGTGTCAATAATCTTTGTGCACAGACATAAAAATTCAGGTTTCAACTTTAATCAAGGATGTTTTAGAGTGTCAGAACCAGGAATGACTTAGAGATTATCTAATTCATTTAGTGAAAAAAATATAAAAGCTAATGGAATATTCCAAGGTCAAATAGAAAAATCATCCAGTTCTATCCTATCATCTTTTACATAAAGCCTTTTCCATATCACACACACACACACACACACACACACACACACACACACACAGAGAGACACGCCCACACAGAGAGTCATACTCCTCTACTCAAACAAGTAAAAATTTGAATTAGAAAAAATAAAGCACCACATTTAGCTAAAGTTTTCTCCAATGTTTTCCAGGGAAAGAGGAAATTAGTACAATTGAACCATTTCAAATATTACAAGACCAGTGTATGACACAATGCAATTGGATTTAGAATAATAGCCTAGGTTGCTTACAAAAGTCCACAGATTACTGTTTTGGGGACAACCTCAAGATTGCCTTTATGTTGAAGAAGATCCTGGTTTATATCTTCAGTTTTTCAGGAAATGTACTGTTTATCTCTCTATTTTTCAGGGAATTTCCCATCATTAAATCTCTAAAAGAGAAAACAAACCCTTCTGGAATTTTATTTTGCTGTTAATTTAAAAGGGAGAGAAAGAGAATGCAGTAAAAATTTTAATTAAAACTGTAGCATTTGGAAGTGCATGGGTTAAGGTTACACTGCATTTATAGGAAAGCTCTTTCCAGCTTTGAAAAAGGAGAAATAATTGCATTGCCAGATTGTGAAGATATGTATTGACGGTAGTGTGAGATGCTCTTGATATAGATTGCCATTGACTTGAATAACTGGCATTTTGCTTAAAAAATGTGATGGAGCATTGACCAGACAAATGCAGGAAGAAAAATGGGGCTAGAGAAATGGTTTAATCATGTTTTAAAAACATGATTAGCAGGTTGAAGAAGAAGCAAAAGTTTTTCTTCATTTATGCAGCAAGAAGACAAGAGTTAGAGTTTCTTAAGATGGCCCAAAAGTTTCTGTATTAAATCATTTGAATGATATACATAGATCTAGAAAAGAATGCTCTTTTCAGAAGTTTTACAAATGGAATGGAAGTGACTGGCCTGACGAGAATTAGGTGAAAGATGAATGTGTGAGTCTGACAGTAGAGAAGCCAGAGGGTTCATATACTAATGAAGTATCTGATTTTAGTGGAGAGGAAGAAGCATTTTTTTTCTTTTTTGTCCAGAAGTAGTTGTGAATGATGGCTTAAAAGGCTTCGCTTGCTAATTTGAAGTGATAGCAGTTTAATAAATCACATCTCCCCAAATCAGAATTATATTGAGCAATCAAATAGCAAATCTTGAGTTTGAAAGTTCCATGCAACCAAGTAGATGTCAATACATAGATACAGAATACAAATACCCAGAAAGTCAGAATCAGACCTTAACTATCCTTTTATTTTCACTAAGCTGGGCCTGTATAAGTAGGCAATAGCCATTTTGCTAAAACCATATTGAGTGCCAACCATGTTCTAGACTCTGTGCTGGGCTGAGGATACAAGAGAGTTTATATTCTGGTAAAGGAAGACATTTAAGATGAACTAATACATTAGATGCAGTGAAAAAGTGCAATATCGAGGTACTATGACTGGTGCAACTAGAAGAATATTAGTAAAAGAATGATCTGAACAGGTGGATCAGAGAAGCCTTCACAGAAAAGAAAATGGTGGATTAGTTTCTTAAAGAAACAGTAGGAGATCACTAGGTGAATGAGTAGTGTCAGGGCCAGCCAGGCAGGAAGAGCAGGCTTTGTAAAGCCACAGTGGCATGATGTAGTATCTTATATTCGGAGAATTACAAGAAATTCTATATTGCCGAAGAGAAGGATGCAAGGGCAGGAGAGTGGGTAGGGGAGTAATTTTGACAAGAGATATGGCTGGAAAGTTAGGTAGGAGCTAGATCACTGAATTTCCTTGCTAGACAAAGTTTGTTGCTAAACTTTAACAAACTAACTTGCTTTGCTGCACTGAGAAAGTCTCAATACAATTTATATGGCTGGCTGTGTTTTGATGGGTCATTTTAAGAATGTGGAGCTATCAGGTTGTCTAGAAAACAATTCCGATGGTGGAAATAAAGGAGTGATGAGCTCTGGGCTACAGAGCTCTTGAAGGAGACCTTCACACATAATGAACTTATTTGAAGTCAAAAAAATTGACAGTGGGAACCGTGCTTGACATTATGAAATATAGGGAAGTGATGTTAGGCCAGTAAGTATGTTTTGGTATGACACAATGTATATTTGTTTCTCTGGGTTACATGGGAGCTTTATCTTCAGGAGAAAGCTCAAGGTGGTTGTAAAGGATTGAACGGTGTTCCCCCAAAATTCATGTCCACCTGGAAGCTCAGAATGTGACATCTGGAAATAGTTTTTGCTGATATATTTAGTTAAGTTAAAATGAAGTCATTTTTTGCTAGATAAATAGAGAAAACAAGATGAGATCACACTGGATTAGGGTAGACTTTAAATCTAATAATTGGTTTCTTTATAAGAAGAGGAAAGGACACACAGAGACAGACAGAACTATATAAAGACAAAGGCAAAGATTGGAGTGAAGTAACACCAAGCAACACGAAAGATTGTCAGGGGTCACCATAAGCTAGAGGAGAGATGGGACTAATTTTTCCCTTGGCGTTTCTAGAAGGAACCAACCCTGCTCATGGCTTGATTTTGAACTTCTAGCCTCCTGAACTATCAGGGTATAAATTTCTGTTGTTTTAAGCTAAGTTCATGATGACGTATTATTAAAACCCTAGGAAACTAATAAGATAGCAAAATATTTTGCTAAGTTGAGAAGTTAATAATTAGTCATCAGGGACTCCAGCAGATTTGGCATTTCATGAATTCTGCCTGAGATTTTGTCATGAAATCTAGATTATAATTCAAATTCCAGATAATGGTTTTGGGAAACAAAAGGGCTTAGAAAAATATTTAAAGTTTGAACCAGTCATATTTAGGTTTCCTTGCTGTCTGTTTCTAGTGTATCACAGTCTGATATGCTAAACAACATAGTCACTGATAACAACTAAAAATGGGTAACATATTAAAACTATGCATTAGTGAGCTAACAACATGGTAAGGCATCCTGAGAGTCCAATGATGTGAACATGGAGCTCCAGAAAGATGAGCCAGTTCTGATGTCAGCTTTTGCCCATCTACTGGGCCTTCATGACCTTCACTTCCTAGTTTGAAGGCTATCCGGGGAACAGGTGAGCAGGAGAAAACATATAGAGCCCAACCAAGGTAATGAGTCTAAATATGACCCCTTCTTGACACTGGGACTGAAGGGCACAATTACAGTGCAAGGGTGAAAAATAAATTACTCCCAGAAGGAAATATTAAGAAAACTTCTCTGTTACCATCTTGGTTTTGAGTAGAAGTGGGAAAAAAATATCTCTAGTGAAATGTCTTAGCTATGAGCCTATTTTCTGGCCACTTTGTAGCCTAAGTTTATATTACTTGTGCAGGTTCAAAAAACTTCAAGTCAAGGTTTAGTTTTAAAGTGACTCCAGGTTGAGACAAAGGCAAGTCCCCTCTAAATCACCTTCAAGCAGGCTTTGAAAAATTTGGACTGATAAAGTTCATCAGCATAACAAAGCTGGACAAATACACATGATGCCAGAGAGTAGGAGCAGATGTGAAGTATCTGCAGATACTGGAATGACCAAGTGAAGAATATAAACTTTGTATGTTTAACTTGTTACAATAAATAAAATATAAGATTAACATAAGTTTAGATGACAATAAAATATGATAAAAATGCCTGAAAATAAATCAAACAGATCTTTGAGATATAAATAAGTAAATTGAATTTAAAACCATAATAAATGGCTAAAGAGCAAATAGTATACAGATGAAAAAAGTTAATGAACTGAAAAATAGATATGAAAAAATTACCCAAAAGCTACACAAGCAGATACAGAGGTAGACAATTTCAAAGAGGAGAGTTTTAACATGTTAGAATGAGAAGGTCTAACATGCATCTAATTGGAATTATTAGGAATTATTTAGAATTCCAAAATAAAATAATGGAATGTGTGAGAGGCAAAATTAGAAGTAATTATGCCTGAGTGTTAAAAAAATAATAATTTGAGATAAATAATTTAAAAATATAAAAAATCTTAAAGACTTAATGAATTCTTAATTTCAGAAACCCAAAAACGTTTCCAAGCAGCTTAAATAAAAATAAATATACCTCTAGACATTTGTTAGTGGAATTGCAGAAAACCAAAGAAAAAGAGATGATCATAAATGCAGTCAGAGAGAAAAGACAGATTATCTGAAAAAGAATAACAAGTAGACTAACAGCAAACTTCTCAACAGCAGAGAAAGAAGGGAGAAGCCAGTGAAATATGTTTTAAAGTAACTGAGAGAAAATAGCTGCTAACCTAGAATTTTAAATCCAAATAAACCTATATTTCAAGGATAAATGTAAAACTATTTTTCAGGTAAAAGCAGAAGCACTTTGCCAAAAACAGATCTTTACCAACGGAACTATTTCAAGTAGAAAGAAAAAAAATCCCAGATGAAAGGTCTTAAGTGAAAGATGTGTTGATGAGCAGAGGAAGAGTTTAATATGATGCTACATCTGGACAAACACTATATAAAAAAATCACAGTGTCTTGTAGGCTTAAAAGAAGATAGAATTAAAATACATAGAAATATGAATGTATATTTTGGGAGGCGGTGACTAGAGTCAACTTTGATTAATTTTTTTAATTATGTCTATTAAAATTGCTGGCATAACCACTAAAAGACTAGAAAATCACTTATATAAGCTGCATGTTATTTGAGGGCAAAAGAGAATGATTCAAATAAAAAAATTCAATTAATAGAAGTCAAAGTAAAGAAAAGAAGTTAGCAAAAAACAGCACACATAGCATAAGATACAGTGGTGACAACAGCTTTAAATATATTACAAATCACAATAAATGCAAAGGGCTAAACTCTTTGAGACAAAGATAGTGAATGCAATGTGGTATCCTGAATTAGATGCCGGAACAGAAAAGGAACATTAGTGAAAAGGCTAATGAAATACAAAAAGTCTGTAGTTTACTTAGTTGCACTCTATTAATGTTGATTTTTCAGTTTTGACAAATGTATTGTTACCGGAGGGTCTTTGTTCTTAGAACTCCCAAGGTAGTGGCAGGCTGCTCCCAAGATGGCAGCAAGCCTTTGTTCTCTGACCTGGGGTTCTTGGCCTCACGGATTCCAAGGAATGGAGCCTTGGGCCCTGAGGTGAGTGTTATAGCACTATTAGAAGCCGTGGGTCATGGAAGAGAACCGTGGAACCCAGCGACTAGCATTCAGCTCGATTAGGACCAACCTGAGCACTTAGTCGCGCTAGGAACAATGGTGAGCCTCTAACCCTATCGGAGCGGCAATGGGTGCCTCGCTGGATCAGAAGCTAAACAGACACCCTGCCGGATCTGGAGGGGTGGAAGTCAATGGCGGGTCTGCGACGGCGGCGTTCAGCAGTGGTGGACGGTGAACAAAAGCTCAGCCTGAGCCGGAACAAACGCGGCCCAGAAGAGTGTGCAGTTGCAAGATTTAATAGAGTGAAAACAGAGCTTCCATACGATGGGAGGGGACCCAAAGGGGGTTGCCACTGCTGGCTCAAATGCCCTGGGTTTATATCCCTATAATTGTCCCTCCTCCTGTGCTCTCAGGCAATAGATCATTTGATTATTTCTTTACCTCCTGCTTTTAGCCTAATTTGTATTTTAGTGAGCCCTCTTATTACCTGATCGGTCGGGTGTGAGCTGAGTTACAAGCCCTGTATTTAAAGGTGAGTGAGGTCACCTTCCCCAGCTAGCCTTAGGAATTCTTAGTCGGCCTAGGAAGTCCAGCTAGTCCTGTCTCTCAGTATCAAGGTTATATAATATGTTAATATGAGAGGAAGCTAGGTAAAGGGCATATAGAAACTATTATACTTGCAACTTTTCTGTAAATATAAAATTATTTCAAAAAAGTTTATTTAAAAAGTCAAAGGTAGTTCTAATGGACTTTTTAAAAAATATAACTCATTTATGAGAGATATAATTAAAATGAAGAATCAGACTAGTTGAAAGTGAGAGAATAAAAATTATATGTCATCAAATCCCAATAAACAGAAATATGGGTGCTGGGCATGGTGGCTCACATCTGTAATCCCAGCACTTTGGAAGGCCAAGGTGTGAAGACCACTTGAGGCCAGGAGAGCAAGACTAGTCTAGGCAACACAGTGAGACCCTGCCTCTACCAAAAATAATGAAAAAAATTAGCCAGTTGTGATGGTGGCGAACACCTATAGTCCAAGCTACTTGGGAGGCTGAGACGGGAGGATTGCTTGAGCCCAGGAGTTCGAGGCTGCAGTGAGCTATAATCATGCCACTGCACTCCAGCCTGGATGACAGAGCAAGACCCTGTCTCAGGAAAATGGAACAAAACATACATATGGTATTGCTGTTATAACACATCAGACAAAATATGTTTAAAGAGGAAAGGTGGATACACATAAACATAGAGATGGAAAAAAGTCTGGGTCTAGTGGCTCATGCCTGTAATCCCACACTTTGGGAGGCTGAGACAGGTGGATCAATTGAGGCCAGGAGTTTGAGACCACCCTGGACAACATGGCAAAACCCTGTCTCTATCAAAAATACAAAAATTAGCCAGGTGTGGTGGCACACATCTGTAATCTCAGCTATTCGGGAGGCTGAGGCAAGGGAATTGCTGGAACTGGGGAGGTGGAGGTTGCAGTGAGTCGAAATCATGCCACTGCACTCCAGCCTGGGTGACAAAGCAAGTCTCCATCTCAAAAAAAAAAAAAAAAAGAAAAGAAAAGAAAATGATAGACAATGGGGACTGCAAAAGAGGGGAAGGTGGGAAGGGAACAGGAGTTGAAAAATTGCCTATCAGGTACAATGTTCACTGTTTGGGTGATGAGTACACTAAAAACTCAATCCCCACCAGTAAGTGATATATCCATGTAATAAATAAGCACAGGTACCCCTTGAGTCTAAAATTTAAAAAAATGATACTTCAGCAGCTTTCTGTGGGGGGGGGGGGGGGAAGAGTAGTGGTAAGCATGTCATGGCTTGTGTGACCTAATGTTTAGCTTCTGGGAAGGCTTCTTACCCCATCCCTACCTCACAATCCAAAGGATCACATTATATACTCCCATCAACTTAAAATACCATGTTTGATGTAGAAAAAAAGTACTTGCTCATCTTAGACGAATGAGTTTTCTTTATTAAAAGCAATATTTGATAGGTGAAGAGAGAGCAATTTCTGTATAACATCGCTGGCTACCTGAGGGGGCTATGAAGGTACTGAATAAAGAGACAGGGAACTCCTAAACCAAAGTTTACTTGGCATAAGACAACATTTTTTTCAGAGTATATATTTGGAAAACATTTGGTCTTAGACACGTTTATCAAAATGAAAAAGGTTTATAATCAATTGAGTTTAGAAAATAAACTCAGGGAGCATTACTAGAAATAAAGAGGGTTACTTCATATTTATAAGACAATCAACTCTCAATGTTGATAAAACAATTAAAAATATAGGTATGTCGTATTAGTCTGTTCTTACATTGCTGTAAAGAACTACCTGAGACTGGGCAATTTATAAAGAAAATAGGTTTAATTGATTCACAGTTCTGCAGGCTGTACAGGAAGCATGGCAAGGGAACCTCAGGAAACTTACAATCATGGTGGAAAGGTGAAGGAGAAGCAAGCACATCTTACCATGGTGGAGCAATAGAGAGAGAGTGAAGCGGGAAGTGCTATACACTTTTAAATAACCAGATCTCGTGATAACTCACTCACTATCACAAGAACAGCAAGGGGAAATCCACCTTCATGATCCAGTCACTTCCTGCCAGGTCCCTCCCCCAACATTGGGAATTACAATTTGACATGAGATTTGGGTGGGAACACAGAGCCAAACCATATCATCTGTAGTAACATAGCCTCAAAATATATCAATAAAAGATTGACAAAACTATTAGGGGAAAAAAGAACATACCCATCCTCACAGTTGGAAATTTTAATATTTCCCTCTCAGTACTTGATGGATAAAGCAGACAACAGTCAGAACAAATATTGATTATTTGGTCAATTCAATAGCAACCTTGATCTAATGATCTGCTCTATATAGGACGTTATGTTTAGCAACTGGAGAATACACATGAGTATTTTAGAAATTTTGAAATATTAGAGGTTGTTCTAATGACCTATTATTGATTTCTACCTTAATTGTATAATGGTTAAAAATGAAGTCTTTCTACTAAACTATGGTGAATTTCAAACTTGGTGATTTTCAAAGTCAATTTTCATGTCCTGCGTAAGCTTGAAAAGAAGGTCAGTATAGAATATTTATAGCCAGCTTTGAGAGAAATGTATAGTTAGAAACTTTTATATTAGAAGCAAAGGATGAATGTTACCATGCTAACATCCATTTCAAGGGGCTAGAAAAAGAAGAGTAGAATAAACTTAGGCATCTTTCTTTCCCTTAGTGTCAGTGATTAGAGAATCACTGTAATTCTTTGTTGAAATGTCACAAGACGAAAGACCCTGAAAATATGATGTGATAATATGACCCACTCCAAAAAAAGTCCCCCAGTGAGCTATGGTGGTTTCAATAATACTGCTTATTCTTTCAGAAGGCTGTGGGAATGTAAGGGTGGGCAGGACTAAGCTAGGCTAGAGGCTGGGGAAAAGAGCTCTCTGAAGAAAAAGGATTTAAACTGAACTCTCAAGGGCAAGCAGGATTCATCTAGCAAAGAACCCTTACTGTACAACTCTGAAGAAGACAATCTTTCTGCTGAGAAGTTTGGTTCCTCTTTTCTGGATTCAATAAAGTCTGACACAGAGCTCAGAGAGAACCTTGCCTGGCAGGGACATGGAAAAGCTGACCAGCACTAACCTCTCTTTCTCAGGAACAAGGTCTTTTCTGCCTCTTAACTGCTCAGAATTCATGAGCCAAAGATGTTTGTCTCATTAACCTCATGTTAGGGAGAAGAGGATGAAAATGAGTTGATCAATCAGGACTTTGTTTCCTAGTAGCTGATTATAATCATCCAGATACATATGCCTGATTGAAATTGTTCATGATTGAAGATTGGATAGTTGAAGCGGGCTGGTCTCATGGAAGTTTAATCAAATGTTTGATGCAGTGAAAAATGTACTGGACTGGGAGGCAGGGGACTCCAGTTCTTGTTTCTAGTTCATCTACAACCAGCTATGCGATTTGGAGAATTTCCTGTTATCTCTGTATTGCCAGTCTACTAATTTGAAATGAAGGGGTGGGGTTTCATAATCTATGAGACACTGTTGAGCTGACTAACATCTCTACTTATCTTCACTAGAGGGTGAACAAGACCTCCTGTGCTTTGGGTATTGGGTTTTGGGCAATCGAATGGCAGTGGTGATAATGATAATAGCACTAAAAATAGCTAACCACATTCTGAGGGCTACACATTTCACATGCCTGACTTCATTTAGTACTCACAATAACCCTATGAGGTAAAAAATACTCTTGGCCTCATCTTACAGTCAGGAACCTGAAACAAAAGGAAGTAAAGTAACTTGCCCAAGGTCATGTGCTCATAAAGCATGGAGTCAGGGGTGAACCAATCACACAGGCTGACTGCACATAGCAACCACATACACACTACCTTGCCATCTGAGAAGGTGCTTGGGGAGGGAGGAAGGGGGGACATGAGAGAGACCACCACCAAGTGAAAGAAGGAAATGGAGTAAAAGATAGGTTGGGGCTATGACACACTTCATCTGTTTCCCAATTTGGTTTAAGACAGGCCATGACAAGCCAGCCACATTGCACATCTCCAAGGGCATTAGCCACATCCACACAGAGTGTGTTCTTCAGTGGGCAGGTATGTGCAAACCTACCCCCAAAGTCCCAGGAAGCTGAGAGGCTGAAGAAAGAGGCTGGCATATTTAGTGTGGCATATTTCTCAAAAAGAAACATTTAATAGGGACTTACAAACAGAAGCCATGTTTGTGTCTCAGGTGTAGGTGAGACAAGATGGTGGATCCCATGCCGTTACTCTCCAGACCCAGGGCTTATATACCATAGAGAAAGGTGACTCAGAATGGATGTCTAGGATGACTGAAGTATAAAAGCATTAAGACTGTTTGACCTGAGGGCAGAATTTATGGTAAGTACCTGCTCTTACACAAGGAACAATAGATAAACTGGAAGTCTTAGAGGCCTTCCCAGAACAGGCTTAATTGAAGTCAGTGTGGTAGATCAGCATCCAAGATGGAGTTACTTTGGACTCCAAAGAGTGCAGTGTGAATGGCACACTCTGGAGTTGTCCAACATGCAGCCCTGGGCCAGGTAAAGTACAATAAGAGGGGCAGCATCTACTTCACCCTCTCAAAATCGCTTCCGTCCTTTCTTCTCACTGCTGGGGTGAGACTCAACCTACTCTAAATTTATGTGAGGTAGATGTAGGAGGTGGGAGGTGGAAATCAGCCTTCAAAAAGATAAAATTTTAATATGCTTAATATAAACCAGAAAGTTTTCTAAATTTAAAGCTCATTTATTCAAGAAAAGATATTCATATTAATACACAAAGACACATATGAATCTGATTGTTTCAGACCTACTAGCAGAGAGAATCTTCTTTCTGACCCTTTCTTCTTTTCTGTAGCTCAGGATATTTGGAAGATGTATACAAACTCTTGGCTTTATTTGGCTTCTTTCCCCAAGAAAATGTTGATCTTGCTTGCAAGGTAAACTCTTATAGGACCATAGACCTTTCCCTTTGTAGTTTAGGCAGTTTGCTGTCTGAGTAGATGATAGAAATGGACATAGAAATTCTAAATTAGTATATAAAGGGGATTTCAGTTTAAGGAGAGGTGATTAATAATGGGATCCTGGAGTTCTGAGATGATTGTTCTCTTGTCAAGAAGAGTATTTATTTCTTGCTTCTGCTCAAAAACAGGAGGGACCTATTACTAGAATCTTTGAGGCCCTTGAGAAACCAATGGGCTTTGACAAGCTATGCTGGTTTAATTGGAGTCAATATTCTTGTGGTTATGTTGATTTGATTATATTATCATGCCTGTTACATCATGATCCTGTTGAAGGAACAGCCTTATGCAGTTAACTTTGTAACAGGAAAAAATAAATGTAATTTACAAAATTAGACTTTCATAAGAATCATGTCATTAAAAAAAGAGAATCAATCATGTCAGAATTTTTCATTCGTTCTTTTACAAAATGGTGGATAGGAGGCAGGACTAACTTGTAGCTCCCACTTGGATGGACAGAGCAGTGTGTGGAGACTCACATAGTGAATTTTTGCTCCAAGAACTACTGCAGGAACATACTAGGAAAGCCGAGAGAATCCACAAACCCTTTGAAAGAAGCAGGTTGCTGTTGCAGGCCTCCGGAGACAGCTAAAAAACTGTCCAAAGTGTGAAAGTGTGAAAGGGGAATTGTCTGCCCTCAAACACACCCCCTCACTGGGGAACTTGAAGGTCCAGATCATGGGAGGATTTGATCTTACCTGGAGCTGAGACAAATTTAGTGAGCTGAGCAAAGTACAGGGGTAGAAGAAGCAGAGGGATGAGCCCTGTGGGGTCTTTATGTCCCAAGGGAAGCCGTTTCTGAGTTTGTCTCACAGAGGTCCTTGGGGAGGGCTGCCAGAGGAACTGAGAAAAGACCACAGGGAGAAGGAAACTTCTAGCTGAATTTGTAACAGTTTTCACCGAACACAAAGTTTCCTGGAGAGAATCTGAGGGTGTGTGGAGGGGTGTGAATTTGGAATGCAGACATAGCACAGAACCTGTAGCAGGTGGGGAGATGCTAAACTTGAAAACCCTGCGTGCTTTCTCAGCCGTGAGACTGGTAGCCCGGGGCAAGTTCTCAGCCCTGTTCACCTTCTGCCTGGAAATAAACTTGGTGCTGTTGGGGTGGGGGCACAATGGGAGTGAGATCAGCCTTTTGGGCTGCAAGGGAGCTGCGTGAATCCTGTAACTGCTGGCTTTCCCCTCTTCCCTGGTGACCTGGATGATGCAGCAGAGGCAGCCATAATCTTCCTGAGAACATAACTCCATTGGTGTGAGAACCACACCCATACCCCACAGTAGCTGCAGCAAGCCCCATCTAAGGAGAGTCTGAGCTCATGTGTTTATTTATTCTTTTGTTGATAGTTCTACCAGTAGAGTGCAGTGATTAAAGGTATTAAGTTTGGAATTTAACAGCTGGACTTAAATCCCAGCCTTCAACTTTCTAGCTGTGTGTTCTTGGGAAAATGATTTAATCTCTTGAGTTCAGATTTTCTTAATTGTAAATGGGATTAATAGTAGTACCTATCCGAACCCCCCTTTGCAAAGACATAACGGCAGGAGAAATCTAACGTGGCTGACTCCATCTTACCTCTAGCGTCACAGGCTAGCTGTCTTCACTCATTCCTGGGCATAGACCAAGCTATCCATGGGAGGAATTTAGTTTATAGTTTAACTTGGAAGAAGGGTGATAATAGTCCCTTTCTAAAACTCACCCCCTCCTTGCTCAGGGACCAAAAACTAATGAAAAGCCATGAGATTAGGATTAGGGGAGGAGCCTGAACTCTGCTAAAATGTAGGCATAGTTTCTATAATCCCTTACTGCTCAGGAGTCATGTGGTCAGAGTTTACAAGATTTATGACTTCCCCAGTTGCTTCTATAGATAACATCACTATTGTAGAACCTAAGGTTGGTCTTTTGAGATGTTTTTTAGATTTTTGCATTCTGGCAACAGGCCTGGACCTGTGACTCATGACTCATAACTTACCCAGTCCTGTGGCCCATACTCAGAGGTAGACGTAGTGTATGAGGATCATTTTTCACACCCCTATGATTTTATCCTCAACCAATCAGCAGTACTCATTCCCTAGCCCCTACTCACCAATTATCCATAAAAACCCTAGCCTCTGAATTCTTAGGGAGACTGATTTGAGTGATAACTTCCATCCTTCTGCTTGGCTGCCTTGTGTTAATTAAATTCTTTCTTTACTGCAGTATCATAGTTTCAGTGAATTTTTTTTTTTCTATGCAACAGGCAGGGAGAACCCATTGGGTGATTACTTATCTCCTAGATCCATTATGAGGATCAAATCAGATAATGATATAGTAAAAACTCAATAAGTGTAATCAATTCATATTAATAAAATAATACCTTTATCTAATGCAGAGAAAAAAGCTCAGTGAATAATATAGAATTTCAAAAATAAAATAAATATGTTTTATTTCTATCAAGGTTTATTTCTTACTTGTTTGGGATTCTGACAAGATTAGGGCTTTGAAGCTTAAAAGTAAACATAAACACACACACACACACACACACACACACACACATATATACACACATATGTATAATACACCACCCCTAAATAAAATTTACTTTTTCACCACAAATGAAATATTTTCCACTTCTGCCTAAAAGAATACTGAATGATCCATTTTGTTCTACAGAAGAGAGAATATATACTTCTCAACCACCTTCACTATTGAATATCCTTCTAGAAGAACTAAAAGCTTCTCTTTGTTATTGACCTAGGTATAGTGTGTCAAGAGGTCAGATGACAGTGTGTGTCTGGCCCCTTATTTGATTGTCTACTCATGCTGAAAAGATGTACAAAAAGCAGCATCTTCCAAAGTTGTAGAGATGGGAAGAGAGATTAAAGGAGACTCTCACTGATTCATACAGGGGCTTCCATATTGGTTTCAATTTTGAGTAGTGATTTTTTTCAGTTCATATTGAATCCTGCCTTAAACACAAGCACGTGCACCAATATTAACAATAAACACTAGCTTAGATAAATTGAGTTCTTATTGTGTTCTGTGCACTATTCCAATGTCTCTACAGGGATTTCCTTATTTAATCCTCATATAGAGACACCAGGAAAATACTATTATTATCCCTATTTAATGGATAAGAAACTGACTTAGTGGAGTTAATGACTTGTTTAAATCATACTGCTGATTGTCCTATTCATCAAATTTATTGAGCACCTAATCTGTGAAGGGCTCTGTGGAATATGAAGATAGGAGAGGTCCCCTTGGAGCTTGTAATCTAATGGCAAGAAGTGAGGCACTTTTTGTCCCCTTAGAGCTTGTAATCTAATGACAGGAAGTGAGGCACACAAAGTATACGCCCTATGTGACAGATGGATGCCATGGAAAGAAAGCTTATTCTTTGTTATTCTTTTTCTATAAGTTTTAAGTCTCCAAATAAAACATCATCTTTCATGTGCATGTACCTTTAAATATGTCATTGCCTCTACTTAGACTGTGTCTTCCACTAGTCCTCTTCTCCCTTCCCCCTGCTTTTTTCCTTTAGTAACCCCTACATGTGCTTTGAGACTCAGCTCGGAGGTTATGTCTTTCAGGGAGGCACTCTTCAATCTGGATTGGTTGCTCCTTTCTGCATTCTTATAATGGTTTTGGAAACCCTACAAAGTAAAAGTGCTGGGCGTTCACCCAGGGTGACACAAGTACCAAGACCTTTCAGGGTTAGACCATCTTGTACATAGGCTTTGAGTGGCCTTGAGGTATGATAGAGTGCCCTATTGGAAGAAGTGAGGGTTAAACACTAAGCCCAGTTTTACCACTAGAACCAACTTTGTAACCTTCAACTAATTTCGTTTAACTTCTTTGGACATTATAAAATGGGAACAAAAATGGTAACCTTTTCTTTAGCTATTTTAAAATACAGCTGTAATTTTTCAAACGAGGTAATATATACATGGCTTGTTAGTATAACTTTAAGAAAATTTTAAGATAATTGGGAGCCATTCCCAATTATCATGACTATTATTTTCAGATCTTGACTTTGAAGGGATGAATCTAAATTATAAAGTAGGCAGCTGCAGATGAACAAAAGAACAAATAGAATACTCTGCACATTCCACTCTACCTATCATGTCTTCCTTTATTATAAATTATTTCAGAAGTGCTCTGTGCAATCTTGTTTCAAATATCTCAGATAATAATTCCCCCATCACTTGTGTGTGAGGGTCATCTCAGAGGTATATTAACTGCATGGAGGAGGACATCACTTTTATATTTTTGTTTTGTGAACAAATCCAGTGAAGTTGACAAAATCATCCCCTTTTCCTTTTACATATTTGTGAAGGACAGTGCACAGGAGATGTGACAATTTTGGAGGCACAGAGTGAGGTTCCAAAATGAATAATCACCTCTTAGCCCTCTGTGAACACTGCTGCATCAGGAACCTGTGTAAACAGATACACTTGAGGAAACACTGCCTTTTCTCTGCCAGTTAATAGCATTGTTACTGACTTAACTGGCATCCAAGTTTTTTCTTCGTTGTTCATTGAACCATTTTTTTTCTGTAAGATTTTCTAAAGAAAATGAAATGGAAAATAATAAGGTAAGATTCCCAAGTGAAAATGACTTTAACTTTAATAATATTTTCATATCATAAATCAGTGCAGATGAAGAAATAAAATAGTCAGTCTTTTATATGAAAGTGCTTTCTATAATCATCACCTGAGATGCCAAAATTGTTAAACTCTCAAAGTGTGCAAATAGCCACTACAATGACCTATATTTGAAAATTTGGGGATCTTTGAACAATTCAACCAACATTCTCTGCTTGGCTATTACTATATCAATAAAAATAATGCATTGCATGGATTATAAGTTTGTGTTTAAAACCTTTGCCTTCATAGATTTCAGGAGGTGAATGAATTTGCCTAAAACGTTCTGTGTTTATCACAGAGAACATGCAGTGTGAATCCCACATTTTGTAAAAGAGAAAACGACAAACTCTTTCACAGCACAGAATAAAAATGAAGAAAATGATACAAAAGTGTGGCTGCAGGTAACCCCGTTTTCCTGGGAAACTACTGTGGTTCTCTCATATTTATAAGCCATCTCTTAGGAGGAGATATGCAGGATGAAATAGTTATTAATTCTTATGGTCTAACAAAGAGAGGAAAAATGTCTCATAGGGCTTGAAAGAAATATCCTAGTAACTTACTGTGGAATTGGATTTCAGATAAGGTGAGTATGTCTCAGATCCCATGCACAGGTATTATTATTATTTTTTCTGAACTACTAAAATAATTTTTTATAAGTTGGTCTTGAAGCACAGAGTCCAAAGAAAGCATTAGATTTAACCCCTGTGTATAAAGAAGGAGTTGTGCCAAAGACATTGTGATGACTTTGAAAATACACAAAATATCATGTTATCTCCCTTGTCTTTCACCAGACAAGGTTCTATTTCTCAATCTTGTCTGTCCACATCCAACTAGACAACTTACATGAAATGCTAATGAGATCCTGAAAGAAATAAACAGTGCAATTTCATATTCAGTGCCAAAAATTGGTGAATTTTAAATTCTCTCCTTATCATATTGAACAATGACCTTGGATAAATTGCTCACTGCATCTCACGGTTCATTTTTGAAACACAATATAATGTGAAGCCAAGATTTCAAAGGTGCACACCTCATTCTCCTCCATCGCATGGCTCTCTTCTCAGAGAGAGAAATGGAAACATTGCTTATCAACAAAATGGACTGGAGTTGGCACAGGCGTCAGGCCTTATTTTCTATTCATGATATACAGTAAAGAAAATGTGCTTTGAACCAAGACAGAGTCTTAGGTTCAAATTCCTACAGTTTACTGGCTGTTTACTCCAGGCAAGGTGCCCAACTTCTTTGAGTATCGGTTTCTGATTTAGGAAACAATAATTCCTGATCTGCAGAGTTATTTTAAGAATATGAAACAGTGTACATAAAATGTCAATGATTGGAGTCACTCAAAAAAATGACAGCCGTTCTTATTTCTATCTATGAAAGTGATTTTGTCTAACAAATATTCATTGTGTGCCTACTCTGTACAAGGCACTGGGGCAGGCACTGAAGCTAGTAACATTCGAATAGAACATAATCACCATCCATGGCCTAGGAAAGGAAAAGTTTCATAAGGCACATCTCCTCCTACCTTATGATATGTGCCATGGTGGTTAATATTATGTGTCAACTTGGCTATGCCACGGTACTAAGATATTTGGTCAAACATTCTTCTACATGTTTCTGTGAGGGTATTTTTAGATGAAATTAACATTTAAATCAGTAGGCTGTGTGTAAAGCAGATTATTCACCATAATGTGGGTGGGCCTTATCTAATCAGTTGAAGGTCTTAATAGACAGAAGACTGACTGTCCTTGGGCAAGAAGAAATTTTGCCGGAAGACTGCAACATCAACTCTTCCCCAAGTCTGTGGCCTATCCTGCAAATCTTGGACTTGCCAGCCTCTATAGTCACATGAGCCAGTTCCTTAAAATGAATCTCTATCTATCCATTTATCCAGAGATAGATACGTATTTCCATATATCCATATCTATGTGTGTGTGACTTATACATGTACTTTTATATTTTCTATTCTAATTTATTACATTAAATCTTTTCTTGAAAAATAATTGTTGATTGAGATCCACTAAATTTGGGTTTTATGATCCACTAATAGGTAGTGACTTGCAGTGTGGCAAAACACTTTGAAAAATGATGCCTTTCCATTTAAATATTGCACCTACTTCCCACCCCAATTTTGTTGCATTTTATTCTTAGTGCCATAAAAAACAGTTTTAATCTACTACTTTTGAATAAATTATTCTAGAAAAATGTGCAACTTATCCTCAGAAGTTTTATTATAACTTTGTCCAAATTTGAATAATTACCACAGATAAAATATCCAAGGGCTCATTTGACCCTGCTTATTAATTATGGAAACATAAAGCTAAAAAATAAATTACCCTGGTTTTATCTGTTGGTCATGATGACTCCATAAGTTGCATTTCCAATAAAGCAAAAATGTTCCATTTTTTTGTTACTCCTAAAAATGAAACATTGGGACTTTTCTAGCCCAATGTTGTTAACAAATGTAGTATTTGTTAACAGAAATGTACATTTGAAAAGTAAAGTGAGTACAGTTAGCTTTCTGTATGTATGGGTTCCACATCCATGGATTCAATAAACCATGGATCAAAAATTTTCAGAAAAAAAAAGGGACAGTTTCATCTGTACTGAACATGTATATAGAACTTTTTTTGGTCATTATTTCCTAAACAATGCAATATAACAACTACTTACATACCATTTACATTGTAGTAGGTATTATAAGTAATCTAAAGGTGGTTTAGATTATACGGGATAATGTGTGTAAGTTATATAGAAATACCACACCATTTTATATAAGGATTTGAGCATTCATGGATTTTGGTATCTGCGGTGGTCCTAGAACCAATTCCTTGTGGGTATTGAGGGATGCGTGTACTCCCAGTGGCCAAAGCTGGAATGATTTTAGCAACAAAGTAAGTATATTGGACTATAATTTAAAGCACAAAATAGATAGCCACAAGTCCATGATGCTATAAAAATGATTGGATAAATACATAAATGAGAGAGAAGAGATTAATCTTCTTTACAAATGAATTCTAAATAATTTATATATAATAATTTATCAGGAACTAGAGCTTAGTTCCTCTACACCTCTTCTTATCCCTCACTTCAGCCCCCATTGAGTGTGGGCTGCACCTACTAACTTGCTTTCAAAGAGTAGAATATGGGAAGAGCTAGGGCATAGGGTAAAATCACAGTAGGGAGACCTGGCAAATACTGTCTCATCAAGGCGATGGAAGTTATCATCAGCAATTAGTCATATTGATAGTGTGCATTCTTGACCTGCTGTACTTAGAATGACACTGCATTTCTGTGTTTTTTCTCCCAAAACTCATGACTCCAGGATAGCCATGAGAAAGATATTGATCAAACCCAAATTGAGTGACATTCTGCAAAAACTTTGATCAGTGCTCCTTAAAACTGTTAGGTCATCAATAACAAGGAAACTTGTTGTTTCTGAGAAACTGTCACAGATCAGAGGAGGCTAGGGAGATACTGACTCAATGTAACCTGGACCATAAAAAAATATCATTGAGGAAAAAAATTGATGACACCTGAATAAACTGTTAGGTTGATATTATGATGACATCTGAATAAACTGTTAAGTTAATAGTAACGTACCAATGTTGATTTCTTACTTGTGACAAAGGGGTCCTGGTGGCATAGAACAATAACAGTAGGGGAAACTGTGTAGGGCTATATATAAATACTTTGTACAAACGTTGCCACTTTTCTGTAAATTTAAAACACTTCTAAAATAAAAAAGTGTTCTTAAAATAAAATAAATACAGTTACATGAGTCACAGGGAAATGTACTAAATGCAAATAAAAGAATGTAATTTGAAAGTGTCAGAAAGTAGTGGTTGAATATATTTGAATTTCTCTTGTTCTCCTTGTGCTCCTAGGGGAGCAATTCTTTGAGGTTTAATTGCCTTTAAACACTTATGAATTGTATATTTAAAGACTATTGCATATCAGATTTTATGCCACAGAAACATTTTATTGAGTAAAATTGCTTATTCTATTAAAATTAAATCATTTTATGGATGATATTTTTCAAAATCTTTTTGGAGATAAAAGGAAAATTCAAAAAGCAATGATGATGTGTTATTCCAAAAAAAGTACCTGTGATTTTTGTTTCAAAATATCAGGTGCTAATTTTCATCATATTTTAAATTTCATTTGAATATTACTCTTCTATTGTAAACTTGTGCTGAATTCCTGTTGCATTTTTTTCTAGGAGAGGGAAAAGGAAGAGTTAGCTTTGGGATAGGAGATCAACACTGTCTTACATACTTAAAGACTCTGCTTAATGACATCCTGAGAGTCATCAAGAAGGCTTGATAGAGATAACCAAGATTTATATATTTGATTTAGTTACATTCAATGTAAAATTATCTTGCTCTTCTGAGGCATTGAGTCTAGACACTTCTCATAATAGAAAAATCCTTATTACTCTATTAGACATGAATTACTTCAGACAGTTTTTTCCAAAGTTCCATTATCAGTGTTGTTGCTAACTGACTGCATTAGTCTAAGGATGCTAATTGCTATAATGTAATCTCCAAGCTTTTATGGCTAAATATAATAATGATTTATATCTCATTCAGGTCACAGCCAGTGCAGGTCATTGGGGGCAGAAGGTTTGCTCCATGTATCATCAAGAGTGAGGCTTCTCCCACCTAGTGGTTCTGCCCACTATTACACTGGCAAAAATAGACACATGGGAGAGACCAGGAGTGTTTGTCCAGGCCTCCATTGCAGAGTCCAGGGGTATGCTGGTAAGTGTTTAATAATCAGCAGTCACGGAGGAAAAATTTTTAAAGCCTTGATTTGTAGCAATTGCAAATTTCCATGGTGCGTATATATCTCCCATGGTCTATCAGAAGCTATTCACAAAATATCAGGGAACATGAAACTGGGAAAAGAGGTGCATGTTCAGCACAAGCCACTTTGAGTTGGCTCCAATCCACCACCAAATAGTCCCTCCCTTCTGCAAATAGACACTGAGGAGAAATTTGGATTAAAGCTTCTCACATTACACATGTATTGTTGTTGTATGGGATGGTTGCCATAATCAGTTCTGAAGACAGTACTTTGCATAAGTTTAGACTAAGGTGCTGTTTATATCATATCTGTGTGACTCATGTCCCAATCTGCATAGCAGTCTGTGGCAGACCTACTATGGAATAATGCTGCTTGATCAAATACAAAAAGAGCAAAAAGAGGAAAAAAGAAAGAGAAAAAATGTTTTCTTTCCTCATGAAGTAATAACATCTAAAATGAAGAGGAATGCCACTCAAATTAGGTGCCATTTTTGCAAGTTTTGATGGCAGTTTATATGGCCACTAGAATGGCCATTAAAGCACATTGCAAATTATATCACTGTATATAATGCTCCATAAAATAAATTTCTATGGATTAAGTCCAAAATTTCAGTCATTTGCTTGCAAAAATGGTCACTCCATTTAAGATACCATACAAATTATGTTCAGGCATTAGGAGCAAGTGGTTATAGCAGCCGTGTCATTAAGCCCATCCATAACTTTATAACTCAGTTTACATGCTGCATAACACCTTGTTTATAAATTAGTTTCCTGGCAAGAATTTGTAGACTTCAGGATGACCTTAAAATTTATATACTGATTAGGAAATAATTACATACCATATGTTGCAGGGAACATGAAAATGAAAGAAATCACACATAAGCTTAGGTTAGGACAAGTTCTAGAATATTTGATACTGTTCTTTTTGTTCACATCAACATAGCTAAGGAGTTGATCCTTCACCTTAAAAGCAGGAATGACTCTTTTGATACCCTACATACCTCCTTTCCAATCCAGTCATTTAAGAATATCAGGAATAAGGGATTGGAATTGGTTGGCTCATGCTTGACAGAAAAGTTGAGAAAAATAATTGCTAGAAGCTAAATGTAATACTTTCTTCTCCAGAGCCCCTTGACTCTAAAAAGTTTGAATACCAATAAAGCAAATTAAAAGGTGTAAATTATTCCTATAGTTCAATGTTTATGTAACTAAATTTCTTAATATTATTCTTTATAGTATTTTGTATATATCTAAACTTAAAAGGCCTGAGAATACCAAGAAATAGAGGAATATTCATCTATATTAATTCTTTTGTGTTCTACTTTCCTTTTTACTTTCAAATCTTTAATTAACCTGGGATTCATGTTGAAAATTATGAAGGTTAATTTTATGTGTCAACCTGACTGACCATAAAGTGCCCAAATACTTGGTCAAAGATTATCTTAGGTATGTATGTGAGGGTGTTTTGGATGAGATTAACATTTGAATCTGTAGACTGAGTAAAACAGGCTGTCCTTCCTAATGTGAGTAGGTCTCATCCCATCAGTGGAGGGCCTGAATAGAACAAAAAGTCTGAACCTCCCTTACATGAGAGGGAATTTCCTCTTACTTGATTGCCTTATGGCTGGGACATTGGTTTATCCTGCCTTTGGACTCCAGCTGAAACATCAGCTTTTCCTGGGTCCACTGACCTTGGGACTGAAACTGCACCATTGGCTCTCATAGGTCTTCAGCTTGCCAACTGCAGATCTTGGGACTTGTTAGCCTCCACAATTGTGTGAGCCAATTCCTTATCATCTCTCTCTCTCATGCTGTGTGTGTGTGTATAATAATTAATAGATATCTAATTGTGCACCCTACCCCATGATTTAGTCAATTGTTTCAACATTATGAAAATCTATTTTTTTGAGACAGTGTCTCACTCTGCCACCCAGGCTAGAGTGCAGTAGCACGATCTTGGCTCACTGCAACCTCTGCCTCGCAGGTTCAAACAATTCTCGTGCTTCAGCCTCCTGAGTGGTTGGGATTACAGGTGCATGCCACCACTCCCAGCTAATTTTTGTAATTTTAGTAGAGATAGGGTTTCACCATGTTGGCCATGGTTAATCTCCAACTCCTGACCTCAGGTGATCTGCCTGCCTTAGCCTCCCAAAGTGCTGGGATTGCAGGTGTGAGCCACCATACCCAGCCTAAAATCCTCTTTCAATATTGACTAAATACTCACATGTGTTTTGACTTGATTCACAGATTCATATTCTCTTCTATTAATATGTGACTATCTATAACTTTATCAGTAATACATTATTTAATTATGGTCATTTGATAGATGTTTAATATCTAGTAGTGCTTGTCCAAATCAATTTGAATATGTTTATGCTACTACAATGAAATAAAGATGGGGACTGGGCTGAAGTTAGACAAATAGTATGCTTTTCAACCTGAAAGGCAAAGACAAAGAGACAGCTTTTCGATCTTTTCCTTTCTTTTTTCTCTTCTTCCTGCCTACCTACTTGTTTGCCTTGACTACAACAACACTCCCCCAACTAACTGCTTAGACATTTATGCTCCTGGAAGCCCTGTTGGAAAACCATCTTCTTAGACTTTTATCTGCCATCCCAAGGTATGTTTTTATTCTTTGTGTTTTCACAAATCTTGGCAACAATTTAAATGGCATTGTTAATATCACAATTTACCTAATGCATTTTCAATGTCCTCTTTAATTCTCCCAAACCAGTGGAAAGGCAAGATGAAAAGAGATTCATAAAATTGCTGTGTATTATGTTACTTCCTAACTGAGTGGTTTATTTGCTTACTAAATGGTCCTACATTTATAGTCAATCGTCACCAACAGATAACACATCAAAAATAAACTTCAATTTCACATTACAGAGGAGGTGATTCCAATTTGAATGTTATTTATCATAGAGAATATGTTACTAAATCCAGTTTATGGAAAGATTATGCCATTTAATTTACTTTTAGAGAGAGGAATATGCTTTCACGAGAAACTGCATTAGCTATTAGAAAAGTAATGTAGCTGTTGGTCTGCACCACTTCCAGCAAGCATGGGTACATTGCGTTGACAAAAACAGCTGGATTTTTTTCTAGTGTGATCTGATAGAAAGAGCACTGGGCTGGTAGTCAGGGTTAGGTCAAGGCAAGGTTCTAACTAGCTGGGTGACTGTAAAGAGATAGTTACACAACCTCTCAGGGCCTCAAGTGTTTTATTTATAATATGAAGTGTCCAGATGAAATCTGGGATACTTATACGACCCTATGATCAAGAGGAGATGCTTTTATTGTCCCAGCTTCTCTAATATCACCAGGGAAAGTGAAAGTGGCTACAGTAAAGTCATTATATAAAGAACAGGAGGAAGTAGAGCTTCCCCCTCGGCCAACTGCAGAGATGTGAGTGTATGTGTGTGTGGTTGGGTGCAGGGAGGGAGACAGTGGTACCAGTTTGAAGACTTACCAGCTGAGACTTCATGATATTTAGAGTAGATGATAACATAGTTAAAGCTCAATTCAGTTTATAGGAATGTTACATTATTCAGTTTACTTTTAGAATGAGAATTATCCTGAAGCTGTAAATTCCTTGGGTGCAGGGACTGTGCTTTGACCACTCTTGAATAGTGACTGTGCATGGCTGAACTTGTGAATTTTGACTGACGACGGCTCACAGATTACCCTGAGCAGTCTCAATTTTAACCGTTTTATCCTATTAACAATTACACAAAATCATATTCGGTCTAAGTAAAAGAGACATGAAGGGAGGCTTTTGCTTTTATGTTTGAACCATTTCCACTGTTCATATCTCCTCAACTTGAATGTATAAACCTTTAATGTCTGGTTGGTGGGATTATGAGCCATTTTAGCTTTTCTCTTTCTGGGGCTCAGAAAATGATACTGCAAAGTATGACACTTTGGCATGCTGAGTACTTTGAACAAAAGGAGATTGGAAGGTCCAGAAGTAGCCTCAGAAACAAAGTCTCTCTCTGACCTTCTCTGGCCCTCCATTTTCCCGTCCCTCCATCTCCCCTAAAGTGAGTCATAGAAACCAGAATTCCTCTCCTCCAAGTTGGGTCACAGATACTAGAACCCCTCTCCCCTAAAGCAAGACATAAAACCTAGCAAGGTCATTCTCTCCCTTCTCCCTTGAAGACCCTCATTCCACAGGGGTTCTGCCCTATACCTAGGAGGGAGGAATGCTATGCAGAGAGACCGAGAAGAATCTGGACATACAAGCCTTGCTGGGTTTCTCAGTCTATTATCATTAGATCAGACCCTTTTGTCAATCACATTGCTACATGGTTGTCCATTCTTCGTTGAAACTAAGCATAAAAGCAGACGGTTTTCTCTAGGTCTTTGGATCTTCATTTCTGAAGGCTCCTGTATCGCACAAAACTTTGATTAAATAAATTTGTTATGTTTCTCTCTTGTTAACCTGTCTTTTATGATAGGAGTGCCAGCTGTGACCCTTATGATGGGCAAGAAAACGTACCACACTTTCTACCCATATACTCTATTTCTTTATATTCAAAATAATAACTATTAATATTATATTATAAAAATTTCATTCTGTTGTCAAATCATGGGTCAACATTAAGTCTTGATTTTAGTTCTGAGAACCTGATTGCCCTTTTAAGTTCGTTACTGAATATAAAGTTCTATGCATTTAAATAAAGGGCACCACTGGAAGCAGCAATTACTGCATACTACATTAAACAGGTTTTGGGAGATTTAGGAGGGACAATGCCGATTACATCTGATTAATTCTGGCCCAGAGGAAAGTTTATGTTTTTATCCAAGAATAATTCAAGACCTCCTTCACACTCATCAATCATGAGCCAAGTATTATATCAGGTGCCAGGTATATAGAAACTAAGATAAATGTAGTCAAGAACTTCATTCTCAGGAAAGTCTGATCCCATTAATTATTCTTTTTCCAAATTGTGGGGAGTCAAAATTTGTGCATCTTCATGTATCTGCCTGCCATTTCAAGCTGGATCAATTTGAAAGTGGGCTTTAAGGAGCTTGTCATACTTTGATTCCCTTTCCCCACCTACAGGCACCCCATTTGGGCCTGCTATCTGAAAAACGACCTATCTCTGAAGGTCTCTTCATTACCGTCTGATATGGTTTGGATCTGTGTCTCCACTCAGATCTCATGTTCAATTGTAATCCTCAATGTTGGAGGTGCAGCCTGGTGGGAGGAGATTGGATTGTGGGAGTGGTTTCTCATGAATGGGTTAGCAACATCTCCTTGATGCTGTCCTCAGGATGGTGAGTGAGTTCTTATGAGTTCTGGTAATTTAAAAGCAAATTTCTTCTGCTAGCTTTGGGGCTGGCTTGCCCTTTTTTTTTTTTTTTGTAGTTCCTGTAAGTGTGATGTTATAATAGTTCAGTAAGTTGAAATCTTTCTGACATTTTGATGCAAGCATTTAGTATTGTAAGCTTTTCTCTTACCACTGCTTCAGCCTTGTTCCAGAGATTCTGATATGTTGTATCTTTGTTTTCATTAGTTTCAAGTAATTTTTTGATTTCTGCCTTAATCTCATTGTTTACCAAAAAGTCGTTCAGAAGTAGATTTTTTTTTTTTTTTTTTTTGAGACAAAGTTCCGCTCTGTCACCCAGCCTGGAATGCAGTGGCACGATCTCAGCTCACTGCAACCTCCACCTCCTGGGTTCAAGCGATTCTCCTGCCTCAGCCTCCTGAGTAGCTGGGATTACAGGCTCTACCACACCAGGTTAATTTTTGTATTTTTAGTAGAGGCGAGGTTTCACCATGTTGGCCAGGCTGGTCTTGAACTCCTGACCTCAGGTGATCCACCCTCCTCAGCCTCCCAAAGTGCTGGGATTACAGGTGTGAGCCACTATGCCCGGCCAGGAGTAGGTTGTTTAATTTCCTTGTAATTGTATGGTTTTGAGCAATCTTCTTATCATTGGTTTCCATTTTTATTGTGCTGTAGTCCAAGACCGTGGTTGGTATGACTTCAGTTTTTATTTTTTTTATTTTTTATTTTTTTAAATTTGAATTTGCCGGGAAGTTCTTTATGGTCTAATGTGCAGTCAATGTTAGAGTATGTGTCATGTGCACATGAGAAGAATGTATATTGTTTTTGTTGGGTGGAGTGTCCTGTAGATGTCTCTTAGGTCCTTTTGGTCAAGTGTTAAGTTTAGGTACAGAATATATTTGTCAGTTTTCTGCCTTGATGATCTGTCTAATACTATCAGTGCGGTGTTAAGTCTCCCACTATTATTGTGGTTATCAATTTACTTCGTAAGTCTCTGAGAACTTGTTTTATGAATTTGGATGCTCTAACACTAGGTGCGTATATATTTAGGATAGCTAGATCTTCTTGTTGAATTGCACCCTTTATCATTATGTAATGTCTTTTTTTTTTTTTATCAGTAAGGAATTTAAGGACAAAAGGGAAACTAGTGGCTATGATCTATGGCAGTTCTGACTCCCTTTAAAAGATTCCTGGAGTGTCACAACTTGGAGATACCTTGGTCTATACCTTTCCTTTTACAGGTGCTAAATCCGAGTCTCATTGTAGTAAAATGACCTGCCCAAAGTTCTTTTTCTCAGGGGAGATCCCCTGCACACTCTGCCTCTCTTGCAGAATTATGCTTCTCTCCTTTGTGCTCCTGCAGCACCTTTTACGCCAAATGCTGGACCTGGGATCCCTCTGTGGCTTAACGTGACACTTAGGTATTTGTGTTACCCACCTAACTATAGACTGTCTGCTCACAGAAACCACATCTGAAAACCTGTGTTTGCCATAGCACATGAATCCCCATATTTCTATAGCCAAGAAAGTTTATTTTATGGTTATTTAGGAAGTCTTTGGAAAGCCTAAAATAATGCTATCTTAATTTAGAGAATTGCTTGGAAAAGTGGCATAGGCAGTTTCTAGGAAGAGAATTGCATGTAACCCTTTATGAGGCAGGTGACTCCAGAAGAAGACATCCGTTACCCTCTATCCTCTGTCCTTGTGCTGTTTTTTCTCAACTTGCAGATTTTCTCCCTCAAGGAACTATTCAGGTAATGATAATGTGAATAATACCTTATAATTGAACAGACATTTTTCATAAAGAGACAAAAAACTTGCAATGGTTATTGAGAATTGGATGAAATAAGTCACCCCATCATGTTTGCTGCTTTACAATTTCAATAGCTCCGAGCAAGCAAAGCTCTTTGTTGAAATATAATACAAATTGCAAACAAGCAGCAGCAGCAGCAGCAGCACAAAAATCCCCCCAATGTCAGAGAGACACTGGCACCGCCAGGAAAAAAAAAGCAGTTTCTCAAGCTATTAATCTAAATGACAACTACAATCTCCCTTGAAAATCCTTACCCAAATAAGGATTGTTTTAATGCTTAAAACATTAAGCAAAGCACTCTTCATATTTATATATGTTCTGAATCCTGTAGGTCTATTCTCAATGGAATTTCCATTAAAATAATAAAATCAGTTTTAAGATTATATATAGCATGTTTATACAATTAGCATTAGTAGTAATAATAATTAACCCTTATTGAGAAATTACCATGTGTCAGGCCCTAACTGACTTAACCATTACAACTCATTACATATGTACTGATGTTATGCCCCATTTCATAGACTTAAGAGATAGATGCAAAAAAAAAGGTAAAGCTTGCCATAACTTGCTAAGGCACATGACTTATATGTGGTAAAGTTAGGAGTTGAATCTAGGCCAGTATTAGACAATCATGTTGTTTTAAATTTTGCAGTATCCACATTAAATGAAAAAGAAATGGGAGGTGATATTAATTGTGATATTTTATTTAAGTCAATATAACCAAAATATTATTAATTTAACATATAAACAATAAAAATTATTAATAAGATATTTTACTTTCCTTTTTTTTTTTTGAGACAGAGTCTCCCTCTGTCACCCAGGATGGAGTGCAGTGGTGTGATCTTGGCTCACTGCAACTTCCGTCTCATGGGTTCAAGTGATTCTCCTGCTTCAGCCTCCCAAGTAGCTGGGATTACAAGTGCACGCCACCACGCCTGGCTAATTTTTGTATTTTTAGTAGAGATGGGATTTCACCATATTGGCCAGGCTGGTCTCAAACTCTTGACCTCAGGTGATCCACCTGCCTTGGCCTCCCAAAGTGCTGGGATTACAAGCATGAGCCACTGTGCCCAGCCTTACTTTCCTTTTTTTGTAATGAGTCTTTGAAATCTGGTACATATTTTGCACTTATTGGATATCTCAATGTGGGCACTCAATTATCCTTTGAAATACTTGATATATTTTGATTTTGTAAAATTTATTATTGAAGATGTAGATTCACATACCCCAATTTTTTCAAACATACTTGAATGTTTCTAATAATTGAATTGAGTATCTTTAAAAATTTATGTGTAATTAAATTAAATAAAATTAAAAATTCAGCTCCCCAGTTACACTAGCTATAATTTAAGTCTTCAACAGTCCCATTTGGTAGTGGCTTCCATATTAGACAGCACAGACACAAGTTGTCTTCATCGAGAACCCCTGCTTCTCCAGCCTGGGCAACATAACAAGACTCCATCTCTTCCAAACAATTGAAAAAATTAATTGGGCATGATGGAACACACCTGTTGTCCTATTTACTCAGGAAACTGAGGGAGAAGGATCTCTTAAGCCAAGGAGATTGAGGCTGCAGTGACCTAGGATTGTGCCACTACACTTAGCCTGAGAAACAGAGTGAGAGCTTGTCTCAAAAAAAAGAACACTTGCTCTTATCTAATAAATAAACAGTTAATAAATAGCTATTGAATCAATATTGAACCACTATGCTATGCTGTCTCAAAGAAGACAATGAGAAGGCACCATTTAATTGCATTCAGTGTTCATTTGACATTTATTTGTCAGAACTAATATCAGCTGATATTAATGGTTAAAAGTATAGGTTCTAGAGTCAGACTGGGCTGGGTTCAAGTCTCGGTTTTATTACTTATTAGTTAAGGAGTCTTAGTCAAGATAAAGAAGAAGGCGTATATCTTGCTAACCAAAAGGAACAGTCCAGTGAGCCTCCCAGAAGAAGTTCTGATCCAGGTGACTATTGCACAAAATGTATGAATAAAACCAGAGGATGACTCCTTAAAAATACCATCTCTTTCCTCAAATCTCATGCCCTTAGCATTTGCTACCCTGATGTATATTTATCAGCAGGACTTGCAGGTTCAACACTATCATTGGCAGAATGGTCTTAGAGTAGGCATATAAAACAGAAAAGCAGGCGGACTCTGCTCCTTGCTTAGCTCTGCTATTGAGACATAAACCTGTACAACTTCTGAGTCCTTGACCTACTTTCTCCTTTCTGTCTCTTCCCTGTATGCAGATTGTGTGAGTATGCAAATGACTCTCAGTCCCAATTCTAGCCACAGCCCTTATCAACCCTTCTTATGTAGACTGCCCAGGTCTCAGAGAAAGCCACCATATCCTGTGAGCACCAATAATTTAGGATTGCTGAATTTCTCCTAAAACCTACAGATAGATGGATGGAATAGCAAAGCTCTCATGTGCGTGAATCATATATGGGCTGAACCTATGGGAGGAGACTCACTGGCATATAGACTATCCTAGCAAGTGTGTGCATCAAATACCTCTAAGGATACCAATCTAGAAAAGGAGTTTCCCCTACGGAGAACAAGAACCTGAATGTTCATAGCTCAATGGTATTGGCTTCCACTGATGTAGTGCATGCTGTTTCTTGGATCTCCTCATGTTTGAAGGTAGAATCTTTCGCTTGGTTGCTTGGATCTTGCTTTAATAAGATCCTTATACTAGATCTAGTCCACAGAGACTGCCTAGATAGCCTACAAGAAGAAAGAGAGAAGGAGGAGAGAGAGAGAGAGAGAGAGAGAGAGGGAGAGAGAGAGATTGATTCTGTACCTACCGGATGATAAATGTAACATCATAGGTAGCCGCCTAGAGGTACATTAGTCCTTTATTCAAAGGAATGCATTTTGAGGTAGAGTGTGTGTATGTGTGTGACAAATGTGGCATATGGAAGGTATGATGTCATATTAATAGATAGGTTTAGTCTATATGAGCCTATATAATTGTTTCTCGTATATAATAATCCTATTAGCAATATAAGCAATTTGAAAGGGTACTTCTGATAGGTTTCAAGCCAGTGGAAATAATCTTAAGTGATACACTGTTAGTCTTTGACCCCTCCATACTTTTGGTTGCTTCTCATCAATGCCAAGTAACTTTTGGACTTGAATAAAATGCCATAGTGGGGTCACTGTACACTGACTCTGATATCCTGGGGGCCAGATGATGCAACTCAGAAGCTCTGGCAAGTTAACCCCTCCTGTGGGGAATCTTGATCAAAGGAAAAGAGGAGATGAGAGGAGCTCGGGCAGATAAACTCCCTTCCCTCCTCTCTTTCATGGACCAATACAATGTGTATTTCTTCTCTGCATATCCTGCATGCCAAGAATACATACCTGCAGAGTGGCTGGCTATGTCAGCAGCTTGTTGTAAAGCAGTAGCCAGTGTGGTCACGTGGCACATTGCATTGCTTTGCATCTTTGCTTCCCTCACTTCTGGTTTTCCCTCATCCTCACTGCCTGTGGCTTGGTTCTCCCACATAAAGAGTTATTGCCTTAACCATGCCTCAGGCTCTGTCTTCTAGAGGACCTGAGCTAAGACCTAATATAATGTTCTGCTCCCAGTAAAGGTGGCACTTGGAGTTTTCTCCTCTATACTATGAGCCATTCCAAACATGCCCTCATTTTCTTCACAAGCTTTTGGCAGAGCTTCGGTATACTGTGATCTTAGATCACATAAAAGGGTGGAGATGGGTAACAACCTAGGCTGTTTTGTGGGAACCTGCAGTGGCTATGGGGAGAGAGAGGACATTCTGATTTTTCTGTTCATTCATTCCATTTGGCTTCAATATAATCTGGCTGCAACGACATTAGGGAAAAGCAAGATGGAAAGGAACATCCATAACGAGGTACAAAGTATATGAGGCACACTGTGTCCCTAAGTAACCTCACACCACACTTCAGAGCTGCTAGGTCCAGCTTTTTCTAATAAAAGTGGAAAGAGAATACCCAAAGCCATATTTCTGTGCTCTGTTATGAAAGCTCCCCTAGAGGTGTCACAATCAGACTGTGATTGTCTTAACCACTGTGAGTGACCTTAATCACTATGAATGACCACTATGAGTGACCTATGATTGTCTTAACCACTACGAGTTTTCATGGTCCAGGCACTTTTAACATATATTGCCACATTTATTCTTCATAACAATACTACAAGGTAGACCCTAGCATTGTTCTATTTTCCAGAGAAGGTAATAAAGTCAGAGTGCGCTTAGGTAACTTACCTACATTTATTCAGCTAGCACAACTGATATAGCCAGGATTCGAACCTAGGTCTTCAGATTAACAGGGTGGGAGTGGATAACCACCAGGCTGTGTCCTCTATATTATATTGCTATGAAAGTGTTGTTCCCAAAATGGTGCAGCTGCTTTGTGTTTCTCTAACTTATGTAAACTGATGTTCTCTTTCTCTGAAACACTTCTTTTTGAAGACCTGGCACAGTCAACACCTGCTCTGGGAAGGCTGATGCACCTCCCAGTGTCTGGCCTTTGCCCCATTGTATGAACCCCCTCTCCCCACAATCCCCTGAGTATCACCAACTCCAGTCTGTGTGTAAAGAAATATTTATATAGATGGTTTGGGACCATAAAGGAATTTGTGCACTTGTAGAGGTGGCAAAAGGTATTGCAGCATAGCCAGAAACGAATATTAGCTACAACTGTCCTTAAAAGTGTCTTGGCCATTCCTGATCTTATGCTCCCTTTGCACACAGCTCAGGCAATACTCTATGGTATTTCTCAACTCCAGCAACCACCCAGTAAATAGTGTTTCTTTCTTCCACGTGGAAATGTCATATGGAAGCTCAAAATTTGTCCTTCTTCATTGTGCAAAGCATTGTGGTTCTTGTGGCTAACACGAGGCCCACATCAGGACTATTTTCCTTCAACCAAAATGGCCCAACATACTGTATTTTTCTAAATAAAGTTCATTTGCTTTTCCTTTAAAAGGAAATCTGTTTTTGGTTTTTAAAGCAACTTTTATTTTTCTCCATGCTACGGATGAATGAATGAAAGCATACGTGAATGATCAAATGTGTAACAAGGTAGATATTATTACTTATTGAAAATTCTCCACGAGGATTTCTGGTAGAAAAGTGGTCAGCTTGAGAGAACTAGACTGCTGAGGCTGTTCAGAGGTCTTCTGTCTGTGAGGAGTCAGTGGGGACCGGGCTTGGAGCTTCCAGAGGGACCCAGCATGGCTGGTGAGTAAGAGCAGAATTGCAAGGGGCCACTTCCAGTAGGAAAGTGGCTATAGACTAGGGAAGGTGGAAAAACGATACCTGCTGTGCAGAGTGTGAGAAATGAGGAAGAGGAAAGTTAGGGAGAAAACTGGAGTGTGAGAGAATTGGTTAGAAGGGGAAAGAGCTTTATATTTTAGTAGTGTCTCCATGAGTCATAAATTAGATTTCCTTTAATATTATTTAAGTGAACAGAGGCTGGAATTTTATTTAATTTCTTTATTTGCTAGAGTGTGTATGCATGTGTTTTAAGGAAACACAGGCTTGAAACTGAATCCTGTTGGGCTAAATGATTTATTTCATTTACAAAGGAAATGGTAGCCAGGAAAACTGGGTATATCATATATACATCTTATAATTTTGTGCAAATTGCATTACTTCTCATCACATCTGTAAAATGTGTCTGGTGCCTACTTTACAGAATTACATGAGGATTAAATGGACCACTCTGCAAAGTACAGATTATCAAAATAGTCCGACACTGGTATACTTGGGAAAAAACTCTCTCTCAGACTGTGCAGAAGTATTAGGCACTTTAATATGTGTGTATATATTTATATGTATGTATGTGTATATATGTATTTTTGTATGTGTTACAGGTATGTGTGTGTTTAGTGTGTGTGTTTTATGTGTGTATATACACACACACATATATAAACACACACAAAACACACATACACACACACATATATATACATACACTCACACATATATGTAAGGTCCTCTGAGCTGGCCGCACCACAATCAAGCCATCGTGACGTTCCTGCGCCCTTGTGAATGTACTGTGTAACATTCCTCCCCACCCTTGTGACAATACACCCTCCCTGCCCTTGTGAATGTAGTTTGTAACATCCTCCGTGCCCTTGAGAATGTACTTTGTAACATCCATCCCCTGCCCACAAAAAAAATTGCTTCTAACTCCACCGCCTATCCCAAACCTGTAAGAACCAATGATAATCCCACGACCCTTCGATGACTCCTTTCTCGGACTCAGCCCACTTGCACCCAAGTGAATAAACAGCCTTGTTGCTCACACTAAGCCTTCTCAGGTGGTCTCTTATACGTAACAACATATATATATATACACACACACATACATACATATATATGCGTAACAACATATATATATATACACACACGTAACAACATAAATATATACATGCATACACACATATATATATACACACACATATACATGCAGTATATTACTTTCCCAAGCCCAGAAGTTCTGTTCCTTGACCCTGAACTCCGTAAATGTAGCCAACTGATTATGTCAATGCTCTGGGGTGCAGTGTACCATCCCACAGGGCAAATCTCACTCTAATCCAGCTCATAGGGCATGGACATATAAATAAGAACGACAATTAGTTAATTCATAATGCCAGTGGTAGAAAATCCTATCTTACTCTGAGAACAGTATTGTCTTCTGCAGATAAATTAACATGAGAAGTTGATTTATGACGGGATTTATGATGTATTTATTGGGTACAGAGTGTGGCTCAAGTCTTTAATGATGTCAGGCTAAGATGGCTAAATGCTCAGCTCTACCTTAGGGATATACCAGCTGTCAGGACTGAATGGCTGGATTCCTTGGTCCCATTATGGAACAAACACTAACATTTACCCATTGACTTCCATGGTTCCATGCCCCAGAGACAGTAACCCTCTTTTTGATGATCACATACTTTTCTTTTTTTTTTTGAAAAAAAAAATGTATTTCATTTTTAAATGACCTCAATTACACGCTAATAGAATGTGTGTATCTGTTGGATACCGTGCACTTTCTCAAACCTCAGAATCAGATTGGACACTGCCACTCTCATTTTCTGTCCCACAGTGATTTTCACAAAGCAATTGTTTTTTATCAGAGCTACTGCATAAAAACCAAGTTTGCAAAGATATGACATCATCAAAAAGAATGTAGCAATGTTTATTGTTGAAAGTGTGGATCTCCAGGAACTAGCAGTTGACATTGTTTCTGACAAATTGCTGGTTTCCTCTAAAATTTAAAATACCCCTCTGCACCCATATGAGTTTGCTGTGCCTTCCCAGGGTTCCATGGCACACACTGTCTGGGAATTGTATCACATTCTTTTTTTGAAATAATGTTGAAATTACTAATTAGGTTTTAGCCAAGTTCTTTTCTCTTCTTCTGAAATTTTGCTTTAAATTGCTTTTATCATATCTCTCTTATCAATTCTGGCATTTCAGGATTTTCTTTACTTCCAAGTTGGGAATAGAGGCATCTACTCTATATTGTCACATAGGTGGAAATGAAAAGGTCATAGAATGGGCTGGACTTAGGAGACCCGAGACCTATAGCCTAGGAACCTACACAGGGATAACAGAGCCATATGCGGTGGTGGTGGTTTGGGCTTGGGGTTAGATATATGATGATTTGTTAAGAGGAGGCAGCTGTTAAAGGTGTGTGATCAATTATTGTTTCATTGATTTCTCATTAATGAGCCTTCACTTTGTTTTTGTTTTGAGACAAAATGAACAGGCACAGAAAAAATAGGTAAGATCTTACATATCCACTTAGTTCATACTGGGGGTCGAATAGGGCAAGGATATTGCAGACAGTTCAAACTTAGTTGATCAAGGAGGACTAATGGGCAGCCCTTTCTCAAGTTTGAGAGATGAAGAAGGAATTTGTGGGCTTCATTCCTTAACTTCCTTCCCCTATTCTATCGGCAGAGACTGACAACTCGGCATATACAAATAGTCTTCACTTAATGTCATTGATAGGTTCTTGGAAGCTACGATTGTAAGTGAAACGATGTAAAAGGAAATCAACTTAACATAGGCTAATTGAAATAAACTAGAGTTAATTTCCTACAGCATATTTCTGGTCACAAAATCATCACCCAACCTTCAAAATAAAGACCAAAACACTTCCAATATTAAACAATGAAATAAATGTGAGCTACACTTTTAAGAAAGATTAATACAAACAAGTCAGATAATTACTTGCCCAACTGTTCCAGTTCAAGATTGTAGGTGGTGACCTACTGTGGAGCCTGTCCTGGAGGTTCAGGTAAGAACCAGTCCCGAACAGGATGCCATCTCATCGCAGAGAACCCTCACACACACCCACACCACTCATACTGGGACAATTCAGACATGCCAATGGGATGCCAGTGGCACGGCTTTGGGATGTGGGAGGAAACCAATGCAGACATGAAGAGAACACGCAAACTTCACACAGAAAATGGCCATGGCTGGGGAATTGATTTTTTTTTCTCATCGAGGTTATAGCAAAACATCATTGAACAGAACAATCTTATATACCTGATGTATAAGTGCTTTTGTTTATCCACATTTTTTGCACTAATTTTCTCTATTGGATCACTCCCATCAGCAGGCAAACATTCCAGTTTTCTATTTTAAAATTAACTTCTCTTATGAGTCCACTTTTTCCTTTAGTTATGGAACCAACCCAAATGCCCATCAATGATAGACCGGATAAAGAAAATGTGGCACAGATACACCATGGAATACTATGCAGCCGTAAATAGGAATGAGTTCATGTCCTTTGCAGGGACATGGATGAAGCTGGAAACCATCATTCTCAGCAAACTAACACAGGAACAGAAAACCAAACACTGCATGTTCTCACTCATAAGTGGGAGTTGAACAGTGAGAACACATGGACACAGGGAGGGGAATATCACACACCGGGGCCTGTTGCAGGGTGAGGGACAAGGGGAGGGATAGCATCAGGATAAATAGCTAATAATGTGGGGCTTAAAACCTAGATGACGGGTTGATAGGTGCAGAAACCATCATGGCACCTGTATACCTATGTAACAAACCTGCACATTCTGCATATGTATCCCAGAACTTAAAGTAAAAAAAAATTCCCAAACTTTTCACAATAATCATCTTGACCTTTCCCTGAATAACCATCATACCACCAATCCAATGTGAATTACATCTTTTCTTAATCTCTCAGTGTCATTTGGTCCAGTTGATCACTCCATCCTTGAAATGCTTTCGTAACTTAGTTGCTCTTGGTCTACCTTGTCTACCTTCTCCCTCAGCAGCCACTTCTGGATCCAGATTCAGTCTGTTCCCAAGGAGACCATGGTTGGGGCAATAAAATCTAAGGACTTATGGAAATAAAGAAGAAAATTTAAAGAGCCAGGTTTCTCATGTGCTTTGTTTTCTTATTTCTCCAAATTAAATATAAGTTCCAGTCATGCAGGGACCTTGGTTTACTTGTTCTTCTCAAGTTACTCCACCCCCTAAGGACTGTGCTCAGCACACTCTAGGCATTTGAGAAATATGGTTGAGTTAATGAATGTGCAGCTCTCCCAAGAAATTACTTTCTGTCTTTGACTCAAAAGACCAGAAGAGTTTCTTCACCAAAAGTCCCTTGGAATCTTTTATCACTCTTCCTTTGGCATATTCATTTGCTGGTCTGGAGATGCTGCTGATCTTGGTTCCTTTTGTCTTTCCGTGACTGCTACTGGATTACAATGTAATGCTTTTGGCCAGATGTGCATTTTAAGCAGCCCCAGTAATACATATTTGATGTTGGATTAAGTTGTTCTGACTTGTAGTCATAGTGGCAGGAGCTTTTCTGCTGTTGCCTGCCTTCTGAATATGAATAAAGTGTCTGCACTTTTATTAACTTATAGCAGAGTTATGTTTAACCACAAGAGGAAAGGAACACACCAATTATTCTCTTGTGCAACATTAAGGAAGCATGAATAGAAAACAGCTTTGTGGCATGAGTGACCTGAATCCCTGAATCGGTCTCTGCACACAATGTTTGAAAGAAAGTCATAACTATGTATTCATTAGAGGGACTATAAAATAGCAGAGTGTTAAATTTGTGACCAAAAGTCTTTGTTACCAGTGATGTGGGGTTTATTATCTATCATAGCTAGTCTTATTAATTGGGAAGCTCTTTGCAGAAAAAGAAATGGATTCCATTTCTAAAACTTGCAATTATGAATTCCGTTAATGCTTTCAGCCATCCAGATATTTATTTATACATGTCACTCAATGGGGCAATTTGCAATTCTGGGTAGATTTTGTGACTTAAAGCAGAGTGCTTGTTCTCTACAGTTCAGTAATTCTCCACTTCTCAAAATGGGACAACCACAGGTTTATCCATCTGCTTTTTGTTAAATGAGTCCGAGATGAGGAGACAAATGCTGTATGCTTTTGATAAGACAGGCATGATTCCATTAAAAATAATCTTTTGAACTCCTATTGAGTGGAAGACACCTGAAATAGAGCTTTTAGGGGAAGGGGAGGAGGATGAGTAAGGTAATTCTTGCTATCAAAGTTTGGAGTGACCACAATGATGTAGATAGTAAGTTCTTTGGGGGAATTCTTGAACTGATTTCATGAAGTAAGATTTGTGAACCGATGGCATAGGTCTGGAGTAGACTCTAAGGCCTTCCCCGCCGTACCACTCTCTCAGGGTCTGGTTTTGTGGATGGCCCACTCACTGTGCAAAGCTGCATCTGCTGCAGCAGTTCTGGTGCCACATAACATAACCCAAGGACAACCCAAGGGATTGTGTCCTCAGCCCTTTCTGTTCTACTGACTAATCTTTAGCATATTGTAGACCTTTTAACAAAAATTGCTATTCATAACATATGTTTAGTTTATAAATTTCTTTAATAGAACATTTTAACATTGTTTGAATGGCCACAGGGTCTCATATTACATACTTTTGTTTCATTTCATTTTTCCTTTTATTTTCCCCCGAAAAGGAACAGAACATTGAAGTCTACTTAGAGCCAAAGATTTGGTCCTGGGCATTGTGGTTGCAGATACTACCTTTATCAAATGGCTCCCTGACATTGGCCTCCCACTTTTAGACTTGTATGAAATAACAAACTCTCCAAATTATTTGAAAATAGCCACAATTTCTTTTACAGACGTTTATTGGCAATTGGGCTCTCTCCGTGAAAAGGGAATATTGAGAAATGAACTTCAATGCTTCATTTTATTGTTTACTTCAAGGTAAATAACTCCATTTGGAAATTACAATGGTACAAATATAGTGAAGTTAAGCTATGGGTCTTACTCTGACCAGGGTTATGTTGACAAAAAATTATGCTTTTAAAAGCATTGCTGTTGAAAAGAAGGCCATAGTAGCAGAGGAGTCTGCTTTTATATAAAGAAGAGAACATTAGATTTGCAGTCAGATGACCTAACATCTTTGTTCGGGACCTTCAATTAGTAACTTATTTTTTCCAAGTTTCATTTTCCAGTGTACAGGATTGGTGCGAAATAAAATTTAAAAAGTATTTGAACATATTCTGTGAAGTTCTATGCCAGTATGGAGTTATACATGGGCTATCTTAATTGGTTTAAATATATCTCTCTAATATATGGCTTCAAAAACTTCAGCCAACTGAGATTGATTTCATATGATTTTTTAAACATATAATTTTATTGAGGTGTAGTTAACATACAGTAAACCATACATATTTGCTGTAAAGTATACAATTTGCTAACTTTTGAGACATAGACACATCCATTAAATCATTGCACCATCACTACACATCCGTTATCCCCAAAGTTTCCCATGCCCATTTATAGCAGGGATCTCCTTTTTAGCACCTCCCTCATATTCTTAGATTTGGAAAGTTTGTATTGTATGCTGGTTCCAGCACCTTTGATTTTCTAAATTATGTTACTTTGTCCTGTGTTTTTTAATTTGCCACAGATCAAATAATGACACTGTTATTCATAATGTCATAATAATTTGTCTCTCTCTGCCATAGAAGTTCCAGACAATGAGTTTTATCCTTTTCAGTGTTGACAGGGGTCCTATGGTAATTATGCAGGTGACTTCTCTCAAAGGACATTTAATAGAAAACGGGATGATGCTGAGCATGTGAAGATAGAATTGACAGAGACCTTAGTACATCCTCTCATGTTTTACTCTCTAGATGTAAAGATGCTTCTTTATGTTAGAAGCAAAGAATGATGGTTGATTATAATTTCTAAAATCACCCTGCTAATTTTAAGAGGGAATAATAACCACTAACTGGAAAAGCCTTATTTTTTTTTTTATTTTTTTTGAGACAGAGTCTTGCTCTGTCGCCCAGGCTGGAGTGCCACTGGAGTGCAGTGGCGCAATCTCGGCTCACTGCAACCTCTGCCTCCTGAGTTCAAGCGATTCTTCTGCCTCAGCCTCCCGAGTAGCTGGGACTACAGGCGTGTGCCACCATGCCCGGCTAATTTTTGTATCTTTTTTAGTAGAGAAGGGGTTTCACCATATTGGCCAGGCTTGTCTAGAACTCCTGATCTCGTGATCCACCCACCTTGGCCTCCCAAAGTGCTGGGATTACAGGCATGAGCTACCGTGCCCAGCCTTATCTTTAAAAAAATGTCAATTTGAGCATTATGAAGGGAAATACAAATTCAGCAATAAGATCATATTTATTAAGTTATGAACCCTAATGTTTTATGGGAGTTTCCTTAATTCATAGGCTACTTATGTTAGAGTAGTCAAAAACCTGGGCTTTGGAATCGCATAGATCTGAGTCTTACTAGTGCTAGTGCAAGCCTGGGCCAGTGACTTAATTTTTGTGAGCCTTGATCTGTTCACCTGTAAGATGAGGATACTAACAGCACCTATGTCATAGAACTGTTGCAAAAATTAAATTGGTTGATGTGTGCAGGCCTAGCTCAGGACGCAGAGCAATCATTTCATACATGTTATGAAGATGAAGATGATTATCTCACTGTAAAATGTATATCAGCATACAGCAAATATATACGAGATTTTAGTCTAAAGGACTTTCATTAATTAATCAAATATTTATTGGTACCTACTATGTCCCAGTTCCTTTCTAGTCATGGATGACTAAAAGCACTCAGATTCTTTCATCTCAGGGCTATGCTCTGGTGCTACAAAGGCCTCAGAATTTGTCCTCGTTCCCTATAAGACCATAAGTGGTTTCCCATGGGGAACTTTTTGGGCAGTGTATAGATAGCTCAGAGGAAACTGAGAGTCTTCATGCTTTAGCCTGAATTTGTTTTATCTATCATCCCTTTCCCTGTGTAGTCTATGTATTATTTATTCCAAATAGGAATTTCATCAATACCAATCACATTTAGAGGCAATTTTCACACCTAAGCTGGGCCATTCTGTATGAATGAAGGAATGCAATTAAAAGTCCAGAGCCAAAACTCACCTAAAATAGCTGTTGAAGTAGTGTAAAGTGTTGTAAATCTTTCAAGCCCCTGCTCCTGGATGGTTTGGGGGACACAGGGAGGAAGAACCAACTGAGCACTTGATCTGATCTTTGGAGAGAAGACAATTATTGCTTATGGTTAAAAGAGATGATATGAGTGTGAAAAGGGACCCCAAAAACCACACCCACACATTGGATGGACAA
This sequence comes from Homo sapiens, assembly GCF_000001405.40. Lineage (NCBI taxonomy): Eukaryota > Metazoa > Chordata > Mammalia > Primates > Hominidae > Homo > Homo sapiens. The sequence continues at coordinate 103,680,438 of NC_000011.10, forward strand.
TTTTAGTCTTATCCTACATCTTCAAGGTCAGGCTGCCCCAGAGCCTGGGTTTTTGGAGGACATTTGTGGCTCATGTGTACTGAACCCCAAGCAATTGAATAATAATGATCTCACAACCCCCAAGCAAGGCACTTAAAAATTATTATTTACTTATTTTTAGAGAAAAGGTTTTGTTCTGCTGTCCAGGCTGGAGTGCAATGGTGCGATCATAGCTCACTGATCAAACTCCTGGGCTCAAGTAGTACTCTTTGCTCAGCCTCCCAAGCAGCTGGGACTACAAGTGCATGCCACCATGCCCTGCTATAAGTTTTTAGTCCTGAGGTAGCAGCTCTTAAGCTTAGCTGCTGCAGATTAGAAAGCTGAAAATAACCAGAGAGGAAGAGTGTTTGAGTCTAGACTGTGTTTTCTTCTCAGCCTCTAGTTAGAGATGTCTTTCCTTCCCTTTCCTCATTCCCTGCTAAGCAGGAGACTTTCAGTGGGATTCAGAGATTCATTCAGCTAAAATAACTGACAAGTATTTACTGGCCACCTAACAGAGTTTGGGCTCCAGAGATACAGTCATAGGAAAAAACAGAGCTGGCAATGTAGAGTGAGGAGACATCTGTGAAACTACAGATCTAAGTTTCAGATTATATCAATGCTTTAAAAGAAAGGCAGACGTCTTCAAAGAACACACAATAAAGGAAGCTAAACTTAGCCAAGGATCAGAGGAGGCTTCCAGGAGGAAATGACATGTGAACTGATATATAAAGAATAAATAATAATAGCTGACATTTATTCAGGTTTACTATGTGTCCAATATCATTCTAAGTGGTTTATAGGTATTGCCATGTAATCCTCACACAGCATCTTGAGGTGATACACATATGTACATCATGTGTGCATGGGTATGTGTATGTATATACGTTTACATGTGTGTGTGTATAAATGAATAGATAGATGACCTCTCCAAACCCCCAGGTCTGGTCCTCGACTCTGAAGGTGTAGCCAATCAACTATGTCCATGCTCTCAGCTGGGTGGGTCCCATCCCTCAGGGAAAATCTGGTAGTTCTAGTTAGGAGTTCCACATTTTGTACTTTCTGTGCTGTGAGTCTTTGCGCAATTGGAATTAGAAACAGAGATGATAAGAGTAACAGTGGAAAACAGAAATTACCTTTTCAGCTCTGTTTATTTCAGGCTAGAAGCAACCAGAGACTCTTTACAATTTGAGTATTAAGAATCTCAGCAAACAGCCACATTAATGTAAGAAATAGACAAAAAAAACTTGAATCAAGACCTAAAACCAGTATGGCAAAGAGATTCTGGAATAATACCAGGATGAAGACATTACCAAGACATTCCTAGCTAAGGCAACTCCCAGTACTCAAGTGAGGGGAAACTGGTGGTTAAAACTAGGCCTAGACCCTGGTGCTAATTTTCTACCCAAACCTTTAACTTGACATATAGACAGATGTATGACCTAGTGACGTTTAGTAAATGGCCTCAAGTTTATTTTTTAGATGGGATTAATTCCTCTCAATCAATCTTTTCAGCAGCGTGAGTGAGGCCTGAGAGGCACACACAGTCATTAGGACTGTGACCACCCCACCAGATGCTCCAGCAGGCAGCCTGGAAGATACCACCCGTCATGCGCTCACATGTGTCCTTTTCAGCACGAGTAGCACAGTACTGAGCACTAAGCATTTGGTGGTTCTTTATATTTAGACCACCAAATCGTGGGAAATGACTGTAACACGGAAAGAGCCTTTCTAATGGCATTGCACCATACAAATGTTCAGTGTGATTATTATAATCTCCACCAACAGAGTTGCTGTGTAATGCTGAAATGATTGTAGAACATTCCTATAGAAAAACCCTCTTACCTCGGAGCCTCTTTTCACCCCTCCTCCATCCCTGGCAGGCTATTTATGTGGTAATGTTATCTTTTGAAACTCTAATGCGCAGCAGTCCAGGTCGATCAAGCCACCTTTTAGCTTTTGCCGATTTGCTTTGAAGTTGACACCAAGGTCAGATGTTATTGTTATTGCACAGACTCAACACCAGGGGGTGATCACAGCACATCACACTAATTACCACTGCCAGACAAAGCTGAGTGCTAATCTCAGGCAGTGCACCCAGAGCAAGAAGCACGGAAGGAGCTGGGCTCACAGAAACTCTGGTCAGTAGAAGGCACAACATGCAAAGAGGCTTTTTAGTGGCACCACATGGTACAAACGTTCACTACGATTATTATAACCTCAGTGGAGCTGCTGTTTAATGCAAAAGGAGAGAACATGCCATCTCATGACTAAACAATTGCATAGGAAGCAGAATGCAGACAGTTGTCCTGCCTGTTGCCCCACAGTGCTGGGTGATTTAAAGGTGCCATTGAAACCCGATGGATGTTCCTGTCTTGGTAGCATGCAGCCTCACACACCAACTCTGTGCTCAACTAATGTATAAATCCCTACAGCTCCTCAAGTGCCAAGAATTCTTCAGGCCAGTGGTATTTGTAACTATTGTGACTCTCCAATTCTTGGAAATACTCTCATGGCAAAGCACCTCTTAAAAGAAATGTGAGAGGAGGAAATTCAGTTCAATTCTCCAGAAACTGCTCAGTGGCTGCATGAAGCACTGTTTGTGATTGCTTTTTAATGTTCAAGATGCAAGTGGCTGCTCCTTTGGGGCTGTATTTTTCCATTAGAAAACACTAATCTCCCTCCTCCTACTCCTCTGAGAGTCTAAAACAAATGTGTTTTAGCTCGTTTTCTGTTTCTCCTTCATCTGCAAACCATTGAGAACGTCACATGTTCTAGGATCCTATGATAGTGTTAGAGGCAAAGATATATGGCTCAATATTTTCAGTGAAAGTTCATGAAAGTTGATTTCTTTTTATATTAGGTTAAAGAAGCCCTAAATAAAGCATACATATGTCTCGAAAAGCACTTCATTAAGGGGGCTACTGGGATGGAAATGAACCATACATTCCTTTTTTTTTCTTTTTTATTTAAACTTTTTGTTCAATTTTGATACATATTGAAATGTGTACAAATCATGAGTGTACATCTCTGAAATTTCATAAAGTGAACACACCCATATAACCACCACCTACATTAAGAAACAGACCAGCACCCCAGCAGTCTTGGGCTGCAGTGTAAATTTACAATTCACTTATTATTTATGGGAAAATGTTGCATTCTTCAGTCTATATCATACTATGATTTGAACACATTTCCTTAGTACAGTCATATGTTATTTCTAGAGGTGTGGGACTGTGAACAAGAGTATCAGCATCACTGGAGACTCCATCAAAACTGTGAATTCTCGGATCTCACCCCTAACCTACTGAATCACAAATTCTGGTGGCAGGGCTCAGCTATTGGTGTTTTCACAAGGCTTTCTGGTGACTCAGATATACACTAGAGCTTTAGAAACTTTTTTCTTAGTGTCCACTGTTTAGCCTCAAAATTGCAACTGTGTTCTATGTTTCCTGGGTTGTAACATGTTACATTAGAATAGCGGTGATAAGACCTAATTGCTTATTTCCTTTATCCCTAACCTTTAAAATATACGTATCAGCTGTATTGAGGTATGATTCACATACAACAAAAGACCATTTTTAACGTGAAATTCAATGGGTTGTGACAAATGTTTACCATTGCTTCCCTTTCTACCCATTTCCATCTCATAGTCTCCCCAAACTTTATCAAAATTGTTGGCCTACTTATGTCTCTTCTATAACCTGCGAGCAGAATTCTCGAGGACAAAACTGCTCTATTCATCATTGAGTTCCTATCCCTTGAATGGACACAAATAAGAGGCTTCACAAATATTTGCTGAACCAATGAGTGAATAAAACTATGTACATAAAAATAACCCATCAAGAAGACTAGCTGGGTTGTAGGATGTGGGAAATAGGTGAGTCTACAAATCCTGCATAAATTTGAGGTCTGAAGTGGAGATAATTAGACGAGTGGTGTAATAACATGCTGACAGCAGTGGATTTTCCTCTCGGACCACCTGCATGTGTGGCAGACACGTTCGCTGCCCTGTCTGCATTCCCTCAGTCCATCCTGGAGGTCACCTCTGGTCAGTTCCCTTTCAGGCTGAAATGTTTCCTGTGTCTTTCTGCTTCAGGGAATTTGATGGACATCTAGTGTCTTAGTCCACAAGTGGGACAGGTCAGAAGCGTGGAAAAGTTAAAACTACAGAAGGAATTCCTGACCAACGAGGGTCGTTTTTGGTGGATAACTGCCTCGCTTCCTCGTCCATGTGGGGGACAGTTCTGAGGTGTGCTCCACACACTTTCTCAGCAGTTCCTACTGGGTTGCAGCCCCAGTTACTTACACATTAAATCCCCTTCTTTGGCTTTCCTTCCTTCCCAGCCTCTCCTCTCTGCTTCTTCATAGTACTGCCTGGGTTCTCCTCCTCAAAAACCTGCTTGTACTCAAATCTTTGATGCAGGGTCTGCTTTTGAGAGAACCTAAACTAAGGATCTGCTTTTGAGAGAATCTAAACCCAAACCCTTAAATTTGCCTCTTTCTCACTTTGTGACCTTGAGTAATTTAGTTCCATTTCTGGCATTGTCTATTTGTTCATTTATAAGATAGGGATAATATTACTTATGTTTTAGGATTGTTGTATAAAATCCTATTCAGTACCTGTAATGTTATAGGTATTTAGGAGTTAACAACTATTTTAGCTATCATACACATCTGACTTCCCTAACTAAGATTTTCCAAAAGAGATGACCCCACGGAGTTAACCCTATAACAGTGCAATTCTTAAAGCATTAGAGGGTTACATGGATGAAAGAACGTCTGAGAGCCAGCTCCTCCACTTTCTCTGATAGTACTCTGGGCTCTGCATGCTCTGAAATTCCTGTTTCCCTTCTGGGAAAATCTGGAATTTCACAGAGACAGAGAAAGTCTTTCACTGTCTTACATGGGCTCTCAGGGAATTAGTTCAACAAATACTTACTGAATGCCATTATAGGGGAAGTGCTGTTTTAAGTAGTAAGAAACAGCAGTGCATAAATCAAGTCCCTGCTTTCAAGGAGCTTATATTCCAGGGGTGAGAATTTGGATCATTAAGAAATAATGAAACAAATATATGATAACGAGAAAAAACCCAGGAAATGCAGAATAAAGAGGATAGTTATGAAGCAAGTATCATTCTAATACCCAAACTAGGAAAGGACATAACCAAAAGAGAAAACTACAGACCAAAATCCCTGATGAGCATAGATGCAAAAATCCTCAACAAAATACTAGCTAACTGAATCCAACGGCATCTCAAAAAGATAATCCACCATGATCAAGTGGGTTTCATGCCAGGCATGCAGGGATGGTTTAACATATGCAAGTCAATAAATGTGATACACCACATAAACAGATTTGAAAACAAAAATCACACAATCATCTCAATAGATGCAGAAAAAGAATTGGCAAAATCCAAATCTCTTTATGAGTAAAACCCTCAGTAAAATCAACATAGAAGGGACACACCTTAAGATAATAAAAGCCATCTATGACAAACTCACATTATACTGAATGGGGAAAAGTTGAAAGCATTCCCCCTGAGAACTGGAACAATATAAGGAGGCCCACTTTTACCACTTCTGTTCAACATAGTACTGGAAGTCCTAGCCAGAGCAATCACACAAGAGAAAGAGGGCATCCAAATCGGTAAAGAGGAAGTCAAACTGTCACTCTTTGCTGATCACATTATCTTATACCTAGAGAACCCTAAAGACTTATCCAAAAAGCTCCTAGAACTGATAAATGAATACAGCAATAAGTTTCAGGATATAAAATCAATGTACACAAATCAGTAGCACTGCCATACGCCAACCCATTTTACAATAGTTGCAAAAAAAATAATAAAATACTTAGGATTATACCTAACCAAAGAGGTGAAAGACCCCTAGAAGGAAAACTACAGAACACTGCTGTAGAAATTATAGATGACACAAACAGATGGAAACACATCCCATGCTCATGGATGGGTAGAATCAATATTGTGAAAATGATCACACTGCCAAAGTCAATCTACAAATTCAATACAATTCCCATCAAAATACTACCATAATTAGTCACAGAACTAGAAAAAACAATTCTAAAATTCATATGAAGCCAAAAAAACACCTGCATAGCAAAAGCAAGACTAAGCAAAAAGAACAAATCTGGAGGGATCACATTACCTGATTTCAAACTATACTATAAGGACATAGTCACCAAAACAGCATGGTACTGACAAAAAAATAGGGACATAGACCAGTGGAATGGCATAGAGAATCTAGAAATAAAGCCAAATAATTACAGCCAACTGATATTCAACAAAGCAAACAAAAAATATGTAGTCGGGAAAGGACACCCTATTGGACAAATGGTGCTGAGATAATTGGCAAGCAACATGTAGGAGAATGAAACTGGATCTTCATCTCTCACCTGATACAAAAATCAACTCAAGATGGTTCAAGGACTTAAATCCCAGACCTGAAACCATAAAAGACATAGAAGATAACATCAGAAAAAACCTCCTAGACATTGGCTTAGGCAAAGAATTCATGATGAAGAACCCAAAAACAAACACAACAAAAACGAAGATAAAAAAATGAGACAATTAAACTAAAAGGCTTCTGCACAGCAAAAGAAACAATTAGCAGAGTGAATGGATAACCCATGGAGTGGGAGAAAATCTATACATCTGACAAAGGACTAATATCTAGAATCTACAAGGAGCTCAAACAAATTAGCAAGAGAAAAACAATCACATCAAAAGAGTGGGCTAAGGACATGAATAGACAATTCTCAAAAGAAGATACACAAATGGCCAACAAACATACAAAAAAATGCACAATGTCACTAATTATCAGGGAAATGCAAATCAAAACCACAATGCGATACCACCTTACTCCTGCAAGATTGGCCATAATAAAAAAGTCAAAAGATAATAGATGTTGGCATGGATGCAGTGAAAAGGGAACACTTTTACACTGCTGGTGGAAATTTAAATGAATACAATCACTATGGAAAACAGTATGGAGATACTTACAGAACTAAAAGTAAAACTACCATTCAATCCAGCAATCCTACTACTGAGTATCTACCAAGAAGAAAAGAAGTCATTATATGAAAAAGACACTTGCACACATGTGTTCATAGCAGCACAATTCACGATTGCAAAAATATGGAACCATCTCAAATGCCCATTAATTAGTGAGTGGAAATAGAAAATATGTGTGTGTGTATGTGTGTAAATATATATATATGGAATACTACCCAGTCATAAAAAGGAACAAAATAATGGCATATGCAGCAACCTGGATGGAACAGGAGACCATTATTCTAAGTGAAGTAACTAGGGAATGGAAAACCAAACATCATATGTACTCGCTTATAAGTGGGAGCTAAGCTATGAGGATGCAAAGGCATAAGAATGATACAATGGACTCTTGGGAGAGGAGTGATAAAAGACTAAACATTGGGTACAGTGTGCACTGCTCAGGTGACAGTAGCACCAAAATCTCAGATATCACCACTAAACAACTTATCCATGTAACCAAAAATCATCTGTTTCCGCAAAACCTATTGAAATAAAAGTAAAATAAAATAAGCAATAATGATAACAATAAAAATAGGGCATGAAGAAATTAATTTACATAGGATATCAGAAAGTGTTCTCTGAAAAGAGTATTTCTGATTGAAGACACAAAGTTAGAAAGGGAACCAGTCATAGGATAGCTTCAGGAAGAGCCAGACAGGCAAGAAGAAAAAGGCAGGGGCACATTTCATGTGTTCCAGGAATATCAAGGAAGTCAGTGAGGGCAGAAGGGAGTAAGCAAAAGAAGAATGGAGTGAGAGGCTTTTCCCATCTCTTAAGGCAGCAAGGACAAGATGGCCTGGGGCTGTGTAGATCACAGGATGGGCTTTGGATTTGATGTAGAGATGGAGAGTCTTGAGCAGAGGAGTAACATGATCTGAATTAGGTTTGAAAAGGATCATTCTGGCTGCTATATGGCGAACAGGCTGAGGAGGCAAGAGCATAAGTTTATAGGCCAGGTGGGAGATCAGAGGAGAGATGACCATGACTTGGCCCAAGTAGCAACAGAGGTGGTTAGAAAATGTTGCATTCTCCCAGAAGGATGTGCTGATGGGTTGGATGTGGGTTACAAGAGAAAGAGAAGACTCAAGGATTATCTAATGCTTTTGGAATACATAACTGAAAGCCTGAAGATGTCCCTTAATGATATGGCAAAGATTAAGAAAGAAAGAGGTTTTAGGGATAATGCCGGTGTTGAGTTTTGGATATGTTAAGTTTGTAATGTCTATTCTTCATCTCAGCAGGCAATCACATAGTGTATTTATTCATTAAGAACATGGATTGTAAAGCCCAAGTGCCTGTTTCAAATCCCAGTTTTATCACTAACTTGTATGACCTTGGGATACTTACTTTACCTGTTTGTTCTCAGTGTAGAATAGGGATAATGGGGTCTGTAGAATAGGGATAATAATCAATCGCAATGAGGATTAAATAAGTTAATGCATGTAAAGTGCTTGGGACTGTGCACTGCACAAAGTAAGCACTACACTAAAACATGTTAAAATATTGAATAGATAGATATACGAGTTCAGAATTCAGAACAGAGGACTGGGCTGTATGTAGCAAGCTGCAGTCATCAGAGCATAGATGCTATTTCAGCCATGGGACTGGATGAGGTCATCTAGGGAGTGAGTGCAGATGGAGAAGGTAAAATCACCAGATATGGAGTCCTGGAGCATTCCAAGGTTTAGAGGTGAAAAAAAGATGAAGGAATTCAAATGTACAAGTTGTTAATTCATTTTTAGAACTTTACATTTCTTGTGAGCTTTCATATTACTACTTGAAAATTCAGCCGAATGATTCACAAAGAGCAGCATTCACTTGAAAATGTGTCTGCAGTGGGGCCTGCAGCAGAACCTATTTTGAAATAACACTTGTCATTCTAGGAAGGCGGCTGGAGTGTCAGAAATGGCCAGCCATGCATTACGCATTTTATTCCCATGAAAAGGAGGGGTAAAGTGGGGAGATGTGATAATTTTTTCAAGGAGAACAGGGTGGCTAAGAAGTGTTAGCCTTCAAAGTATCCTGCTTATGAGACAACATAGGTACTTACATACTTACCACTGATTTCGGTATGTTGCTTTTTCATATATGATTTTATTAACAGTTATTAGAATAACTACAATTAGAAGACCAGTTTCTGTCTTTTATGGGTGACACCTGTTTTTTATTGTGGTAAAAATATATCTATAAAACATAAGATTTGTTATTTTACCATTTTAAAATGTACGATTCAATGGCATTAATTACATCCATGGAGTTGTTCAACTATCACCACTATCTAGCTCCAAAACATTTTCATCACCCCAAACAGAAACTCTGTAATGCATTAAACAATAGCTCACCATTCCCCTCTTACCCTATCCCTTGGTAACTTCTAACCTACTTTCTTTCTTTATGCATTTGCCTGTTCCAGATATTTTATATAAGTGGCAAATACAGTATTTGTCCTTTTTTATCTGGTTTATTTCACTTAGCAAAGTATACTTTCAACGTTCATCCATGTTGTAGCATGTAGTAGAACTATATTCCTTTTTATACCTGAATAATATTCCATTGTATGTACACACACACCACCCAGATTTTGTTTAACTATTCATCTGTTTTCTTTAAATGTTTGGTAGAATTCACTAGTGAAGTTATCAGGGCCTGGAATTTTCTTTGTTGAGAGGTTTTTGATTATTGATATGGAATTTTTCTTCTTTTTTATTGTAGGAATTTGTAGCTATAAATTTCCTCTGAACACTTCTTTTGCTGCATCCCATAAGTTTTGGTATGTTGTGATTTCATTTTCATTCATCTCAAAATATTTTCTAAATTTACTTGTGATTTCTTCTTTGACCCATTGGTTGTTTCTATGTTGTTTAATTTCCACAAGATTGTGAATTTTCCAGCTTTCCTTCTGTTACTGATTTCTAGTTCCATTCCACTGTGGTCAGAGAAGATATTTTGCATAATTTTAATCTTTATAAATTTATTGAGACTTGTTTTGTGGCTTAACATATGGTCTAGTTTGATGACTGTTCCATGTGCACTTGAGAATAATGTGTGTTATGCTATTGTCAGTAGAGTGTTCCATATACAGTCAATCTTCATTATTCATAGATTGCATAATTCCCAATTAGCCCACCCACTAAAAATTGTTTGTAATTCTGAAATCACATAGCTTTTACATTCATTTGAGGACATGTTCGGAGCAGTGAAAAATATGAGTTGTCTGAGACACACATTCTCAACTCAGACTGAACAAGGCGTTGCTCTGCCTTCTTTTTTAAGTTCCCATGCTATGAGCAAGTGTCCTTTTGGTTATCTATGCAGTGCTATGCTTTTCATATTTTTGTTTATTATTAATGTTTTTTCTGTTTAACATGGTTCCTAAGCACACTATTGCAGTGCTGTCTGGTGTTTCTAAGTGCAAGAAGGTTGCGGCATGCCTTACAGATAAAATGTATGTTAGATAGTCGTTATTAAGGAACAAGTTATAGTGCTATTGATTATGAGTTCAATGTTAATAAATAAATAATATATATTGAATAAAGTGTCTTTAAACAGAAATACATATAAAACAAACTTACGTATTGATCAGTTGATGGAAACGTTACCAGAGTAACTCTGCATTTTGCCTAAGAGTAACAATTTAATATTTGCCCTAAAGTTCATGGTGACTTTATAGAACATTACTACCGCAAATAGCATAAATCAATTGTATTTCTATTAGGTTTAGTTTGTGTATATTGTTCAACTCTTTTATTCCCTTATTAATCTCTGTCTACATATTCTATCCATTATTGAAAATGGTATTAAAAACTCCAAATATTATTGTAGAACTGTTTCTCTCTTCAATTCTGCCAATGTTTGCTGCATATATTTTGGGGTTCTGTTGTTTAGTGTATACATGTTTATAATTGTTATATCTTCTTGATGAACTCACCCTTTATCACCATATAATATCTGTCTTTGTCTCTTGTAACAGTTTTTGGCTTAGAATCTATTTTGTTGGATATTACCATAGCCACTCCAATTTTTTTGGTTGTAATTTGCATAAAATATCTTTTTCCATCCTGTACTTTCAAGCTATTTGTCTTTTTGAATCTAACATGAATCTCTTGTAGACAGCATGTAATTTAATCATGGTTTTGGTTTATTTTCTGATCCATTTTCCAATCTCTGCCTTTTTATTTGAAAGTTGAATCTATTTATATTTGAAGTAATTACTGATAAGGAAGGAACTGCTTCTATCATTTTGCTGTTTGTTTTTGTATGCCTCATAGTTTCTGTGGTTGGCATAAATATATTTATCAGCTCAAAAAAAAAAAAAAGAAAAGAAAGGAATAAAAGAGAAACAAAATGAGGCAAAGGCTTACAATTGTTCCAAATAAAAATTGTTATTTTTTTTATCTAACTATCTTTTCTCTAATGAGAAAACCATCTTTAACCTTTAAGTAAAACTAATTTAGTAGGATGCATATTCTGAGTTGAAGACTCATAGGGTTTCAGCACTGTGGCTCACGGCTCCTTAACTTATTGGTCCTAGAAGAAAAAGCTGAGAATGAAAGAGTAATTTTTACCACTGTAATTCAACAACATCCATCCAAGTAATTTTTTTTTTTTTTTTTTGAGACAGAATCTCACTCTGTCACCCAGGCTAGAGTACAGTGCTGTGATCTCAGCTCACTGCAACCTCTGCCTCCTGGGTTCAAGCAATTCTCCCACCTCAGCCTTGCCAATAGTTGGGACTACAGGCCTGTGCCACCACATCCAGCTAGTTTTTGTATTTTTAGAAGACACACGGTTTCACCATGTTGGCATGTAATTTTCAAATTTCCTATCTTTTAAGAAGAATAAAAAAATTCCTGACGTTTGTGGAGCTTCTAGCAGGCTGTGTGCTAGACCCTTTTACTTTCTCATTTTGATGAGGACTTGAACTAATCAAATAATATCCATTAACTACTGGTCTTGAGGGGCCTTAATACATTTCATTTTCGAATGAAGCCTTCAACCATTGCTCTTCATTTACATCTATAAGCAATCCAGCTTTTTGAAGGTTCAAGGGAGCTTTAATATTTCTGAGCAAGCATCTATCTATATTCCATCTCCAAGATCCTTTTTTCTTAAATCACTCCGCAGTGCTTGAGGATAGGGCAGAAGAGTTCCACTCTCTCCAATGCCTCTTAGAATAAAATAAAGCCAGCACTCAACTTTTTAACTTTATATTCAATTTTCCTAATTATTAAGAATAAAACAAACAAAATAAGCTGAAATGCTTTTATTTTTGATCATAGGCATAAAACCATCCTGGAAAGGAAGAGTGAGTTATTAGCCTTCCTCAGTAGAACAGTGGTTTCCAAATTTTCTTTGAGGATTAAAAACAATAACCATTTTTCTTCAATAAAAAAGCTATAAACAGACTTCCAAAATATAAACACAGAGAGGCAGAACTGCTCAGTTTGAAACTACAGGAAAGGGGAAGATGCGGAGTCTGAAGCTGTGGCCCTGCTCCCAGTCTTCACCCCACAATTCTGTTTACCAAGAGTTCTCAACCTTGGCTATACTATATTAGAATTGCCAGAGGATTTAAAAAACCCTGATACCTGGTTTTCCCCAGACCAACTAAATAAGAATATCTGGGGGATAAAACAGAGGTATCACTATGTTTTGAAATTCTACAGGTGAATCCAAAATTTAAGTGAGGTTGGAACCATTGCAAGAAAGGGAGAGAAACGGTCTATTTTTTATTTGACAGCAGTCATAAGCTTTTCCCCCCATTATCCAAAATACCCAGAAGTGACAGAGCTATCTGGATAGCTGGATTAATATAATTTCTTTCGCTTTGCTGTTGTTTCACACATGACTGGGTTAGAATAGAAAGTGAGCTTTTTTAGGGTATAACAATGTCATCAGATCTTTTACTTTATTGTTTAAAATAAAATAGCCCATATGCTTACAACCAAACAACTTGCTCTTTTGTAATTTGACCCCTGAAGAGAATATTTTTCAGAAGGAATTATGCCAGAGTCAAAAGAAAGAGAAAAATTAAAATCATCCCTACTTTGAAAAGTTAAGTGATTAGAGAAAAATCTATGGAGAATATCTCATTCTTATCATTATGTCTTCTCTCTATTGTATCAGGAGACAATAAAGGGAATTAATTAAGAGGCTCTCTCTAGCATCATTAACAGAGAACTCCTCTTTGTCTGATTATGATTTCAGGAGATCAAAATGTTTCTACCTCTGAAGATTAGAACTATAAGGACCTTTTCCCCCCACTTCACCTCAGGAAGCTCTCTTTGTCCTTACTGAAGGTATTTAAACAGAAACAACTTAATGGATTTGGATATTAAAAAATCAATTGAAGAATCAAAACACTATAAAAATTGCCAATGAAAAAGCTAGTAATAAACATATTTTGGAAAGAAAATTTTAAAATTCATGCAATAAAGGTATGATGAGACCAGGGAGTGAATGAATAAACAATAAAAATAAAGATAGCAATTTCCAAAAGAAACAGGCTTGGGGTTTTCTAATTCTAAGGCTTCTTTCATTTTGCTTTAAATGAATTTAATTCCTACAAGGCAATCCTAGTAAGGAAATCTCTTCTTATCATTTTATGCATGTTGAGAACAAGTAGAGAATGAAGTATGGGCTGTGTGTGTGGATTTTTGTTCTTATTCAGTGAAATCAACTGGCTAATGAATATTTACTCTCAAGTTCCCTCTCATTTCAGGGAGATCCAGCCATGCCCATACTGCAGAGCACACCATAAACTGCAGTGTTGATGAAGGGGGAAGGGGCAGACTCTCCTAGCTGTAATCCCAACACTTTCATATGGAGACTGCCTATGAAAGTCCTTACATCTTCCTGGTTCCCTCATTTCTAGCTTTCAGATGTCACATTGTAAAAATTAAAATTGAATTGACATTATTTAAGCACATTGAAAGTTTTCTAGTATTTGAGATCTTTGCATGAGACTATTGCTTCCCAGAGAGATCTGGAACAACCACATTGGGCAAACGTCTGTCATATCCACAGATCTAGCTTGCACCATTAGGTTTCAGGCACAGAGAAGAAAGAGCATCTTTAACCAAAGCCAAAATTGCAAACTATATCATAAGGAAAGGAAAGGGGAACTAAGTAGAAATGGGAGGGGAAGAGGAAAAGAAATAACAATGGATTGAGCACTTTTTATATCCAAGGTATAATACAAGCCTCTTTATGTGATTATCATCAAATGAAGACAGAGAAGCTCAGATGGGTTAGTTGATTTGCTCAAACCTGCTTTGCTAGAAAGTGGGGAACCTGCAATTTTACCCTGCTTTCTTGGGTTCCAGATCACTTGTCACTCTGCCATTTCACAGAAAAAGTACAAAACAGATTAAACAAATAAGCAATACAAAAGGCAAAGTGCAAGACGTAATACCTATTTGTTCTAACCCTTAAATGTAGCTCTTCTCATTGTCCAGATGGGCTATGATGTAAGGACACTTGCCTCAAATGGTCAAAGCACATTGGCAGACATTTCCATGCATCCCTCCGGCTGCCACAGCCTGCCATGTGGGTGCAGACTCTCTGCCAGTGGAGCCTTCTGCTGTTGACGTTGCCTATGGGCCTCCTCATCTCCCTGAGCCTGGAAACCCAGCTCCATGATGTTGTAAGGGCTGCCCTCTTGCTGATAACTGCCAAATTTCCTTGATGTTCAAGGGCTTGGAAGAGCCCAACATTTGAGTAGCTCAGTGCACAGATGGATTCAGAATTTCAGGGTGCTGGAGCTGAAGATTCAGAAATGTGAGACATTCTAGGGAGATGTTGACTTAGCTCCAAGCATTAGGGCTCCTCAGATTAAAAACATCTAACCCATCTACAATACAAGAATTTTAAAGTGATCTGTGGATTTGAGTTGTTATAAGAACTATTTTGCTTACATTATAAGAACGTTATTCATGACCATTTATTAAAGACTTCTAGTGCTTTTGTATATATAGCTTATCTGTTGTCTTCGTAATGACTCTATCGTAAAATCTTAGCCCCATGTTTAGCTGAAGAAATGAATGCTCAGACAAGGTAGGCCATTTGCCCAAATTCACACAGCAACTAAATTATAGAATGGGAATTCTAACCCAAGTCTGATTCCAGAGTAAGTGTTGTACAATTGCCCCCCTAATAATGGGTAAAGTCAATGTGTGTGGGCTAAGCTGGTAACCTAATAATCACTTAACTTCTATTTTTTAATCTATATTTTTCTAATCACAAATTTAAATTGAGAATTCCAGTTATGTAATTATCTACTAATGAATAATAACTACTTATTACCAAGGCATACTACTAAATATGTTTACTCAAAAGTGCATTTCATTTTGAAAATTTTGTTTTTAATTGACACACAATATTATGCTTATTTATGAGGTACAGTGTGGTATTTTGATACATTCTGTAAAAAATCAAGTCAGGTTATTTAGCATATTCATCACCTCATACATTTGTCTTTCCTTTGTGGTGAGAACATTCAAAATCCTCTCTTTTATGTATTTTGAAACATACAATGCAATATTGTTAACAATAGTCACCCTACTGTTCAAGGGAACATCAGAATTTATTCCTGCTATCTAACTGTAACTTTGTACCTATTGATCAATCTCTCCCTATTCTCCCCTCCTCCCTCCCCTCCCCAGCTTCAGTGACAACTATTATACTATCTGCTTTAATGAGATCAACTTCTTTAGATTCCACATATGAGTGAGATCATGTGGTATTTATCTTTCTGTGCCTGGCTTATTTCACAGAGTGCTGCACACACTGGTTTTTCTCAACATAACATATCTTAAAGCCTTTCCCATATCAGCACATACAGTTCTAGCTCATGTCTTAATGACTATAATTTTTCATTATATGGTTGTATTTAACAGAGCCAATGCTAATGAATGTCTAAGTGGTTACCAGTTTTTTTGTAATTGCAAAAATGGTTTCAGTGAATCTTTTTTGAACATAATTTTGGCATACTATACCAGTACATCTACTGGCTAAATTTTTAGCAGAATTGTGGAGTCAGTGTACAGGCAAAACATTGATAAATGTTGCCTAATTGTGTTTCAAAGGAGTTGAATCTGTTTACCTTACCAGACACAGTGTATGAAGGGGCTCATTTCCCTTTAAACTTGTGAATACTGGGCATTCTCAAATTTTAATTTTTGTGCTAATCTGATAGATAAATTATGAAACCTTTATTTTTGAGATAAAATTCATATAACACAAAATTGACCCTTTAAAAGTATATAATTCTGTGGCTTTTAGTATATTCATGTTGTGCAACCATTACCACAATCTAATTGTAGAATATTTTCATAACACTAGAAAGAAACATCATACTTATTAGCAGTCACTCTCCATTCTCCCCTCCCTCAATCTAGTCCCTGGCTACCACTAATCCACTTTCTGCCTGTATAGATTTGCTTATTCTGAACATGTCACATAAATGGAATTATACAATATGTGAGCTTTTGTGTCTCAGTTCTTTCACTGAACATGTTTTTAAGATTTATCCATGATGTAGCCATGAATTAGTATTTTCTTTTTATGGCTGAATAACATTCTTTGTTTGGATATACTACAATTTGTTTAACTATTAATCAGTTGATGGACATTGAGATTGTTTACACTTTATGACTATTAACAATTTTGTTATGATAATTTATGTACAAATTTTTGCATGAACATAGGTTTCAGTTCTCATTGGATATATACCTAAGAGTGGAATTCCTGGGTCACATGGTATCTCTATGTTTAACATTTTGCAGAACTGCCAAACTGTTTTTCCAAAATGGCTGTATCACTTTACATTCCCCCCAAAATGCACAAGGGTTTTAATTTCTTTAATCCTCACCAATACTTATTATTGTCTATCTTTTTGATTGTAGCCATCTTCGTGGGTGATATGGTTTGGCTCTGTGTCCCCACCCAAATCTCATCCTAAATTTTAATCCCCATAATCCCCACATGTCGAGGAAGAGACCTGGTGGGAGGTGATTGGATCTTGGGGGTGGTTACCCCCATGCTGTTCGTGTGATAGTGAGTGAGTTCTCATGAGCTCTGATGGTTTTATAAGGGACTTTTCTCCCTTTGCTCTCTCTCACCTGCCGCCATGTAAGATGTGCCTGCTTCCCCTTCTGCCATGATCGTAAGTTTCCTGAGGCCTTTCTAGCCACGTGGAACTGTGAGTCAATTAAATCTCTTTTCTTTATAGATTACCGAGTCTTGGGCAGTTCTTTATAGCAGTGTGAAAACAGACTACATATCTTGAAGGCTTTCCCATATCAGGACATACAGTTCTAGCTCACGTTTTAATGACTATATTTTTTCATTATATGATTGTGTCTAACAGAGTCCATGACGATGAATGACTAAGTGGCTCCCAGTTTTTTTTGTTATTGCAAACAATGGGCTATAAAGTTGTATCTCTAGATGGTTTTGATTTGCATTTCCTTAATAATTATCTTGAGCATCTTTTCATGTGCTTATTGGCCATTTGAACATTTTTTTGTAGAAATATCTATTTAAGTTCTTTGTTCACCTTTATTATTGAATTATTTGTGTTCCAATTGTTGAGTTCTAAGAGTTGTTTCTATATTCTGGATATCATATTCGTATCAGATAAATGATTCGTAAATATTTTCTTCCACTCTAGAGGGTTGTCTTTTTACTTTCCTGAGAGTATGTTTTGTAGCACAACAGTCTTTAATTTTGATGAAGTCCAACTTATCTATTATTTTTCTTTGGTTTCTTGTGCTTTAGGTGTCATATCTAAGAAACCATTGCCTAATATAAATATTTATACCGACATTTTCTTCTAGGAGTTGTATAGTTGTCGCTGTTACATTTAGATCTTTGATTCATTTTGAGTTAATTTTTGTATATGGTGAGAGTTAGGGTCCAAGTTCATTCTTTTGCATGGAGCTGTCCATTTTTCACAACACCACTTACTGAAAAAACTATTCTTTACCCATTGAATTGTCTTGGCACTATTTTTGAAAATTAATTGCTTCCACATTTATTGCTTAATTTCTAGACTTTCAATTATATTCCATTAGTCTATATGTCTATCCTTATACCAGTACCACACAGTCTTGATTATTATTGTTTTGTAGCCAGTTTTGAAATTGGGAAGTGTGGGCTATCCAACTTTGTTCTTTTTCAAGATTTTTGGCTATCTTATGTCACTTGCACTTTCATATGAACTTTAGAGTCAGCTTGTAAATTTCTGCAAAGAAGTCATCTGGGATTTTAATAAATATTACATTGAATTTGAATCTGTACATTGATTTGGGGACTATTGTCATCTTAACAATATTATCTTCTAATCTATGAGCAGGAGATACACTTACATTTATTTAAGTAGTCTTTAATCATTCATAGTTTAATCACTCTTCTACTTCTTTTGATGCATTTATTATTTTCGATGCTACTGTAAGTAGATTTTCTTGATATTTCATTTTCAGAATGATCATTGCTATTGTACAGAAATCCCTGTATCCTGCAACTTTGCTGAACTTGATTACCAGCTTTCCTAATTTTTTTGTGGATTCATTAAGATTTTCTACAAATAAGATTATGGCAAATACAGATAGCTTTGCTTCTTCCTTTCTAATCTGAGTGCTTTTTTGTTGTGGTAAAAAACACATAACATGAGATCTACTCTCTTAACAAATTTTTAAGTGTACAATATACATTGTTAACCATAAACACAATGTTGTACAGCAGATGTCTGAGTCCAGCTAAATAATTGGTATTCCAGAATCCACCAGCAGGTCGCATAATGAAAATTCTCACGAATGAGGCTTTGAAGGTGCTCCAACCTCATTCTGCCCTCTCCACTGACTGCCAGGCTGCCGGTTTTCATCATGATTGTAGGATGTTGGCTTTTAAGCTCCCATGGAGCTGAGAGGGAAAGGTGGAAATATGTTGAGTTTAAATGCCACAAAGCATGCTGTTCTTATTAGTATTCTGCTCTATTTTTTCAATGAAATCTCTCTGGCTTGCAGAAAGCCTTTTGTTAATTTCCAGTGTAGATTCTTAGAATTTTTGTCATGTTTTTCCATTGCTTTTATGGAGGAGAAAAGTTTCAGAGGACCTCACTCGGCCTTTCCCTCCTTCTTTCCCTCCCTCCCTCCCTCCTTCCCTCCCTCCTTCCCTCCTTCCCTCCTTCCCTCCCTTCCCTCCTTCCCTCCCTTCCTTCCTTCCTTCCTTCCTTCCTTCCTTCCTTCCTTCCTTCCTTCCTTCCTTCCTTCTTTTTTTGGAGACAGAGTCTCCTTACGTTGCCCAGGCTGGCTTTGAACTGCTTGTGCTCCTGAGTAGCTGGGACTACAGGTATGTGCTATGGTACCCAGTTTTTCACTCTGCCATTTTTATTGATATCATCCCACTAGCTTAACTTCTTTGTAAATACTCATTCTGAGTTCCAAGTAACCATTTTACAAATGTACTTTTGGATATTTTTCTTTGTCTTTTGGAGAGGGCCTAAATTAATCTCTCTCTCACCACTTCCAATAATACAGAGCTAGGCCACAGTCACAGAAGTTACCCCCGCCCCACCCCACCCTATGCTATGTAATTTGAGAGATGTGACAGGTTCTGCCACCTTCAGATCTCTTTCATACCAGCTTACCTCCGTTGAACTTCCTCCCACTAGAATCACTAAATGGTGAAAGCACAAAGATCTGGGCACTATCTGGGCTCCAGTTAAACATTCATGATACCAAGAAGCATTGCTAAAAATACTCCTGCCTTATGAGATGATAGATGCAGGAGGGAATAACACATAGCATGTCCAAGCCTTGGGTAGCCCCAGTGGTGAGGAGACAGAATAGAGGTAGCAGGGTGAGATGGAAAAACAGTGTATTAGTCTTGCAATTAAAAAACCTAATCTCAAATCTACCCCACATGGCTTTGTAATCTTAATTAAATTGCATATCTAATTTAGTTTCAGTTTTTAATTGGTAAAATGAATAAAATAATTCTTACCATGTGGAGTTGTCATGAGGATGAAATACATAAAGTGTTGACTGGTATAATACCTGGCATAGAGGAGATGAATCTAGAGATGCAGATCTGATGAGTTAATAGGTGCATAGTGGGCAGACTGAGGACATGGACGCCTCTGTGACTAAGGAAAGACTGCAGTCCTGGAATGTGAGCTTTCTGTTGGCCAGAACTTTGCCTTCTAGTTCATGGCTGAATCACAGTGTCTAATGCAGGACTGTCACACACAGTAAATGCCTTATAAAATACTTGGCTATTCTTTTTGTTTCTTAAACCTCCAGAAAACAAGATTTCACAACCTCCATCAGTAATCATTTAGGCATTTAATAACCCTGCTGGGGAACATTTCTTGACAGCTTTCTAACTCCCTTTTGTTGCAGCTAGAAACCATTTCAGCTTAACTCAATTCTCAGTGCAGCATTTCAGCTCCTGTTGTACTTGAAAGTAGCACTTCTTCTGTCTTAGCTGTTGTTAATTTTGAGTCCCTTTAATAATTAATATCATATCTTACTCCAGCCAAGCTGAGAGACAGGCTCTTCTGCCTCTCCTCTGGCTTTTTAATTGGCACCTTGTGCACTGCAAACTACAGTGCAAATGAGTTAAATATCATTCTCTGGCTGACATTTTCTTGTTGTCAAAATTCAGCAAGCTCACCCTTAGGAATGTTCCAGTAAGAACTGCAGAAATGGCTCTGACTGAAGGGATGCAAATGTTTCCATGATTTTTTTTCCCCCAAATGTCTTTGCAATTGCACGTTCACATAGCTACCATGCAGACAAGGGTAGGAGACACTGATTTCCCAGTGAAAAGATTGAGGTTTATTATTTGATGTTGTAAATCGTTGAGATTGCACATTTACACATCAGGCCAAGTTCTTGGCTAGCCTTCTCAGAACTGTGGCAAATGATGATAAAAATTAAGTCTGCGAGGATCAGCAGAACATTTATTTAGTATTAACCTGAGTACCTGGTCCAGCCATGCCACCTCCTGGAAGCAGAGTTGGGTGAAGAATGAATGAATGCATTGAGGGAAATCGTAGCAATTGTATGTCAACAACGAAATGCCATAGATGTAACCAAGAAGAATGTAGAGTATTAGAAGTAGAGAAAAAAGGTTTGGAAGCAGAAACCTGAATGTGTGTGTGTGTGTGTGTGTGTGTGTGTGTGTGTGTGTGTGTACGTCTATCCATTACACAAAATTTCATCACCTGTATGCTGAGAGATCTAGGTGGCTGCTCAGAAGATGGTAAACGTTAAAGCTGAGTGCATACTTACATAAAATGTTTACAAATTTGTTTGAATGTAATCTCACCTTTAGTTTTAAAAAATCATAGTTTAGGTGATGGTCTTGATTAAACATGTGTTTTCAAAATAGAAAGATGTAGATTTTTTTCTTGTGGTCTGAGCTAAAAGTAAATAACAACTAGCCACTTAGGCTAATGATTCACATGTAACATAGGACCTGTCTTAAAGAAAGTATCTACAGAATACATATTTTTGATTAAACTGTATATTATGCAGCACATAAATTATTCCTGTGATGATTACCTATACAAAATTGAAAGGAATATGCTCCCACTGATGCCTCCTCCCCAAGAAAAGAACTGAATGAAATGTTTACCCTAAAATTGAAAGAAAAAATTAATTTTCCTATAGGTAAAATATTATAAGTAGAAAAACCTACAGACTTTGTGAGTTAAGGAAAACCTACTTTTACATTCATGTACTCACAGCATATATATTTTCTTAGAAGTCATTCTTGGCATCTGTATCAGTAATTTTGCTGTGAACAACACATGACTCCAAAACCTTTCAGTCCTAAGCATTCTTTTCTCTCATCATAAGTGCCACTGGTTGCAGGTCCATGTGCCTTTGTGTATTGAGGATTGAGACTGAAGGAGCAGTCCCTATTGGAGACATGCTATTTTGTGGCCGATAGCAACAGGGAGAGAGCTTCTAGTGCCTCTTGAACCTTCTGCTCAGAATTGGTGTATGTATGTTACATCCACTTCCATTCCTTTGTCCAAAGGGTGTCATATGTTTAAGTCCAAAGTCAATGAGGCAGCAACATATACCGCTCCCATGTCAGGAATAGTAAGTCTCAGGGCTGGGGGTATGGCTTAGGATTGCCAGATAAAATGCTGGACCTCCAGCTGAATTTGAATTTCAGTAACCAACAAATGAGTTTTTAGTATAAGTATGCCCCAAATATTGCATGGAGCACAAATGTTATTTGTTGTACATCAGAAATATAAGCATCCTGACTTTTTGTTTGCTAAATCTGGTGATCCTAGCAGGGGTGGGTAATCTTCCTAGAGAAAATAGGGTAGTGAATAATTGGGAGCAACAATATATTCTATCATTGCACATTTGCGTTGCTACATTTTTAAAATTACATACTTTGGGGAGTCTGATTGCTTGCTGCTGCTCTCTACACCATGAACTTTCCTCTGTTCTAAACTAATCTAATCTACTGCCACCTGGCTTCACATTTACGCAGAAATTATAATGCCCCCAGGCATCTACTGAAGAACTGAGCTCCCATAGAAGCATTTATACTTATTCCCACCTGAGTCCACAAACACATTAGTCACTGTGGACACCAGGCAGCCCTCATCATATTCTTTTCCTCTTTTCCTGCAACTCCCACTTGCTGATCTACACTGTCCCAGAGCCACCTGAAAACACCTCTCCCCTGCTACTCTGCCAGTGCCTGTCCTGAGAACACCAAGTGCTTGGGTGCTGGGTGGCAGTGCCTCTAATACCACAATGTCTCGGGGCACCAGGCTGGGGCTGGGCGCCAGAGAAAGATGGGAGAGCCATCTTCTCCTAGGGCTCTGTTATTGCCACCAGGCCCAGGGCCAGCTCTAATTATGCCCCCAGTTCCACACAGCCTTTCATGGGAACATATTTGCCAGCTTCTGACCTTCACCCTTCTAACTATATTGGCTCAAACTCAGTCCTAGAAACTTTATGCTTAAGCATCTGCAGTAGAACTGTTGGGAATAAAAAACAACTGGACATTTCATAGGGGCCATTGTCCACTCACATGTGATGCCCTTACTCTGCCTGTTTCCTGCACTGTGGAATGATAATATGCTAACTGCTTCCTCTTCCTTATACACCGTTTGCTTGTGTTTGTCTTTCTCATGCTCTCCTTTACCTCCAGGGGCTTGAAGATATCGATTCCTTTTCCTGGCATGTTTTATTTCACCTCCTACCTTGTGGTAGACTTTGTTGTGTTGGATTCTCCAATATAGATTCTATTTGTTCCTCAGTGAGAAGCAGCAGTGTGATGGGAGAACTGACCTAAGGGTAATTCAATCTATACTGCCTGTGGGTTGGTTTGTATGACACAATTCTGGGAAATGCAATACAGGGGAGGTTTGCCTGAAGCTTCTGGGAAAGGTCTTTCTTGCTGTTAAGAGAGAATGATGGGAAGCTATTATTTCTCTCTCTTCAATTTGAACAAAGAAGCACGTACTAGTAAATGCTCTGGCCACCATCCTACACCTATGAAGGAAGACGGAGATAGGAAGAAACCAATGCCATAGATAGTGAAGCAGAGAAGGCAAAGACCCACGTCTTCAATGACGTCACTTAACCTGCAGCTCATTCAACTCTGAGGCGCACCCTGCCTTCGGATTGACTTTGTGTCATCTAACAAATGTACTTGTTAGAGCCAGTTTGTGTTTTCTATTCCTTACAGCTGAAGGCATCTGACTGCTATATTCCCACCACTGTCTCCTCTTCTGATGACTCTTACTTCTGGATTGTGTTTAGGTGTAATTTTTTTGGGATTGCCTGAGTATGGGTTAGGTACCTTGTACTCTCCTCTCGTAGTCCTTAAGATACTTTGTCATTGCTTATGTAATAGTGTAATTGAACTGCTGGAATATAATTCCCAAAGGGCAGGAGCTATTTGATTCTTTCCACTAGTATATCACTGTCCCAGTGTCAGCCACAGAGTAGGTGCTTAATAAAGTTTTGCTGAGAGAGGCTCCAAGGCCTTGTTGGATGATGTACTGTATCCTCACATATATCCACACAAGCTCTGCTCACCTTCACTGCCTGGTTCCTTCCTCCAGTTGGTTATGACAATGTTTCTTGCCCTTTCAGTTTAATCTATTTTGGTTTCTGGCACCCTCCACTCCATCCATCCAGGTAGTCCTTCTAGGTTCCCAGGCTATGGAACTACTTTCCTTACCTTCTAATCTTCCCTGTAACAGCTGGTCAGCCTGCAGCGCATCCTGCTTTTGGTTCCTTTCCTTCCCTGGCCTGTTTCAGCCTTCAGTGGTTTTCATTTTCCAGCCCCCATATAAGGGCCAAGGCAATTGCTACATTTCATTCTTCTGAAATATTTGCAAAATATGAAATAAACAACAAAATATATGTGGGCGTTTTACTTCTTCCTTTAAACCTAATGGAAGGACAGTAAACTAATGAGGTCAGCAAGGCTCAGATTCCAGGGGCTGGGGAGTTCTTTGAATATTTTATCAAGGAACAGTGGTATTTTTTGTACATGTAGCCCAAATGGCAAAGTTGAAGACATATTTGAAAACACAAAAACAAAAACCGGAAGTTATTCTGGATCTTTCTCTTACATATAAGGAATTAAAAGGTGGCAGCACTGTGACAGACTGTCAGACAAATTTGGTGACACAATGTGAAGAACTGCTCTCCATTTTATATGAGTTCACTCTAGGAGAGGTGAAATAGAGTTATTGGAATGGTATTGTGAGAACAAAGACCCACTGGATTCCACTTCTGCATCTATCTTAGAAGAAAATCATATGTGATAAAAATATTTGTAATACCTGCAAAGTGCAGAGACTTAAGCAGTAAGCAATTTCCAGGGCTTGACTTTCAGGAGGAAAATGAAAGCCTTTTTTTTTAAATTACACATTCACTTAGGTCAATAATAATTCTTATCTTCTGTCCAATGCCTTCTATGTAACAGAGTTTAACCTACAGTATCATATATGTAATTTTTACAGTTTAACTTTATATTAGATAATTCAAATATGCACAAAAGTAGAGAGAGTCTCACAATGAACTTTCACACATCCATCACTTATCATCAACCACTAGCAAAATATGGTCAATCTTGTTTCATGAATATTGCTCTCTTATTTTCCCTTCACATTCTCTTATTTAATTCTCTGTGAGAGTTATTGTCAATGGCCCATTTAGAATGGGAAAATGAGAATCTGAGAGATTGAGTGATGATCCCCATTATAAGGTCAATAAATAGCAAAGCCAAGATACGAGCAAAAGCCTGAATTCCATCAGAGCCTTAGCCTATGCTGCTCATCAGCAGAAGCCCCTAAGATGCACATCAATTATGTGCTGATTTACCAATGTCTCAAATGAACTAAGAAATCAATCGACTAATATTTGTTGAGTCCTTATTTTATACCCACACTGTGCTAGCTACAAAAACATTCTTTTAAAACAGATTTCCAAGAAAGTGGACCCCATGATAGTAGTATTTTTTTAACAGCTTTATGGAAATATAATTTAAGTATCATAACATTCTCCATTGCCAGTATATGAATCAATAAATTTTAATGCATCTACAGGGCTGTACAACTGTCAAAGGCAGTTATTTGTGACTGTTTATATCTGCTTTGTCTCCAGTGCCAAGAAATCGTGCTTGGAATATTATGTGTTCAATAAGTATTTGCTGAATAAATGAATGAAAAATAAGATTTATGCCCTCAAGGAGCTTACTGTATAGTTGGTTAGAAGTGACATATACATATGAACAGTTAGAAAATAAGATAGTTTATAACAACACACTAAATTTATTTATTTACTTATTCATCAGAAGATATTTATTGAATGCCAGGTGTAACTGCTATTAAAAGGTTCATTCACAGATAGTTTATAACAACACACTAAATTTATTTATTTACTTATTCATCAGAAGATATTTATTGAATGCCAGGTGTAACTGCTATTAAAAGGTTCATTCACATCTTGGAATTATCCCAGTAAATTAAAAGTAGCAACTCGTAAGCTTTGTTATTATTGAATACACCTAGTCTTTTGATATCTACGTAAGGAATGCAAGTATTGTTTGACTTTATAAAAATTTCTTGCTTTTGACAGGATGCTACAGATGTGCTTTTGGATGCACATTTGTAGCATCTAGTCTGTAGTCCCCATTCTAAAGTGAAAAGCACTGAGACATTATCTGTATCTTTTCTCAGTGTTGGGCCATGTAGAACAATGCTTCTAGCAACAGGAGTCATTTGAAATGTAGGATCATGAGATAGGAATTCTCAGTCAGACTTAAAGCCAGAGTTGTCAAAATGTAACTTCAGCTTTAAAATAAAAAAGAATTCTTTCTTTTAGTAAATAGAATGTGTAGGCATTAGTTTTCAAACGTTATGATAATAATTTTAAGAAATCTAAGCCTATGTTAGAGTCACTGCTTTCCAAAAATATGAGTTAGTGATTGACAGTGGACTATTGCTTATGGTTTATTGAACTTTGGCATTTGGAAAAGTCTGATCAGTAACAAAACAGAGGTGTTCTAACTTTGTATTTTATCCCTATATTGTGGCATGAATGGCTGTGATACAAAATAGCTTCATCCAAAATAAGTAGAGAGAAAAAAACAGAAAGGAAACTATGTTTTCCTGATTTTATAAGCTTAACATTCATTTAGCCAAGACTTTGGGTGATGATTTGACTTTATGTTAATTGGAGAAAAACTAAGGTTGGCCACATTGTTTGTTCATCTATAAACAAAATGTCTCAGAATAGTCTCCTAATGATCAAAATGTACCTTTCTGTGACCTTTTAAGTGACTCTGTTTACTACAGAAACTATTAGGACTAGCATTTTTAGATCTTTCTGGGTTTCCAAAGAAGTATCAAATGTGTCTCTACGTTGTCTCTTTTCATCTGAGCCCATTAATTTGAATTTTGCAAGATCATATCCAAATCCTATTTGAGTTTTCGCAGTAGACAGAGCCCTGTTTTTAGCAAAGAGCAGAGAAATAAACTTTCACGGAGTTGAAGACTGCACTCTCTATTTGTGTGACAAAGCATGGTGACAGATGCTCTGAAAAGCCATGGTGATGGCAACAAGGAAGCTGTGCTGTGGGTGATTGATTATCTGGGTTCCTGGATTACTGGTCTTGGGAGTAATGCCTACAGCCAGGAAAGGTCAGGTGCCTAGGGAAGTTTTAGATGACACATATTGAAATTCCCAGGCTGTGAACATCCTTTTATTCCTAACTAATTCCCTACTAATTATGTGCACTTATTGAGTTGGTAGAACTTTGGGGACTAGCCATTTTCACCTGTAGCTTCTAACGTCTCACCAGCTAATTGAGAGTGACTGTAGAACATTATAGGACAGAACACTGACTTGGAGTCAGACAGATCTGAATTTGAAATCTAGCTCAGCTCCACAGCTTACCAGCTTGGGCTCTTATGGAAGTTTTTCAATCTGTGTTAAGTAGGGATGATAACAGTACCTACACCCTCCAGTTGTTAAAAATCATAAATGAGATAATACTAATGATGGTGCTGAATGCATGGTCTAGTATCTGCTAAGCATACAAAAATGAAGGTGGTTATATCATTATCGTATTAGTGTCTTTCTCACAAAGATGAGTGACGAAATGGGATCTTCAATGTCCTAGTCAGCATTCAGGTGATGCCAATCAATTCCGTTCAATTCATTTTTTTAAAACACAGGAAAAAAGTCTTGAAAAGTGAATAAGACATATTTCTGACCTGAAAAAAAAAGCCTAAAAGATTGTATGGAAGACCAACATACTTGTACTTAACTACATTGCTAATCAGGATACAACTAAGTGGTCTAATTCCTTGCTGGTTAAAGTATGCTCTGTGGATCAGTGGCATCAACATCATCTGGGAGCTGGAGAAAAATCAGACTCTCAAGTCCCATCTCAGCCTTCTGGGTGAGAATCTGTATTTTAACAACATACCTATTTGATTGATAGGCACATAGAAGTTTGAGAAGCAATAGTCTGAAATATTTCAAACAAAATTCTATGTTGGTAATTATTTCTGGTGGTGGGGGGTGGATTGAAGGACTTGCTGATGAAGTTTAGTTTATATTGGGTCTTTCAGGTTGATCGAGCTTTCAAAGAAGGATGGAAAGGACATTCTAGACTGAGGAAATAGTAAGAACAAAGGCAGGAGGTGTGAAATTTTGTTTCTCCATAAACATGTATGATGTTTAGAGAGAAAGCATTAGTAGCTCATAAACTGGATTATAGAGAATATGCGATAAAGTGATAGATGAGGCTCAAAAGTTTGGTTGGCAACAAATGGCGACATGGCATCAATGCCATGTTACAAAGGATGACTATCCTATTAACATATAAAATGAGACCTCAGATATTTTAGGGCAGAGGGATGTCGTCATGGTTTATTTAGATAGCACATGGGGAGATACATGGATGATTGATTTGAGCCTAAAGGACAAGTGGAAGAGGGGCTATCTAGGCAACTCTTGTAAGAAACTGTTGAATGAAGAGAGTTTACAATATAGGGACTAAAAAGAAAGAAAATGCGGCATCAAGAGACATTTCTGAGGTGAAAACTCTGGGAGTGTGTGAGTGGCACTAGCATTGAATCAAAGATGACTTATGTTTACAGCTGAGGTGACTGAGTGGAAGAGCAAGAGAGCAACTAAGACTGGATCACAGAGAAGGGGTTGGATTAAAAGGAAGATACCTAGTGAGTTCTTGAACAGATCTGGCTTGCGGTATCAGGGACATCCATATGGAGATGCACAAAAGGTAGTTTGGGCTGTGTATTAGTCTGATCTCACACTGCTATAAAGAACTACCTGAGACTGGGTAATTTATGAAGAAAATAGGTTTAATTGACTGACAGATCCACAGGCTTAACAGAAAACATGACTGGTAGGCCTCAGGAAACTTATAATCATGGCAGAAAGTGAAAGGGAAGCAAGCATGTCTTACTATGGCAGAGCAGGGGAGAGAGAGAGACAGAGAAAGGGGAAGTGCCATAGACATTTAAACCACCAGATACCGTGAGAACTCATTCACTATGATGAGAACAGCAAGAGGGAAGTCCGCTCCATGATTTAGTCACCTCCCACCCAGCCTCTGCTTCAACATGTGGGGATTACAGTTTGACATGAGATTTGGGTGGGGACACAGAGCCAAATCATATCAGGCTGAAAGGCAAGCTCAGGGCAGAGATGTGGATTTTGGAAGCATCTCTATGCAGATAGCAGTCAAAATTATGGCAATGCATGAAATAGACCAAATAGTAGGTACAGTGTGAAGAAGAAAAGAAACCAGGTATAAAAGACTGGTGATCATGTAAAACACGGGTGAAAAAGGAAATGATGGTAGGACATCTTTATGGACACTTAGGACACCCCTCCACCCCCACCTCCTGACCCTTGGCCATATTTCTTTTTCTCTTTAAAATTTCCTTTGCTATAAATGATGAGCTGCTTCAAAATCTCCAGGGATTGCCTAGGCCCTGGACCTTGCTAGGAATTGCTCTAAAACCCACCCAGCTCTGCCAGGAAGGGCACAAGGGTTGCATTACAGTCCAAATAGCCACAGTAGCCATCCAGAACTCCTGAGTGACTGGATACTACTTTTTGCAACAATAACAAACTGCCCAGAACCTCAGTACTTATGATTTGTTCATTATTTTCTGCTTGTGGTATAGATCTCACATCCCGTAACTGTCTCCTGAAAGCTTAAGTACATCAATAATTTGTATTTATATATAGTGATTTTTTGTTGTTCACATGATGATTTCTCATTAATTATCTCCTTTGTTTTTCAAAATCACCACCAAAGGGAAGCATTGTTTTTACTCTCATTTTACAGCTGAGGCAGCAGAGGCTCACAGTAATTTTTCCCAAGATCTCATAGTTAGAATATTGTCCAACCTAGGATTTTAGATATTAAACTCCAGGCTATTTTCCCTACTTTCAGTTCTTGTCCCTAAACTGTTAACAGGTCATCCATACGTGCAGGCTCAGTTAGATGTTTTTTTTCTTTCAGATCAGATATAATGGCCCACATGATCTCATTTATATGTGGAATCTAAAAACGTTGAACTCATAAAAGTAGAGGGTAGATTCCTGGTGGCTGCCAGGAGCTGGAGGCAGGGTGTGGGGCAAGGGCGATGGGAAAAGAAGATATTAGTCAAGGTTTCAAAGTTTCAATTAGGCAAAAGGAATAAGTTTTAAATATCTATTTCACAGCATGATGATTATAGTTAATAATATGTAACGTATATTTAAAATTACTATGATGATAGATTTTAAATATTTGCACCACAAAATAATGACATATTAGTCTGTTTTCTTACTGCTGATAAAGACATACCCAAGACTGGGCAATTTACAAAAGAAAGACATTTATTGAAATTATAGTTCCTTGTGGCCAGGGAGGCCTCACAATCATGGTGGAAGGTGAAAGGCAATGTCTCACATGGCGGCAGAAAAGAGAAGAGAGCTTGTGCAGGGAAACTCCCCTTTTTTAAAACTGTCATATCTCATGAGACTTATTCACTATCACGAGAACAGCACAGGAAAGACCTGCCCCCATGATTCAGTTACCTCCCACCAGGTCCTTCACACAACATGTGAGAATCCAAGATGAGATTTGGGTGGGGACACAGCCAAACCATGTCAAATGGTAAGCATGTGAGGTGATGGATCTGTTAATTAGCTTGATTTAATTATTCTATAACATATTTATATATCAAAACATCACACTGTACTGCATAAATATTATTATTTGCTAATTAAAAAACAAAAATATATAATAGTTCAGTCATCTCATCAGCTAGAAACTTCCTAATACATATGTTAATTTCTCCCCTGGTTAGGGAGAAGATTGGCACCCTTTCGTTTAGATGCTACCACTGCTGTTAACTGTACTTTTGTCCTTGAGGCTATATCAAGGGCATCTTCTATTGATTAACATATGGTAACCACATAAGGTAAATTGCTAATTGGAATCAGCAGTGCATATAAAGTTATTTTTTTTTACCCTGAAACAATATTGTAGTAAGAAACAAACAAATAAAACCTTTGCTTAGTCAGGATGCTAGGGTGTGGCTTGCCCCTCATTAGAAGCCACACAGTTGTTGACTAAAAAACCACTGCAGCCTTGGGGTTGTCTGAAGAAGAAGAGTTGCATGATGTTCAAATATCTTTGGTGACAATGAAAGTCTTCATGCCAATGGTAAACTGGCCAAAAAATGTTTATTAAGAGAAAGAAAGTAATATCTTAACAGATGATTTTGAAGCACACTGTGAGGTGTAACTTTTTTATATTATCTTTTTAAAATCAAAACCTTTTTTCTACATCTTACTTTTTGATGATAGTATCACAATAAATTACTGTGTACAAAGCTGTATCTGTTTATATATTTCAGAAATGTAATACACACACAGATACACACATACATGTGGAATAAATTTTATAGGGTGGTATACAGTTTTATGTAAAATTACCATGGACTTTTTATACAAAGTATTCCATAAGACTGATCCAGTGGTTGAGGTGAAATGGAACTGAACATACAGATTTTAAATACTTACTATGGTTCAAGAGTTAATTTTAATATTTTATTAAAAAATGCTTCCTTTGAGTGTTCACAATATCATTATAATATCCTATTACTACCTGGAATTATCACAGTAATGTTGTAGGGTAAGTATTATTATCCTTTCTTTGAAGAAAGGCTCAGAGATACTGAGTAACTCACCTAAGATCACAAAACTAGGAAATGGTCAAACCAGAATTAAAACTACAATTTGTCAGGCTCCTAAGTTCTCCCTCATGATCACTATTCCTGCCTTGCTCAAGATTACATTGCACCAGCCAGAAGAAGTATGGGAATTCAGGTGTGCTAACTTCCTTCCTAGAGTTCTTTTCTTTGTTTTGTTCTGTTTTCAAATAGGTAAACTGACATGAGGCTCATGTTAGTTTAGATTCCAGATACCTAAAGAAATGGTTTCAAAGCTTCTTCTCACAAGCCACAGATTGGGACTCCTGAAAATTTTCTTCATGTGTTTCTTGGCATCATGGAGTTCTTCTCTTCCCATAATTCCAAATAGCACTGGACTTCCAGGATCAATGTCATGACAAGGTCAAGGTCAAGTTCACCCCAATAGACGCATGACAAAGTTGCTAAAGGGCAGCTGGACATAGTTCAGTGAGTGACAGAAAAACGCCCTTATGAGGGGAGATCTGGCGAGAGGACTAATGAAGCTGGTTAATGTCTCTCAATGTGCTTGCATTATTCAGTTTCAAAGAGCTGAACAAAGATACAGGGAAAACAACACTTGCCTCAAATGGCCAACAATTAAATTCGCCCCCACAGACAAGCCAGACTCAGTTCAGCCATCTGCTAGTCATCCAAAGGAAGGAAGAGACATGACTGGAGAGTCACAGGAAATGGTTTTGTGACCTAGATAGCAGCTGTAGAATTAGGACCTTTGTTCTTAGTTTGGCCACATAGTAAATTGTAAATCCTAAAGGATGTGTATGTGATAAATTTTACATATGCATCATATATGAATATATGATACAAATATACACATATTTAAGCATGTATTTTTATTACAGACACTTTTCTGTTTTTGTTGAGACAGAGTCTCGCTCTGCCACCCAGGCTGGAGTGCAGTGGCGCGATCTTGGCCCACTGCAAGCTCCGCCTCCCGGGTTCACGCCATTCTCCTGCCTCAGCCTCCCGAGTAGCTGGGACTACAGGCGCCCGCCACCACGCCCGGCTAATTTTTTGTATTTTTAGTAGAGATGGGGTTTCACCATGTTAGCCAGGATGGTCTCGATCTCCTGACCTCGTGATCCACCAGCCTCGGCCTCCCAAAGTGCTGGGATTACAGGCATGAGCCACCGCGCCCGGCCCAGACACTTTTCTGTTTTATACTTGTTTCATTTATGTAGGAATATGTATTGTAAATAAATGCACATACATGCATAAATATAGACACAAACACACATATGGATACAGACACATACACACACTCATCATATAGTCAGAGTAGCAGAAATCTTAGAAATCAGCCTGCTTCTGTTGTTTCATTCATGAAGAAACAAGAACTCAAAAAAATATTTAATTCACCAAAGACACACAGTTAGATGTAGATGTTGCTAGAAGTTTATAGAGTTCTTATAAGTTCCTACCTAAATCTCTATCTATCTGATTCTAGGCTGTGGAATCAGGCAGAACCTAGGATAGAATGCCGTATCCATCAATTACCAATTATTCTGAGATACCACTTTTTGATTTGTAAAATGAATACAATAATCTCTATTTTAAATGGGGTGACATAAAGGCTAAGTGAGGCCAACTGTGTGAGGCCTCCATCACTATACCTGTACATAGAGGCTGCTCAATAAACAGTCCTTTTCTCCCAATTTTCATTGTCTACAGCTATGCAATATGCATTATCCTATAAATTTACTATTGAGTTAATATGCTTGATTTAACCTTCATGTCCACTTAATTTTCAAAATTATTTTTAGCCACTGGTTGGTTGAATAGATAGAGATGGATTTAAAGTAATAGAAAAGCAGCAGTTGTAACTTAGAACAAACCATGACTTGGGTATGTCTATATCACTTTCGGTCTCACACACTCCACACAGGGCTGCATTCTGTGGAAGGGTCTTGTATTATCTATGAATATGCACTGTTTTTCCTAGTTCAGGCATACAAAGATCAGTACTGTAATGTGGAAAAAAAAAAAAACCCTTGAAGAATGCAATTCTCATTTGTTTCTTTGAAACTTTGTTTTTGAGAATTTCATTCCACTTAACTCAGGACTCTCAGCCTGCCCTGATAATTTATATCTACATTTCAAAGACTATGAATCATAAATGCATATTTCCATCTATTGTACAATCTCTCAACATTGCTTAAAGGAGAGTGAGTGGATTCTTTTTAAATCTAATCTTCCCAGTACTCATCCAGGAAATTTCAAATCCAACAACTTTTCATTCAGATGGGTGTATGTTGTTTCTTGTTCTTTTTTTCAGTACAAACTTCTGAAACCAGCAATAGCAAATATGTGTGCACATTGATTTACCCTAACATGAATAACTGTTTTCCCCAGGGTGAAATTGAAAAATAAAATGAGTGAATGATGGAGAAAATTGAGTAGCTAGGGATTCTAAATGGCCTTTGGTTTGAATTAAGTATTGTACTCCACTTCTGAGTAGTTGAAATCTGTTATTCTACCCCTTGAATTTTCCTTATTTCTTTTGTCCTGTCTTTCTGCCTTTCAGGCAACTGCCATGCTTTGAATGTATGTGTCTCTTCAAAATTCTTAACTGCCAATGTGATAGTATTAGGAGGTGAGGACTTTAGGGGGTAATTAAATCATGAGGGCAGAGCCATCCTGAATGGGATTAATGTTTTTAAAGAAAGGTGTAAGGGAGCTGTTCATCCCTTCTGCCATGTGGGAGCACACTAAGGGGGGCCATCTTGAAAACAGAGAGATGCCCTCACCAGACACCTAAGCTGCCAGCACATTTATCTTGAAATTCCTTGCCTCCAGAACTGTGAGACAATACATTTCTGTTCCTTTTAAATGACCCAGTCTTGGGTATTTTGTTATAGAAGCATGAACAAATTAAGACAGCAACATACTTAAAAAAAAGTTAGCACTGACTATCTATATGTTAGGCACTGTGCTAGTCAATGCAGATATTGACATAGATGTCCTATGTTTTAAAGTGTCTGCAGGCTAGCAAGGGAGAGAGAAACACATAACCATAAACCAAAGTGGCAAATCCACTCTTGTCCCAGAAAGTGAGCTGCTGATGTAAATTTAGTCTCTCAGATAGAATTTCTGTTGCAAAGAGACTATAATGACTAGCTGACAAAAATGTTCCTTTCGGTTTCCTTAGTATAATTATGTTTCTCATATAAATGAATAAATTGACATGTTGGCTTCTAAGTAAATTTTTTGGACTGTGGTGAGTTATTTCTCAAGATCCAGTTGCCACAGGGTGAAATGACAAAACCACAGGACTGACTCCATCTTGCTGAGAAAGTGCTCCGAACACTCAGTAGTTCCAACAAGATGCAGGCCCCCTCATGAGATTCAGCCTGAAGTGTCCACACCGAATATCCCATTACAGCAGCTAGTAAGGAATGGGATAAGTTGTATTTGGGGCTGTCAAAAATGCTTTGAGGTAAATCTCTAGTTGAAGTAACAATTGGGCAGAGACAAAAAGAGAGCAAATATTTGTTGAGTTTCTAGAACATTGTTTTATGTGCTTAGCTTAGAGCAGCTGTTAATTATCTTAAATCACACATTCAGTAAGTAGTAGGTCTTAAATTTGAATCTAAATACACATTCTGCCTATTTTGCTTTTTCAAGAATATTATTAGAGACTATATCAAGAACTGTAAGGTATTTTATGCTTTTTAGAATAGCATTTTCCTAAAAAAGTATTCCTAGGAAATAATAAGAGATGCACAGAAAGGATATCAAGAGTGATCACATTGTGTAATTTATACTAACAAATAAACTGGAAACAACCAAGAGAATCAGCAAGGTAAATGTGGATAAATGAATTACAATGTAGTCATATGATGGACCGTTATACACAAAATTAAAAGCAGCGTTTCATGACAGGAAACATTTTAAGATGTAATGTTAAATATCAAAACAAGAATGCAAAATTTTGAAGTGTATGATTTCACCACGATTTTAACATGCACAGAAAAAAATTGTAAAGGAAATTAAGTGCTTATCTCTAGATGATGAACATACAAGTTAATTTAATTTCTTTTTACTTTTCAGTAATTTTCAAATTTTCTAATATTAAACATATTATTGTAAAGCAATGAAATATTTTTATAGAATTATATTAATCAAGGTGCTTCATATAGTGATTGCAAGTTTTAGGCTGCTGCCACCTGTTTAGTGGGTACAGGGATGCCACCACCCCACTCCTGCTGGTGACCCCTCCCAGCTCATGTGCGTGCACCCTGTGGGGATGCTGTGGCTAGTCGTACATGCAAGTGAGCACAGATCCTGCTGCCACTGCCCTGAGTAAGTGCTTTGACTGCCTCCCCCACGTCAGAGTATTGTGGCCAGTGGGCCAAGAACACCTCAGTCCCTCAAGTACAACAGGTTCCTAATCTTGAGGGGCCAGAAAATGAAGCCCAGAGTAAGGACACACAGCCAAGGAGTGCTGAGTTGAGCCTTCCCCGCTTAAATCTTACA
Organism: Homo sapiens; assembly: GCF_000001405.40. NCBI lineage: Eukaryota > Metazoa > Chordata > Mammalia > Primates > Hominidae > Homo > Homo sapiens. The sequence continues at coordinate 103,716,803 of NC_000011.10, forward strand.
GAAACAAAGCCTGTCAACCTTATTCCACAATAAAATCCCCAAGGGCATCAAAGAAGATAAAAGCGAAAAGAAAAAAAAAATCCAAAGGACAGCAACTTTAAAGACTGAAGGAACATCAGCACACCTAGGTGAGAAAGAAACAGAGAAAGAACTCTGGCAACTTAAAAAGGCTTCCTACCTTCAAATGACTGCACTATTTCCCCAGCAATGGTTCTTAACCAGCCTGAAATGGCTAAAATGTCAGAAATAGAGTTCAGAATATGGATTAATGAAGATCACTGAGATTCAGGAGAAAGTCAAAACCCAATCCAAGGATACTAAGGAATACAATAAAATAATACAGGAACTGAAATTTGAAAAGGTTATTTTAAGAAAGAATCAGATTTGACAGAGCTGGAAAACTCACTTCAAGTATTTCATGATACAATCACAAGCATTAACAGCAGAATAGAGCAGCTGAGGAAAGAATCTCAGAGCTCGAAGATTCGTTCTGTAAAATTACTCAGTCAGACAATAAAGAAAAAAGAATAGAAAGGAAAGAACAAAACCTCTGAGGAATATGGAATTGTGAAGAGAGACCAAATTGATGACTTATTGGAATTCTTGAAAGAGAAGGAGAGAAAGCAAGCAACTTGAAAAACATATTTGAGGATATTGTCTATGAAAAATCCCCCAACCTTGCTAGAGAGGTCGAGATTCAATTTGAGGAAATGCAGTAACCCCTGTGAGATACTATCTGAAATGAACTACGCCAAGACACATAGTCATCAAATTTTCTAAGATCGAAATGAAAGAAAAAATGTTAAAGGCAATTAGAGAGAAGGGGCAGGTCACCTACAAAGGGAACCCAAGCAGGCTAACAGCAGATCTTTTAGAAGAAACCCTACAAGCCAGAAGAGATTGCGGGCCTATATTTAGCATTCATAAAGAAAAAAAATTCAACCAAGAATTTCATATCCAGCCAAACTAAGCTTTGTAAATAGAAGAGAAATATGATCCTTTTCCAAAGAGCAAATGCTAAAAGAATTTATTACCACCATACCTGCCTTACAAGAAGTCTTTAAGGGAGAGATATATATGGAAAAGGAAGATGGTTACTGGCCACCAGAAAAACACACTAAAGTACATAGACCATTGCCAATGTAAAGGAACTACACAATCAAGTCTGCATAACAACCACCTAACAAGATGATGACAGGATCCAATCCACACATATTAATATTAACCTTGAATGTAAATGGGCTAAAGCCCCTGTTAAGAGGCTCAGAGTGGCAAGTTGAATAAAGAAGCAAGGTCCAACTTCAAGAGACTCATCTCACATGCAATGACACTTGTAGGCTCAAAGTAAAGGGATGGAGAAAAATCTACCAAGCAAAGAGAAAACAGATTCACAACTGAATTCTATCAGACATCTGGTCCTGGGCTATTTCTGGTTGGTAGGTTTTTTATTACTGATTCCATTTCAGACGTCATTATTGGTCTACTCAGGATTTCAATGTTTTCCTGGTTCAATATTGGGAAGTTGTATGTTTCCAGGAATATATCCATTTGTTCTATGTGTTGCACTTTGTGTGCATAGAGGGGTTAAAAATAGTCCCCAAAGGGCTTTTGTATTTATGTAAGATTGGTTTTAATGTCACCTTTATTATTTCTGATTGTATTTACTTGGATCTTTTTGTTTTTTCTTTATTAGTCCAGCAAGGAGTCTATCAATCTTATTTATTCTATCAAAAAAAAATTCCTGGATCTGTTGATCTTTTATATGGTTTTTCACCTCTCAATTTCATTCTGTACTCCTCTGATTTTGGTTATTTCTTGTCTTGTATTAGCTTGGGGTTTGGTTTGCTCTTTTTTTGTTGTTGTTGTTGTTGTTTGTTCATTTAGTTCCTTTAGGTGTAATGCTAAGTTGTTAATTTGATATCTTTCTAACTTTTTGTTTTGGGTGTTTAGTGCTATAAACTTCCCTCTTAACATTGCTTTAGCTGTGTCTCAGAGATTCTAGTATGTTGTATCTGTGTTTTCATTACTTTTGAAGAATTTCTTGATTTCTGCCATAATTTCCTTGTTTACTCAAAAGTTATTCACAAGCAGGTTGTTTAATTTCCATATAATTCTATGGTTTTGAGAGATTTTCTCAGTATTGATTGCTATTTTTATTGTGCTGTGGTCCAAGAATGTGGTTGGTATGATTTAGGTTTTTTGAATGTGCTGAGGATTGTTTTACAGCCAATTTCATGGTCATTTTAGAGCATATGCCATATGCAGATAACAGAAATGTATATTCTGTTATTCTGGGGTAGAGCTTGCTGTAGATACCTACTAGGTCCATTTAGTTAACTGTGGAATTCAGTTCCAAAATATCTTTGTTAATTTTCTGCCTTGATGGTCTGCCTAATACTTTCAGTGGGGTGTTGATGTCTTCCACTGTTATTGTGTGGTTATTTAAGTCACTTTGTAGGTCTCTAATAACCTGTTTTATGAATCTTGGTGCTCCCGCATTGGGTACACACATATTCAGGCTTGATAGGTCTTGTTGAATTGAGCCCTTTACCATTATGTCATGCTACATTAAGGGAGAATCCTGTGGGGCAAAAGAATCTGAACAGCAGACCTTGAGTTCCAGGTCTTCCCTCTGATATAGTCTACTGAAAAGAGAAGGAACCAGAAAAATAATTCTGGTAATATGACAAAGGTTCTTTAACCCCCAAAAGATCACACTAGCTCACCAGCAATGGATCCAAACCAAGAACAAATCCCTGAATTGCCAGAAAAAGAATTCAGAAGGTCAATTTTTAAGCTAATCAAGGAGGCATCAGAGAAAGATGAAGTCCAAATTAATGAAATTTAAAAAAGGATGTTACAAGACATGAAGGGAAAAATCTTCAATGAAATAGACAGCATACATAAAATGCTACTTCTGGAAATCAAGGACACACTTAGAGAAACATGAAGTGCACTGGAAAGTCTTAGAAATGAAATCGAACAAGCAGAAAAAAAAAAACTTCAGAGCTCAAAGACAAGGTTTTGAAAGTAACCCAATCCAACAAAGAGTTTAAAGTAAACAGAATTTTATGAAATGGTCAAAGTCTCCCAGAAATTTGGGATTATGTTAAACAGCGAAACCTAGGAATAATTGGTGTTCCTGAGGAAGAAGAGAAATCGAAAAGTTTGGAAAACATATTTAAGGGAATAATTGAGGAAAACTTCCCCAGCCTTGCTAGAGATCTAGACATCCAAATACAAGAAGCTCAAAGAACACCTAGGAAATTTATCACAAAAAGATCATTGCTAGGCACATAGTCATCAGGTTATCTAAAGTCAAGACAAAGGAAAGAATCTTAAGGGCTGTGAGGCAAAAGCACCAGGTAACCTATAAAGAAAAACCTATCATATTAAGTGAAGGTTTCTCAGCAGAAACCCTACAAGCTAGAAGGGATTGGGGCTCTATCTTTGGCCTCCTTAAACAAAACAATGATCAGCTAAGAATTTTGTATCCAGTGAAACTAAGTTTCAGATATGAAGGAAAGATACAGTCTTTTTTCAGACACACAATTGCTGAGAGAATTCACCACTTCCAAGCCAGCACTGCAAGAACTGCTAAAAGGAGCTCTAAATCTCAAAACTATTCCTTGAAACACACCAAAATAGAACCCCTTTAAAGGATAAATCTCACAAAACCTAGAAAACAAAAACACAATAAATAATAATAATAAACCAAGGTATTCAGGCAACAACTACCACAATGAATACAATAGTACCTCACATCTCAATACTAACATTGAATGTAAATGGCCTAAATGTGCAACTTAAAAGATACGATGGCAGAATGGATAATAATTCACCAACCAAGTATATGCTGTCTTCAAGAAATTCGTCTAACACATTACGACACACATAAACTTAAGGTAAACTCATAGCAAAACAGTACTGTGGTGAACTGGGGACAGATTTGCTGCTACTGCTGCTGCTGCCACTGCCACCACCTCTACCTTCTGTTGCATGGATAAACTGAGGGATGTGGCACTGTTGTGAGAGTCTTACAAATTCCAGGCAGGTACTCCTAGCTGGGACCCGACAATTCAGTTTGCACCCCAAGGCTCTAAATCTCAGCTCCCCTAGGTCCTGGTACCATGTCTTTGGAAGACACACACAGAAAGGACTTAGATACCTTCTGAAAAGGATGGGACAAATAAAACTTATATTCCCTCCTCTCCTCTTGCTTGGAAGATCATTTAAGATTAGGAGATGAAGTGACTTTTCCCACTGAAGGGGACACAGAGGAAACTATGATTAGGAGTTTCCAGACACCTGTGTTCCAGCCATGGTTTCCCTATGTCCTCGCCTTGGGACCCAGCACTACTTACTAAACCTTTTTGAGTAACAGTTTCCTTATCTATAAACAGGAATAATAATAGGACCAACTGCACAGAGCTGTTGTGAAGGAAAAAAATAATCCATGCAAATGAACACCCAAAATGAGCAGGACTGGCTATTCTTATATCAGACAAAACAAACTTTAAAGTGACAGCAGTTAAAAAAGACAAAGAGTGACATTATATAATGATAAAAGGATCAGTCCAACAGGAAAATGTCACAATCCAAAATACATATGCACCTACCACTAGAGCTCCCAAATTTATAAAACAATTACTACTACACCTAAGAAATGAGATAGACAGCAACATAATAATAGTGAAGGACTTCAATGCTCTACTGACAGCACTAGACAGGTCATCAAGAAAGAAAGTCAACAAAGAAACAATGGATTTAAACTACACCCTAGAACAGATGGACTTAACAGATATTTACAGAATGTTCTGCCCAACAACAGCTGAATATACATTCTATTCATCAGCACACGAAACATTTTAGAAGATAGACCATATGATAGCTCACAAAACAAGTCTCAATAAGTTTAAGAAAATTGGAATTATATCAAGTACTCTGTCAGACCACAATGGAATAAAATTGAAAATTAACTTTAAAAGGACACTCAAAAGTGTGCAAATACATGAATATTAAATAACCTGCTCCTGAATGATTGTTGGGTCAACAACGAAATCAAGATAAACATTAAAAAATTCTTTGAGACTGGGTGCAGTGGCTCACGCCTGTAATCCCAACACTTTGGGAGGCCAAGGTGGGTGGACCCCTTGAGCCCAGGAGTTCAAGACCAGCCTGGCCAATATGGTGAAACCCTGTCTCTACTAAAAATACAAAAATTAGCTAGGTGTGGTAGCACATGCTCGTAATCCCAGCTACTTGGGAGGCTGAGGCAGTAAAATCGCTTAAACCCAGGAGGTGGAGGTTGCAGTGAGCTGAGACTGTGCCACTGCACTCCAGCCTGGTTGACAGAGCAAGGATCTATCTCAAAAACATAAAATAAAATATAAAATAAATTCTTTGAACTGAACAGTAATAGTGACACTTATCTCTCCTCCTTTCCCAAACATTATAAAAACCCTGTTTCTCTAACTGTACAACTACAAAGTCACTAAAAAAAACCTCAAGATGTAAAACATGTTTTTCCTTAAAAAATAAAAAATAATACATGTCTCAATTAATTAAATAACTGTCTTTGTTTCTCACTTCTATAATATAGTTTCCCCTGCACAAATTTCCCCCCGCCTCATGAAATACTTAAAAAATAACTTAACTCTTGGTTCAAAACTCAGTCCTTTAAATATTAATCCAACTAGACCAGTAGACCTAAATAATAAATATCCTCCTAAACCCCATCAGTCTCTCTAGTTCCTTAAAAATCCTATCAAAACCTATCAAAGTCTCTGGAATACAGCAAAGGCACTGCTAAGAGAAAAGCTCAAAGCCTTAAATGTCTACATCAAAAAGTCTGAAAGAGCAAAAATAGACAATCTATGGACACACCTCAAGGAACTAGAGAAACAAGAACAAACCAGTCCCAAACCCAGCAGAAGAAAAGAAATAACAAAGATCAGAGAATAACTAAACTAAACTGATACAAACAAATAAAACACAAACAAACAAAAAACAATACAAAAGACAAATGAAAAAAGCTGGTTCTTTGAAAAGGTAAGCAAAATTGATAGGCCCTTTAGTGAGATTAACCAACAAAAGAAGAGAAAGATCCAAACAGGCTAAATTAGATATGAAACAGGAGATATTACAACCTATGCCACAGAAATACAAAAGATCATTTGAGGCTACTATGAATAACTTTATGCACATAAACTAGAAAACCTAAAGGAGATGGATAAACCCCTGGAAATATACAGTCTTTCTAGATTAAACCAGGAGGAAACAGATACTCTGAACAGAGCAATAGCAAACGGTGACATTGAAATAGTAATTAAAAAGTTACCAACAAAAAAAGTCCAGAACTAGATGGATTCATAGCTGAATTCTATCAGATAATCAAAGAAGAATTGGTATCAATCCTATCGACACTATTCCACAACAGAGAGAAAGAGGGAATCCTCCCTAAATCATTCAATGAAGCCAGTATCACTCTAATACCAAAACCAGGAAAGGACATAACATAAAAAGGAAACTACAGACCAATATCCCTGATGAATACAGATGCCAAAATCCTTAACAAAATACTAACTAACCAAATCCAACAGCATATCAAAAAGATAATGCATCATGATCAAGTGGGTTTCATATGAGGGATGCAGGGATGATTTAACACACACACGTTGTATTAGTCCATTCTCATGCTACTATGATGAAAGACCTAAGACTGGGTAATTTATAAAAGAAAAATAGGTTTAATTGACTCACAGTTCTGCATGGCTGGAGAGGCCTCAGGAAATTTACAATCAAGGCAGAAGGCACCTCTTCACAGGGTGGCAGGAGAGAGAATAAGTACTGAGTGAAGGGGGAAACCCCTTATAAAACCATTGGATCTTGTGAGAGCTCACTCGCTATCACAACATGGGGGAAACTGTCACGATGATTCAATTATCTCCATCTGGTCCTGCTCTTGATATGTGATGATTATTACAATTCATGGTGAGATTTGGGTGGGGACACAGAGCCAAACCATATCATTCTGCCCCTGGCCACTCGCAAATCTCATGTCCTCACAATTTGAAACAATCACAGCCTTTCAACAATCCCCCTAAGCCTTAACTCATTCCAGCATTAACCCAAAAGTCAAAGTCCAAAGTCTTATCTGATACAAGGCAAGGACCTTCTTCCTACGAACCTGTAAAATCACAAACAAGTTAGTCACTTCCTAGATACAACAGGGGTACAGGCATTGGATAAATACACCTGTTCCAAATGGGAGAAAATAGCTAAAACAAACGGGCCACAGGTCCCATGCAAGTTCAAAATTCAATAGGGCAGTCATTAAACCTTAAAGTTCCAAAATGATCTCCTCTGACTCCGTGTCTCACATCCAGGTTACACTGATGCAAGAGGTGGGCTCCTATGGCCTTGGGCCACTCCAGCCCTGTGGCTTTGCAGGGTACAGACCCCCACCATGGGTACTTTAGTGGGCTGGCATTGAGTGTCTGTGGCTTTTCCAGGTGCATGGTGCAAGCTGTCAATGGATCTACCATTTTGGGGTTTGGAGGACAGTGGCCCTCTTCTCACAGCTCCACTAGGCAGTGCCCTAATGGGGACTCTGTGTGGGGGTTTCAATCCCACATTTCCCTTCTGCACTGTCCTGGCAGAAGTTCTCCATGAGAGCCCTGCCCCTGCAGCAAACTTCTGCCTGGACATACAGGTGTTTCCATACATCCTCTGAAATCTAGGCGGAGGTTCCCAAACCAGAATTCTTGACTTCTGTGCATTCACGGACTCAACACCATGTGGAATCTGCCAAAGCTTGGGGCTTGCACCCTCTGAAGTAATGGCACAAGCTTTACCTTGACCCCTTTTAGCCATGGCTGGAGCTAAAGCAGCTGGAATGCAGGACCCCATATCCTGAGGCTGCACAGAGCAGGGGGGCCCTGGACCTGGCCCACTAAACCATTTTTTCCTTCTAGGCCTCTGGGCCTGTGATGGGAGGGACTGCCGGGAAGGTCTTGATATGCTCTGGAGATATTTTCCCCATTGTATTAGTGATTACCATTCAGTTCCTTATTATTTCTGCAAATTGCTGCAGCAGGCTTGAATTTCTCTACAGAAAATGGGTTTTTATTTTCTACTTCATCATCAGGCTGCAAATTTTCCAAACTTTTATGCTCTGTCATATCTTGAATGCTTTGCTGCTTAGAAATTTCTTCCACCAGATATCCTAAATCATCTCTCTCAAGTTCAAAGTTCCACAGATCTCTAGGGTAGGGGCAAAAAGCTGCCAGTCTCTTTGCTAAAGCATAGCAAGAGTCACCTTTACTCCAGTTCCCAACAAATTTCCCATCTCCATCTGAATTCACCTCAGCCAGGACTTCATTGTCCATATTACTATCAGCATTTTGATCAAAGCTATTCAACAAGTCTCTAGGAAGTTCCAAAGTTTCCCATATCTTCCTGTCTTCTGAGCTCTCCAAACTATTCCAAACTCTGCCTGTTATCCAGTTAGAAAGTTGCTTGCACATTTTCAGGTATCTTTACAGCAGAACCCTACTTCTGGTACCAATTTACTGGTACCAGAAGTATTCGTTGATTCTCATGCTGCTGTGAAGAAATACCTGAGACTGAATAATTTATTAAAAAAAGAGGTTTCATTGACTCACAGTTTCACATGGCTGGGGAGGCCTCAGGATACTTACAATCATGGCAGAAGGCACCTCTTCATATGGTGGCAAGAGAGAATGAGAGCCAAGTGAAAGGGAAAGCCCCTTATAAAACCCATGGTATAAAACCCAGATACCATGATAACTTACTCAATACCATGAGAATGACATGGGGGAAACTGACCCCATGATTCAATTATCTCCACCTCGTCCTGCCCTTGACACATGGGGATTATCACTTAAAACAGAGCTACCATTTGACCCAGCAATCCCCTTATTGGGTGTATACCCAAATAAATATAAATTGTTGTGCCATAAAGACACATGCATGCATATGTGTATCACAGCAGTATTCACAATAGTAGGGAATGGAATCAGTCCAAATGTCCATCAATGGTAGACTGGATAAAGAAAATGTAATTTAGTAGCAGGGAAACATTGAGTACACATGGACACAAAGAAGTGAACAACAGACACTGGGGCCTACTTAAGGGTGAAGGATGAGAGGAAGGTGAGGATAGAAAAGCTACCTATCATGTACTATGCTTATTACTGGAGTGATGAAATAATCTGTGCACCAAACCCCTGTGACATGCAGTTTGCCTATTTAACAAACCTGCACATATACTTTTAAGCCTAAAATAAAAGTTTAAGAAATGAAATTTTAAAAAGAAAGTTTTTAAAGGTCTGTCATACTTGTTATCTTTAACATCTGTATTAGTCTATTTTCATACTGCTGCTAATAGAGACATACCCGAGGCTGGGTAATTAACAAAGGAAAGGAGTTTTAATGGTCTCACAGTTGCACATTGCTGGTGAGGCCTCACAATCATGGTGGAAGGTGAAAGAGGAGCAAAGGCATGTCTTCCATGGTGGCAGGCAAGAAAGTATGTGCAGAACTGCCCTTTGTAAAACTATCAGATCTTGTGAGACGTATTCACTATTATGAGAATAGAATGGGAAAACCTGCCCCTATAATTCAATTACTTCCCACTGGGTCCCTCCCAGGACATGTGATATTATGGGAGCTACAATTTAAGATGAGATTTGGGTGGGGACACAGCCAAACCATATCATTTTGCCACAGTCCCTCTCAAATCTCATGTCCTCAAAACTCAAAATGCAAGCATGCTTTTCCAACAGTCCCCCAAAGTCTTAACTCATTTCAGCATAATTTAAGAGTCCAACTCCAAAGTTTCATCTGAGACAAAGCAAGTCCTTTCTGCCTATGAACCTGCAAAATCAAAAGCAAGTTAGTTACTTTCTAGATAAAATGAGGGTACATGCATTGGGTAAATACACCCATTCCAGACTGGAGACATTGGCCAAAACAAAGGGGCTACAGGCCCCATGTAAGTTCAAAATCCAGCAGAGCAGTCAAATCTTAAAGCTCCAAAATGATCTCCTTTGACTCCATGTCTCACATTCAGGTCACTCTGATGCAAGAGATGGGCTCCCACAGCCTTAGGACACTCTTCCTTGTGGCTTTGTGGGGTATAGCCCCCCCTCCCAGCTGCTTTCACAGGCTGGCATTGAGTGTCTGTGGCTTTCCAAGGCACATGGGTGCAAGCTGTTGGTGGATCTACCATTCTGGGGTCTGGAGGATGATAGCCCTCTTCTCATACCTCCACTAGGCTGTGCCCTAGTGGGGACTCTGTGTGGGGGCTCCAACCCCACATTTCCCTTCTGCACTGCCCTGGCAGAGGTTCTCCATGGGGGCCCTGACCTTGCAGCAAGCTTCTGCCTGGATATCCAGGCATTTCCATACATCCTTTGAAACCTAGGTGAGGGTTCCCAAACCTCGATTCTTGACTTCTGTGCACTGCACCTGCAGGCTCCACACCACGTGGAAGCTGCTAAGGCTTGGGGCTTCCACCCTCTGAAGCCATGGCCTGAGTTGTACCTTGACCCCTTTTAGCTATGGCTGGAGCAGCTCGGATGCAGGGCACCAAATTCCTAGGCTATGCACAGCAGGGAGGCCCTGGATCTGACCCAGAAAACCATTTTCTCCTCCTATGCCTCTGGACCTGTGATGGGAGTCCTACAGCAAAGGTCTCTGACACACCCTGGAGACATTTTCTCCATTATCTTGGTGATTAACATTCGGCTCTTTGTTACTTATGCAAATTTCTGCAGGAGACTTGAATTTCTCCCCAGAAAATGGGTTTTTGTTTTCTGTTGCATCATCAGGCTGCAAATTTTCCAAACTTTTATGCTCTGCTTCCTCTTGAATGTTTTGCCGCTTAGAAATTTCTGCTAGATACCCTAAACCATCTCTTTCAAGTTCAAAGTTTCATAAATCTCTAAGGCAGGTGCAAAATGCCACCAGTCTCTTTTCTAAATTATAACAAGAGTCACCTTTGCTCCATTTCCCAACAAGTTCCTCATCTCCCTCTGAGACCACGTCAGCACTTCATTGTCCATATTACTATCAGCATTTTGGTCGAAGCCATGCAACAAGTCTCTAGAAAGTTCCAAACTTTTTCACATCTTTCTGTCTTCTGAGCCCTCCAAGTCTCTAGGAAGTTCCAAACTTTCCCATATTTTTCTATCTCCTTCTGAGCCCTCCAAACTGTTCCAACCTCTGCCTGTTACCCAGTTCCAAAGTTACTTCTACATTTTCAGGTATATTTAAAGCAGTGCCCCACTCTACCAGTACCAATTTACTGTATTAGTCTGTCCTCATGCTGCTAATAATGACATACCTGGGTAATTCATAAAGGAAAGGAGGTTTAATGGACTCACAATTTCACATGGCTGGGGAGGCCTCACAATCATGGTGGAAGGTGAAGGAGGAGTAAACGCACATCTTAAATGGCAGCAGACAAGAGCGTATGTGCAGGGGAACTACCTTTTATAAAACCATCAGATCTCATGAGACTTATACACTAGCACATGAACAGCACAGAAAAACCCAATGCCATGATTCAATTGTTTCCCACTGGGTCCCTTCCATGACATGTGGGGATTATGGGAGTTACAATTCAAAATGAGATTTGGGTGGGGACACAGTCAAACCTTATGTCAATGTCATAAGGTAGATTAGAGAGTTACCCATTATTCACCTTTACAGATGAGGCAATGGAGGCTCCCAAATAAATGACAAAGCAATTTGGCTGAGCTCACATAGTGACATTTGAGACATGAATTCTGGTCTTTAATGTTGCTTCCTGACCATTGCTCCATCTTTCTTTTATAACTCTGTATGATTGATGATTAATTCAGAATCTCCTGAAATTTCTCCTGAAACCTCTCCTTTGCCTGCCTCTTCACTTTTTCTGTGAAGAAACTCGCAATGAATGATGAGAACTTGCTCCCCATGCCTATATGCACCCATTTATTTTCTCTACTGAAATATAATTTTCCAATATGTAGACCCATTTATGGACAAATAGTAAACGACTCTCCCTCTAGTTTTGGTAACTCAACCCTAAACTATTTGTAAGCTTCAGAGATAAGTGTCTGAAACTTCAAAGTAAGCTCTTTAGAGTGGAGGCCCATAAACATAACAGTCTTGTCTAATCTGAAAAGTCCAGAGAGCCCAGTTGATAGCTTGGATTGCTTTCTTTTTTAAATGATTATTTTATTATTTTGAAGTTAATCTATTTTAAAGAAGTATTTATATGAGCTAAGAGCCAAGACTTAATGTATCTAGATATCTTTCAATAAACTAGTTGAATATCTAGTCATTGTTCAATTGTTCAAAGGACCTAAGTGATTATTGGCCTGCAGGAAGGCTAGTAATTACTAGGAATTCTAGCTTACTCCTTTTCCCATCCAAGAGAAAGAAGTCCTAGAATTCCTTCAAATGATGGGAGATTAAACTAACCTAACTGATTAATGTCAATGGTAATAAAAATTTGATCTTTTATTACAGCATAGTATCTAAGTTGGCTTTACAATGATTAATTCAGCAACAGTATTTTTCTGGCTCCAAACTCTGCATTCACAGTAGAAAGCAAAACCCAGCAAAGAGGTGAATTTGGGGAAAATACTCTGCAATGCCTTTAATTTTTTTTAATCTCAATTCCTTGGGAGATTAAAACTTATGTGATGAAATAGACTATTACAAATGAAATCAGTATGCTCAGACATGTTGCTTTTGTGAAAAACATGGGAAAATATGAAATATGAACTAGTTAATGTGTAACTAAAAATATGAGCCTTCAGCTGAAAGAATCTGAATTTTGGAAAGGACTCATGTCTTAATCAGCTCAGGCTGCTATCACAAAATATCATAGGCTTAATATAAATTTATTGTTCAAAGTACTTGGGACTGAGAAGTCCAAGATCAAGGTTCTGACAGGGTTTAGTTCCTAGCAAGGGCTCTTTTTCTGGCTTGCAGATGGCTGCCTTCTTGCTGTATCCTCCCATGACCTTTCCTTTGTGCATAGATGTAGTGGAGGGGGAGAGAGACAGAGGGAGGAAGGGAGGGAGGGAGGGGGAGGTGGAGAGGAAGAAGGGGGGTGGGGGGAGAGAGAGAGAGAAGGAATGCCCTCTTACTTTTCTTATAAAACCACTAATACATTGAGGGACCTACCTTCATGACCTAATCTAATCCTAATTAAGTCCCAAAAGCTCCACCTCCAAATACCATCACATTGGGGGATAGGGTTTCATTATATGAATTATGGGGGGACATAAACATTCAGTTCATAACACTGGCATAGATTATAAAGAGCTAACCAGATTTCCAGGAAGCATGTTTCTCTCACTTGAATGGAGATGAGGGCAGCATCTGCTACTGCTCTCCTGCTGGCTAGAAGGAAATAGATTGTGCTCATTCTGCAAAGAAAGAGTTATGCTTGCTGCACCTCAGCTTTCCAGCTCAGAGATTTGCTTCCCGGAGCCAGATGAGCCCCATGGCCTTTAGTGCCTGTCAAAAGACAGTACCTAGATCCTGACAAAGGGGCAGGAAAGCAAGGGGGAAAAGGATACCACAAAGTGAATTGTCAAGAATAAATTAAGATCTGTTGTCAGTCCCAGAACTAATTCCTAGGCTTTCTTTATCCCTGAATAAATAATAAATGACATTGATTTGTATTCTATGTAGCAACAGTCATAGTTCTACAATTATAGCAACTTGGAAGAGCTCTCTAAAGTTTATTATTTTAACTTTTAAAAATTTTTAATCTTTTATTTTTCCAAAAGCAATTTAATACAATTGTAGTTAAACAGTTTTCCCATTTTCTACATGAAAAAAAGCCAACAATAGCATATATACTAACTAAATTTAATTTCAACTATTTTTTCAGTATATCTTATTTATGAAGAAAGGCATTGTGTATTATCTTTAGTTAGATGATTCATGCCTACGTCAGAGTAAGTCTGTTAAAGGATATTATATCCCCTTGCAGATGAATCTGCTTTGCTCTATTTTCCTCTAATGGAGCTGAGGATTCAGGTATGTTTTCCTCAGATAATACTAATTAGAAGGAAAGGTTGGAAAATAAGTATTAATCTCTCATGTTCCCAATATACTCCAGTAGATAATCTGCCTGTGATTACAAGGTAAAATCACAGTTTATTTCAAGTTCACAACTATATAAAGGATAAGGATGTAGCATAATTGCAGGGTAAAAATACTCAGCAGTGTTGGGAATCAGATCCATATAGAATGGTATAGAGCAAGCTATCTGCCTTATGAGAGAAGAAAAAGGTACAGAGTCTATAAGCAATGATATTATTATCCACAAAAACTCTTCCTGAATCAGGCATTCTCAACTCTTGGCTGCATGTTAGAATTATCTGGAAAAATCCTAATGCCCCATGCCACACCCTATCAATTAAATCTGAATATCTGGAATTTGGGCCCAAATATTTGAGGAGCTGATTCCAATGTGCAAGTAAAGCTGAGAAACACTCTGCAATAGCTCCTCACTACAAGTTGCTTTTGCACCAGTCTGGCCTATTGGCACTTTTATAAATGCAAACAATGGTGGACACACTGATGGTCAAACTAAAAAGTCCCTCTGGTAAGTTTTCCTCTCAAGCTTAATCTTATGGCACAGAAGGTGAAAACGTGTTGGCGATTATCAGGGTAAGTCCACCCAAATCCTGGGATAAAGCAATTAGTTACTTTAGGCACAAATCATAATTTCTAATAATCTGTCTGAAGTTAGAAGAATATGAAAATAACACTTAATTTTAATTCTATAACATAGCTATCAAATTTTCTGTAGGTACTATATGGTTATTAGATTGACATTTCTGAAAATTTGTTGGAATAGCACATTTTTCTTCCAAGGAGATTTTACAGGACTTATTTATTCAACAGACATTTCATTGCGTTGTTATTATAATGTCAGCTCTTGTTCTAGGCCTTGGAAATGACATAAGGAATAAGACTAAGTCTATGTATATGGAGCTGATATTCAAGTTGAGCAAGATAGCAAGTCATTAGCATCCCTTGGCTTCTGCTTGGCATCTTATTCAGCCTCTTGCACAATTATTCTCAAAGTTTACTGTGCACAACAGCCACCTGGGGTACTAATTAAAATGTGGTTCTCTAGGTTCTACCCCTGAGATTCAGGCTCAGAAAGTCTAGGAGGGCATTCTAACAAGCGCCTTTGGTAATTCTCATGCAGGTGGTCCATTTATCACTTTGAGGAATACTAGTCTAGCATACTTGTCTGTTTCATTGACTTAGAATGAACACTATGGAATGTCAGGAGGATTACTCAGGGCTTATCTAATAGTAGAAAGATGAAATCTTAAAAGGATAACGCTTGCCATGTAGGTGAATGGCAGCTGTTGGAAATTACTTTCTTGCTTTTAGAACAGAAAATGTAACCTCTACAAGTAGGCAATCTTAGGAGAAAGTTTGACTGGCTACAGATTTGCTTATATTTATCTCAAGAGAGTTATTTAATTTACCCAGATCACCTCAAAATGTGGCTCTTTTGAGTGCAAAGGAGTGTCCAGTAAAATGTAAATCCACAATATTTCCGTGGATTTATATTTTCTTCAATTAATATGAAAATGAAGAAATAACACTGCATGTAAATCCACAATATTTCTGTGGATTTATATTTTACTGGACACTCCTTTGCACTCAAAAGAGCCACATTTTGAGGTGATCTGGGTAATTTAAATAACTATCTTGAGATAAATAAAATATAAATAATGAATTTATATTTTACTGGACACTCCTTTGCACTCAAAAGAGCCAGATTTTGGTGCTTTTGGATTTAAGTTTAAGTTTGGATTTAGCCCCAAAGCACACAATATGAGAAGGGCAGGAGTTAGTATGGGCCTGGGAGGTTATACTTAAAAGCCTTTGTAATTTTAATGACAATTAGGTCAGTTCATCTTGCTAGACTTTACTCAATCAAAGTTTGATTAGATGATTTCCTAGGTTTCATATAAGTAAGAATGCCTTGTGAAGGGTCAACCCAAATCTGCAGATTATGTCTAGCTAAAAATTTTTTAAAAAATGTTTTTCTCAGAGTTCCAATCTTGCATGTTTATCCATGTTTTCCGTAGGCACACATATGGCAACAGAAGGAAGTTTGAAGTGACAACAGACATTACCAAAACAATCTACAGTCAATCATTAGTAGAACTTGTAAAATTGGTCACTTACTCAATTGAACAACCTATTCCCTACAAGGGTGGCCAACTGCCCTGGTTTGTCTGAAACTCAGGGATTATACGGAATGTGCTAAAACCAGGAAGAGCTGGTCACCCTGGTTATCCACCAGCAATTTAAGAGGTACCTGCTGTCTTAGTTTGTAGTGTAGTTTAGGAGATAAAAGTAGCAGACACACAAAAATAATTGAAAAAGAATTCTGTGCTAAACTGGGTGATATTGTCTCCAAGTACAATAGGAATTCCGAGAAAAAAAGGTCAGTGTGGGCTGTAGTTGCTGCAGTTTTATAAATTAGGTGGAACAGGATCCCAATTTTGTGGCTTGCAGTTCTGCTTCCTTCTTTACAAGAAATGTCATCATCCTTTTCATGCTCAAGAAACATGAAAATGACCTAGGATAAATCTTGCATATCTGTCAGTCAGGGACAAGGAATAAGATTAGTTTAAAACTAAATTGACTTTAAAGCTTTGTCTCTTATTTAAATAATTAACATTTATTTATTCATACAATGATGAATGCCAGGAATACAAAAAATAAAATAAAATACAATTTCTGCCCTTGATGTGTTTATTGTCTAGTGAGGCACATATACATTAGTGTGTAAAAAGGTAAGTTCAAGGATATGTGAGGAGACCTGCGATAGAAATATTTGGAGAGTTATGGATACCTTAAAGAGAGAAATATGTGAGAAAGAAATTGGAGTTTAGTAAATAACCCTATCTTTTTCTGTGTTTAATATCAACATCTATTTCAGGACATTCTTAGTTTTAGGTCAGCCAAATGAAATAGCTTGATTGTAGATACTTTGTAGTAAAATAGTCATTTAATATGAAAATGAAGAAATAACACTGCATATTCTAAAGTTCTAATTACTTGGGTTTAGTTGATCAGATGGGCTGACTTTGCTTACCTTGGGGTATACTTTAATAAAGTCAGACAAACTAATCAAAAAAACAACACAGAGGTGTGACTATAGTTAGTGCGTTAGCAAATGCACAGGATATACATTTGGCAAGACTCAGTGCTGTCCCAGGAACCTGAACTTTGGAATTTCCTGAATTTGTGGGGCTTATGGTATTTAAGTGGAAGTTAGGTAGATAGTAAGCTGGCTTTTATAGTTCATCAGTAAGTTAAAACACAGAAAGAAACTCTTAAAAGGAAGAGGGCTATGTCTTTATGAATTATAGTTGCAGTTGCTAAAAATTGCAGAGAGAGAGAGAGGGAAGAATTATTATGTATACACACTGTGCTAGGTGCTGAACCCTTATTAAAGGTGAATAAGATCTAAGATCTGGTTGAGTCAAACATTGCTTGGTGTGAATGCCAGATATGAAAAACAAATACGATATTATTGAGAATAAAGAGAGGTAAGAAAGGGGAAGAAAAAGGATTAAATTAACATTGAGCTTGGAATCAACTAGCCTCATAATTCTAAACATAGAGTGGGCAATTAAATTTGGGAAGCAGATCATACAGTGGATAGAAAGACCATAAACATTAAATCCCACCTCACTGACATGCACAATATTTGTAATAATAAATAGTTGTCATAGTGACATCTAGATAAATATCAAAACAAAACCAACAAAATACCAAACAAACAGAAAATCAGACCAGCCCAGGAAATACAAAAACATCCCAGAAGTAGCCAATAGACAATTCAAGGCAGCTGACTAGGAAGGGTGGAGGGAACTCAGCCCTCTCATCTTTGAGTGAGATTTACTTTCCTAGGGTGCTCACTGGATCCAAGATGGTGCCCTGATTCCATCTCCAGTGTAGAGTGCCCATTGGGCACTCAGGAATTTGTCTTACCCCTGTGAAGAGCCTGGACCATTGGCATTGTGGCAGAAGAACAAGGAGACAGACAGAAGGGATCACTTAACCCAGTTGCTCCAAAAGCCTGTGAAATAAGAATTTGCCTACCTCTCTTCAAGGAAATTTTAGGACATATGTCCTCCTGGTGTGAGTTGTGGGTTTCCTATCCAAAGGCCAAATGCATGGGCTGGCTTTTGTGCACCCAGCCACATGCATAAGATTAATAAGTGTTTGCAGTCTCCCAAGCCTGGTGTGAAAACCACAAAGTAGGACATTGTGCCTTAACAGGTTGTACATGTGAGTTTCAACTTTACATTGATCTTCTATGGATAACTTTAAAGCTTTTTTTTTTTTAATTTGTGTTTCCAGTAGTCAACTTTGAAAAATATCATGATCAAAGGTAAGATGCTATTGCATGAAACATTTAAATTACATTTCTTGGAAACTGACTTTGGAGATTTGTTCCTTGATTCCAGTGTTTTAATCATCTTGCTCGGTGACCTGCTGCATGACTCATCCTGATCCCTAGAGGCTTTCTCTCTTCTTTCTACCTAGATGTTCAACTCTCTTCTTTCTACCTGGAAGTAGTATTTTGTTCATTGCACTTGGTAAGTTCGGACAGGGTCAAATCCTGCCTCTGCCAGTTACCAGGTCTTTCACTCTGGACAAATTATTTAGCCTTTCTGTCTTCTTTTGGGGATGTTAACAAGAATACACATCACAGAGGACTAAAGTAAGGATTGAAGAAGATTGTGTATGCAAAGCACTTAGCACTGTGCCTGACTCACAGTAGTACTCAATACATGCTATTTTTACATGCTTCTGGCACAGGCAGCCCTGACTTACAAATACCTGATTTACTGTGCCCTGTACACGTGAAGAGGATGAAACATTACGAAGGCACTCCAAGAGCCTGCTGCCAACACCAGAAACCCGACTGTTCTAGCTAAACCCCTGATTGCTTCTAAACCAATTACTCAGAAGATGCACAATTCACAGTTTCAGAATCCATATACAGTTCACCAGTCCTCTGTCTGCCTAACTCAATCTCATACCATCACAGAACTAGAACACTTAGATTAGGGCGTCTGGGGTCTATGTTTTTGGCATTCTGCCTCAGAATGAGTGTCCTGATGTTGATACCAGGAGCCAAAAATGCAAATTAAGAAGGGTGATCATGGACCAGCTTGTGGCCTAATGGGGCAGAGGTAACTAACATGTGTGGTCCCAGACTATTATAAGGAACAATTCAATTAAGCCCCAATATGTGCTTTCCAAACCCAAAGGGCACTATACCAGGCAAAGTGTCTTGCCCTTAAATTTGAAGGGGAGCGAAAAATACCAAACTGTAAAATATCTTCATTGGGTTTGTTCCCCTAGCTCCCTGCATTTGCATGAACATGCTAGTCAGTTCAGAATCCTGTGTTTATACCTTTCATTTGGTCAGAAAGATAAAAGATATAAAGAAAGTTTCCCTATTTCTCTTCCCAACTGGCTCCCTGTGTCTGAGTTCCAAGCCACAGCATGTGACAATGGGAAATCTTATCTGTTCCAGTTATTTGCTCTTTGTAGATCTAAAACAGTTTAAGTTATAACAGCATTCCCTAGGCCTTCAGCACAAATAATTCACACTTGCAACCACACTCACAGTTACCGCAGTGTGGTATCATAAAGACTTCAGTTCTGCAAGAGACACTAAATTTAATACCAGCCTTCAGGAGCCAAAAGCCATTGCTCAGTCCTTTGCAGAGAAACCGATTTAATTAAGATGTTTTATGTCCACTTTTACACTTTTAAATGTAGAAATCTAAACATCTATAATATTAAATAATTCTGTCTTTAGAAGCATATTTTTCTCAAAAAAAAAAAAAAAAAAACCAGACTGGCAGGTTTTCATTTACACAAAATATTCCAGCATCAAGAGCCTTCTCAATTAGTTGCCAGGCTTCACTTTGTCTCAGTAAATTAGCAGAATGTAAATGAGCCAAGGTCCATGAAAAATCTCCTCATTGATTGCTTCTCTTGGTTTTGCCTCAAACCCTTCAGGGCTCGAATATTTGACAGTACGCTTTCAACTTACACACTATTTGCATGAAACTGACAGAGCTTTAAAATTTTTTTTTTTAGTCAGAGTGCCTAGAAATGCTCACAATGCATTTTAACAAGTGATAGGCCAGTCTTTCTTCAGGAATATTTGCTTTGAAAGGGTAAGAAATAATTAGACTAGCATGTGCTATCTTTGGTGAGGGTTGGCAACTTAGAACTTGGGAGCTGTTGGCAGGCCCTGGCAGTCATTGTTGGTGTTGTGGGAAGCCTTTCCAGAAGTGTGTCCAAAAATTGTAAGTGGACTCGTTCTGACCTTTTCTGGCCCTGGTCCCACCCTGTTAAAACAAGGTTTTCAGGGTAGGATTCCAAAAGGCAGAGTTGAGGTAGGAAAGCGGGACAGGATGTCATGGAGTGGAAAAAAAAATCACCAATAGTCTAGGGAATTGGGACCTCATTTGAGTCCCGGTTCTGACACTATGTGACCTTGGACAAGCTACTATTCCTGACAACAGCTTCCCCTGGGCTGTGGTACAGAGAGATTGCATGTTGGAGCAATTCCTAGCACCCACCAGTTATAGCACTGTTACTTCTACAAAAGAAAACATATAGAAATGCAAGTAAAAGCTAGGTTCTTACAGAGATAACATGGAACGCACATAAATTTCTTTTTAGAAAAAAATTACTGGCAAATTTTGGTAGTTTATTATTAGTTATCCAATTATACATAACACCCCTGTAGCCCTGTGGCTGAGAGCCAATGATGTTTCACTCTCCAAATGTAATATTTAATTATTGGAAGACTTTTCTGAGAGTTACCTTGATACAGAGGTTTAACTAAAAAAGCAAAAGTTGAACTCTCTCATCTGTAAGTGGGAATCAGCAACAATGACTGCTCCATCCTCTAGGGTTTGCTGTGAGGAGCTATAGAATGTTGCTGAATATAAAGGGCTTTGTGTAAGTGGAAAGGGGGTATCCGTGCATAGATGCCTGGAATGCTGTGTGCAGGATTGGAGGCACCACAGAGAGAGCATGAAGGTATGTGGATTAACATCACGAGGCAGGATGGGAGAGACTCTTGCGGAGAGGCCCAGGGCCCACAGTTGCTGGCAGAGCTCCCAGCAGAAACCTTGGCATGCAGTAAGAGATCTGTAGGTATCCACTGAATGGATGAATGAGTGAATGTTTCAATGAGTAAGTGAATGAATGGTGGAACAAAACTACACAATAGGTTCTGGATTATGAGTTCCAAAACAATGGATTACATTGAAACTCCTATTTCACCCTTGAGCTCTGGTGCATGTGCTAGGTCTGAGAGGGATGGTTCCAGTGACAGATGTTTATGACCAGTCTCAGTAATAGGAAGCAGAGTGTAGAGATTTAGGGCAGGGGCTTTTACATCAGATTGCCTGGGTCCAAATCCCAGATCTACCATGAGCTATTTGAGATGCTCATCATTATCTCTAACACTTCTGTGCCTTAGTTTCTGTAATATGGGGAAGAAGATGGTAATGAAGATGATGAAGATGATGGTGACTACCTCATAATATTCTCATAAGGATTAAATGAGTCAGTACACACAAAGTGTTTAGACAGTGCTTGAAGTTCTCAAAAAATTTTAGTTATTGCATTTGGACAATGAAGTATCATTGGGACCTAACTGTTTGCACTATACTTATAAATATATATATACTACTTCTAAGCAGTTTCACTTGAACTTGAGTGGGAGTTCATGCCCTGGGGAATAAAAAGGCTTAGTATTTGAAGTCAGGGAAACAAAGCCTGAAAACTTGCTCTGATTCTTACTGAGTAAACTTGGACAAATAAATCA
Organism: Homo sapiens; assembly: GCF_000001405.40. Lineage (NCBI taxonomy): Eukaryota > Metazoa > Chordata > Mammalia > Primates > Hominidae > Homo > Homo sapiens. Next base: position 103,738,749 of record NC_000011.10, read on the forward strand.
TTTTTCCTTTTTGAGGCCCAATTCCCAACATGCAAAACAGGGAAAGTAATGATGATACCTTATATGGCTGTCATGAGGAGTAAATTAAATAATACATATGAAAGGGATTTATAAACCTTAAAGACTACTTAACAATTATTGTGGGAAGCAGCCAAGATGGCCAAAGAGGAACAGCTCCAGTCTACAGCTCCCAGCGTGAGCGACACAAAAGATGGGTGATTTCTGCATTTCCATCCTAGGTACCAGGTTCATCTCACTAGGGAGTGCCAGACAGTGGGCACAGGACAGTGGGTGCAGCATACCGTACACGAGCTGAAGCAGGGCGAGGCATTGCCTCACTCGGGAAGCACAAGGGGTCAGGAAGTTCCCTTTCCTAGTCAAAGAAAGGGGTGACAGAGGGCACCTGGAAAATGGGGTCACTCCCACCCGAATACTGCGCATTTCCGACGGGCTTAAAAAACGGTGCACCACGAGATTATATCCCGCACATGGCTGGGAAGGTCCTGGCAGCGAGACGCCCACGGAGTCTCCTGATGGCTAGCACAGCAGTCTGAGATCAAACTGCAAGGCAGCAGCGAGGCTGGGGGAGGGGTGCCCGCCATTTCCCAGGCTTGCTTAGGTAAACAAAGCAGCCAGGAAACTCGAACTGGGTGGAGCCCACCACAGCTCAAGGAGGCCTGCCTGCCTCTGTAGGCTCCACCTCTGGGGGCAGGGCACAGACAAACAAAAAGACAGCAGTAACCTCCGCAGACTTAAATGTCCCTGTCTGACAGCTTTGAAGAGAGCAGTGGTTCTCCCAGTACACAGCTGGAGATCTGAGAACGGGCAGAATGCCTCTTCAAGTGGGTCCCTGACCCCCCACCCCCGAGCAGCCTAACTGGGAGGCACCCCCCAGTAGGGGCAGACTGACACCTCACACGGCTAGGTAGTCCTCTGAGACAAAACTTCCAGAGGAAGGCTCCAATTAAAAGACACAGACTGGCAAATTGGATAAAGACTCAAGACCCATCAGTGTGCTCTATTCAGGAAACCCATCTCATGTGCAGAGACACATAGAGGCTCAAAATAAAAGGATGGAGGAAGATCTACCAAGCAAATGGAAAACAAAAAAAGGCAGGGGTTGCAATCCTAGTCTCTGATAAAACAGACTTTAAAACGACAAAGTTCAAAAGAGACAAAGAAGGCCATTACATAATGGTAAAGGGATCAATTCAACAAGAAGAGCTAACTATCCTAAATATATATGCACCCAATACAAGAGCACCCAGATTCATAAAGCAAGTCCTAAGAGACCCACAAAGAGTCTTAGACTGCCACACAATAATAATGGGAGACTTTAACACCCCACTGTCAATATTAGACGGATCAACGAGACAGAATGTTAACAAGGATACCCAGGAATTGAACTCAGCTCTGCACCCAGCGGACCTAATAGACATCTACAGAACTCTCCACCCCAAATCAACAGAATATACATTTTTTTCAGCACCACACCACACCTATTCCAAAATTGACCACATAGTTGGAAGTAAAGCTCTCCTCAGCAAATGTAAAAGAACAGAAATTATAACAAACTGTCTCTCAGACCACAGTGCAATCAAACTAGAACTCAGGATTAGGAAACTCACTCAAAACCACTCAACCACATGGAAACTGAACAACCTGCTCCTGAATGACTACTCGGTACATAATGAAATGAAGGCAGAAATAAAGATGTTCTTTGAAACCAATGAGAACAAAGATACAACATACCAGAATCTCTGGGACACATTCAAAGCAGTGTGTAGAGGCAAATTTATAGCACTAAATGCCCACAAGAGAAAGCAGGAAAGATCCAAAATTGACACCCTAACATCACAATTAAAAGAACTAGAAAAGCAAGAGCAAACACATTCAAAAGCTAGCAGAAGGCAAGAAATAACTAAAATCAGAGCAGAACTGAAGGAAATAGAGAAACAAAAAACCCTTCAAAAAATTAATGAATCCAGGAGCTGGTTTTTTGAAAGGATCAACAAAATTGATAGACCACTAGCAAGACTAATAAAGAAGAAAAGAGAGAAGAATCAAATAGACGCAATAAAAAATGATAAAGGGGATATCACCACCGATCCCACAGAAATACAAACTACCATCAGAGAATGCTACAAACACCTCTACACAAATAAACTAGAAAATCTAGAAGAAATGGATAAATTCCTCGACACACACACCCTCCCAAGACTAAACCAGGAAGAAGTTGAATCTCCGAATAGACCAATAACAGGCTCTGAAATTGTGGCAATAATCAATAGCTTACCAACAAAAAAGAGTCCAGGACCAGATGGATTCACAGCTGAATTGTACCTGAGGTACAAGGAGGAATTGGTACCATTCCTTCTGAAACTATTCCAATCAACAGAAAAAGAGGGAATCCTCCCTAACTCATTTTATGAGGCCAGCATCATCCTGATACCAAAGCCAGGCAGAGACACAACCAAAAAAGAGAATTTTATACCAATATCCTTGATGAACATTGATGCAAAAATCCTCAATAAAATACTGGCAAACCAAATCCAGGAGCACATCAAAAAGCGTATACACCATGATCAAGTGGGCTTCAACCCTGGGATGCAAGGCTGGTTCAATATACGCAAATCAATAAATGTAATCCAGCATATAAACAGAACCAAAGACAAAAACCACATGATTATCTCAATACATGCAGAAAAAGCCTTTGACAAAATTCAACAACCCTTCATGCTAAAAACTCTCAATAAATTAGGTATTGTTGGGATGTATCTCAAAATAATAAGAGCTATCTATGAAAAACCCACAGCCAATATCATACTGAATGGGCAAAAACTGGAAGCATTCCCTTTGAAAACTGGCACAAGACAGGGATGCCCTCTCTCACCACTCCTATTCAACATAGTGTTGGAAGCTCTGGCCAGGGCAATTAGGCAGGAGAAGGAAATAAAGGGTATTCAATTAGGAAAAGAGGAAGTCAAATTGTCCCTGTTTGCAGATGACATGATTGTATATCTAGAAAACCCCATTGTCTCAGCCCAAAATCTCCTTAAGCTGATAAGCAACTTCAGCAAAGTCTCAGGATACAAAATCAATGTACAAAAATCACAAGCACTCTTATACACCAATAACAGACAAACAGAGAGCCAAATCATGAGTGAACTCCCATTCACAATTGCTTCAAAGAGAATAAAATACCTAGGAATCCAACTTACAAGGGACACGAAGGACCTCTTCAAGGAGAACTACAAACCACTGCTCAATGAAATAAAAGAGGATACAAACAAATGGAAGAACATTCCATGCTCATGGGTAGGAAGAATCAATATCATGAAAATGGCCATACTGCCCAAGGTAATTTATAGATTCAATGCCATCCCCATCAAGCTACCAATTACTTTCTTCACAGAACTGGAAAAAACTACTGTAAAGTTCATATGGAACCAAAAAAGAGCTCTCATCGCCAAGTCAATCCTAAGCCAAAAGAACAAAGCTGGAGGCATCATGCTACCTGACTTCAAACTATACTACAAGGCTACAGTAACCAAAACAGCATGGTACAGGTACCAAAACAGAGATATAGAGCAATGGAACAGAACAGAGCCCTCAGAAATAATGCAGCATATCTACAACTATCAGATCTTTGACAAACCTAAGAAAAATAAGCAATGGGAAAAGGATTCCCTATTTAATAAATGGTGCTGGGAAAACTGGCTAGCCATATGTAGAAAGCTGAAACTGGATCCCTTCCTTATACCTTATACAAAAATTAATTCAAGATGGATTAAAGACTTAAACGTTAGACCTAAAACCATAAAAACCCTAGAAGAATACCTAGGCATTACCATTCAGGACATAGGCATGGGCAAGGACTTCATGTCTAAAACACCAAAAGCAATGGCAACAAAAGCCAAACTTGACAAATGGGATCTAATTAAACTAAATAGCTTCTGCACAGCAAAAGAAACTACCGTCAGAGTGAACAGGCAACCTACAAAATGGGAGAAAATTTTCGCAACCTACTCATCTGACAAAGGGCTAATATCCAGAATCTACAATGAACTCAAACAAATTTACAAGAAAAAAACAAACAACCCCATCAAAATGTGGGCGAAGGACATGAGCAGACACTTCTCAAAAGAAGACATTTATGCAGCCAAAAAACACATGAAAAAATGCTCGCCATCACTCGCCATCACTGGTTTGATTTGATGCAAATCAAAACCACAATGAGATACCATCTCACACCAGTTAGAATGGCAATCATTAAAAAGTCAGGAAACAACAGGTGCTGGAGAGGATGTGGAGAAATAGGAACACTTTTACACTGTTGGTGGGACTGTAAACTAGTTCAACCATTGTGGAAGTCAGTGTGGCGATTCCTCAGGGATCTAGAACTAGAAATACCATTTGATCCAGCCATCCCATTACTGGGTATATACCCAAAGGACTATAAATCATGCTGCTATAAAGTCACATGCGCACGTATGTTTATTGCGGCACTATTCACAATAGCAAAGACTTGGAACCAACCCAAGTGTCCAACAATGACAGACTGGATTAAGAAAATGTGGCACATATACAACATGGAATACTATAAAGCCATAAAAAATGATGAGTTCATGTCCTTTGTAGGGACATGGATGAAACTGGAAATCATCATTCTCAGTAAACTATTGCAAGAACAAAAAACCAAACACCGCATATTCTCACTCATAGGTGGGAATTGAACAATGAGAACACATGGACACAGGAAGGGGAACATCACACTCTGGGGACTGTTGTGGGGTGTGGGGAGTGGGGAGGGATAGCATTAGGAGATATACCTAATGCTAAATGACGAGTTAATGGGTGCAGCACACCAGTATGGCACACGTATACATATGTAACTAACCCGCACATTGTGCACGTGTACCCTAAAACTTAAAGTATAATAATAATAAAATAAAATAAAATAAAAACAAGGAAAAAAAACAATTATTGTACTATTTTTCCAAATTTGCTTAACATTTGTATAATGGTGAAAAATTTTTAAGTGTTTTTACATACATTGTTTCAGATAGATAACTCGTTACTTTAGTGTTGTCGTAATTACGTATTATGTAACACAAAGTAATAAATTACCCTAATATAATTATATTGTAGGTGGACAGGCTCAGTTAGGTGGTTCTTATTTAGAGTCTCAAATAGGTACAGTTAGAACTTGGCTGTGGCTTGAGGCATCTGAATATTCCACCAGGCAATATTACCAAGGTGGCTTCTTAGGACACATTTTTTTTTTGAATTCTTATTTTGGATTTACAGGGTACATGTGCAGGTTTGTCACATGAGTGTTTTGCATGATGCTGAGATTTAGGGTGTGGATGATCCTGTCACCAAGGTATTGAGCACAGTTCCCAGTGGATAATTTTTCAGCACACACCCCCTTCTCTTCCTACCCCTTATAGTAGTCCCGAGTTTCTATAGTTCCCATCTTTATGTCCATGTGTACTCAGTGTTTAGCTCCCACTTATAAGTGAGAACATGTAGTATTTGGTTTTCTATTTCTGAGTTAATTTGCTGAGGATGTTACTGCACAGGACATGATTTTATTCCTTTTATGCCTGCGTAGTATTTCATGGTGTATACATACCACATTTTCTTTATCCAGTCCACCATTGATGTACACCTAGGTTGATTCCATGTCTTTGATATTGTGAATAGCACTGTGATGAACACATGAGCGCATGTGTCTTTTTGGTGGAATGATTTATTTTCCTTTGGGTATATAGCTAGTAATGGGATTGCTGGGGTGAATGATGGTTCTGTTTTAAGTTTTTTGAGAAATTTCCAACTGCTTTCCACAGTGGCTGAACTAATTTGCATTACCACCCACAGTGTAAAAGCATTCCCTCTTCAGAACCTTGCTGGCATCTGTTCCTTTTTCACTTTTTAATAATTGCCATGCTGACTGGTGTGAGGTGGTATCTCATTGTGGTTTCGATTTGCATATCTTTGATGATTGGTGATGTGGAACGTTTTTCTATATGCTTGTTGACTTCTTTTAAGAAGTATCTGTTCATGTCCTTTGTCCATTTTTGATTACTTTTTTTTCTTGTGGATGTGTTTAAGTTTCTTGTAGATTCTGGATAATAGACTTTTGTCAGATACACAGTTTGTGAATATTTTCTTATACTCTGTGTTGTCTGTGTAGGTTGTCTGTGTAGGTTGTCTGTTTACTCTGTTGACAGTTTCTTTTGCTGTGCAGAAGCTCTTCAGTTTAAGTAGATCCTACTTGTTGATTTTCATTTTTGCTGCAATTGCTTTTGGGGACTTAGCCATAAATTCTTTGCTAAAACTCATGTTCAGGAAGGTATTTCCTAGGTTTTCTTTAGGATTTTTATACTTTAAGGTCTTACATTTCAATCTTCAGCCCATCTTGGGTTAATTTTTGTACATGGTGAAAGGTAAAGTTTCAGTTTCATTCTTCTGCATATGGCTAGCCAGTTATCCCAGCACCATTTATTGAATATGGAGTATTTTCCTCATTGCTTATTTTTTTCAACCTTGCTGAAGATCAGATGGTTGTAGATATGTGGCTTTATTTTTGGGTTTTCTATTCTGTTCCATTTGTCCATGTGTTTGTCTTTGTACAAGTGCTATGCTGTTTTGGTTATTGTAGCCTTATAGTATAGTTCAAAGTTGGTTAATGTGATGCCTCTGGCTTTGTTCTTTTTGCTTAGGATTGCTTTGGCTATTTGGGCTCTTTATTGACTCCATACACATTTTAGAATATTTTTTTCCAATTCTGTGAAAAATGACATTTGTATTTTGATAGGAATGGCAGTAAATCTGTAAATTGCTTTGGAAAGTATGGTTGTTTTAATGATGTCAATTCTTCCACTCCATGAGCATAAAATATTTTTTTATTTGTGTTGTCTCTGATTTCTTTCAGCAATGTTCTGTAGTTCTCTTTATAGATATTTTTCACCTCTTTTGTTGTATTCCTAGTTACTTTAATTTTTTGGTGGTTATTGTGAATGGAATTGTGTTTTTGATTTCGCTCTCAGCTAGGATGTTATTGGTGTATAGAAATGTTACTGATTTTTGTACATTGCTTTTGTATCCTGCACATTTACTGAAGTTGTTTATCAGTTCTAGGACCCTTTTTCACAGAATTTTTAGAATTTTTAAAGTATAGAATCATATTGCCAGCAAGAAGAGAGAGTTTGACTTTTTGTTTTCCTATTTGGATACCTTTTATTTCTTTATCTTGTCTGATTGCTCTGGCTAGGACTTTCAGTGATATGTTGAAGAGAAGTGGTGAGAACAGGCATCCTTGTCTCATTCTAGTTTTCAAGGGGAATTGTTCCAGGTTTTGGCCATTTAGTATGATGTTGGCTATGAGTTTTCATAGCTGGCTCTAATTATTCTGAAGTATGTTCTTTGATGCCTAGTCTGTTGAGGGCTTTATCCTGAAGGGATTTTGGATTTTATCAAAGGCTTTCTTTACATCTATTGAAATGATCATATAGTGTTTTTTTTGGTTCTGTTTATTTGAATCACAATTATTGATTTGTATAGGCTGAACTACCTTTGCCTACCAAGAATAAGAGCCTATTTGATCATGGTGAATTAACTTTTTGATGTGCTGCTGGATTTAGTTTGCTAGTATTTTGTTGAAGATTTTTGTGTCTATGATCATAAGGGATATTGGCCTGAAGTTTTCTTTTTTCTCTGTGTCTCTTCCAGATTTTGGTATTAGGCTGATGCTAACCTAATAGAATGAGTGAGGGAGGAGCAATTTCTTTTTTATTTTTTTGAAATAGTTTCAGTAGAATTGGTACTAGGTCTTTTATATCTGGAAAAATTTGTCTTTGAATCCATCTGGTCCAGGGCTTTTTTGGTTGGTAGGTTTTTAATTACTGACTCAATATCAGAACTTGTTATTGGTCTACTTACATTTTCACTTACAGATTGTGTTTCCAGGAATTATCTATTTCCTCCAGATTTTCTAATTTGTGTGCATAGAGGTATGCATAATGGTCTCTAAGAATATTTTGTATTTCTATAGCACCAGTTCTAACGTCATTTGCTGTTGTGTTTATTTGAATCTTCTTCTTTTTTTTCTTTGTTAATCTAGCCATTGGTCTATCAATCTTGTTTATTCTTTTGAAAAACCAACTCTTGGTTTTATTGATCTCTTATATGGATTTTTAAATCTCGATTTCATTCAGTTATTCTCTCATTTTAGGTATTAGTTATTTCTTTTTTTCTGCTAGGTTTGGGGTTGCTTTGTTCTTTTTTTTTTTTTTTTTTTTTTTTTGTAGTTTATCTAGGTATGATCAATTGGATCTAATATACATCTCCAGGATACTCCACCCAACAAACACAGAATATACATTCTTCTCAACTGCATACAGAACATATTTTAAGATTGACCACATGCTCAGTCATAAAGCAAGTCTCGATACATTAAAAAATCAAAATCATACCATGCAAACTCTTGGACCACAGTGCAATAAAAATAGAGATCAATACTATGATCTCTTAAAACTACACAAAACAGGAAAATTAAACAATTTGGTCCTGAATAATTCTTGGGTGAAAAATGAAATTATGGCAGAAATAAAAAATTCTTTGATATTAATGAAATAGAGACACAACTTACTAAAATATTTGGGATGCAGATAATGCAGTGTAAGAGGAAAGTTCATAGCACCCGATGCCTTCATGAAGAAGTTAGAAAAATCTAAAATTATTAATGTGGGTTCTTAGTCAACCTATCTGGCACCTGGGCCAGGAGGGCAGGAGTAAGCAGGTGGCTGGCCAGGCCTCCTTCTCTATGCTCCCTCTCTACATAACTAGCTTGGATTTCCTATGAGCAGAAAGCTTCAAGGTAGTCAGGCTTCTTACACGGGGGGCTGGCTCTGTCCAAAATGATTGTTCTAAGATATCAAAGGAGAAATCATAAGGCTTTTTATGACCGTTCCTCAATATCATTTTTCTTGAATTCTATTGGTTACCAGCGAGTTGTAATCCACATTCACAAAAAGGAGACCTATAAACTCATGGCAGAAAGCATGGTTCATTAAGGAGCCATCTTTGGAGATTAGCTATTATTTATTATACAAGTAATAGTCGTTTATCATATGACTCCCAAACTCAGGAGCTCATTCTACACAAAGTGCATCTTTTCTTGAATTTTAATTTGTTGGTAAGACTTGACAGCCAGCTCACATATATAAATCTTCAAAAAATTATGGAAATGCTAAAAATTAAGTTCCTTTTAACAACTCTTAACTTTAAGAGACGTTACTGTGTACAAAACATAATACATAAGAAAAACAACCCAGTCAAACCTGATTTCTTTATGACGAAGAGAAACTCAGATAAGTTTCAGACATTGTGTTCCTAATGCTGCCCAATAGCCTCAATCAGTGCTCCAGACTCTGGAGTTGCCCTTCCTTTGATCCATAAGGTACTGTGAAGCATTGGGACGCAGCAACTGTTCAAGGAATTTCATTATATATAATGCCACCTGAAGAAACTGTTCTAGTGATTGCCACTGCATTGTCATCAATTATAAATATCATTCAACCATCCACTTATTCATTCCGTTTTTTAACATGTAAATTCTTTTTTAAAATTTAATTTTTAATTGACAAAAATTGTCTATATCTAAGGAGTACAATGGGATGTTATGACATCTTTATATATTGTAGAATGATTAAATCAGGCTATTTACCTCATGTATTTATTCTCTGTAGTGAGAATGTTTAAAATATCCTCTTTAAGTAATTTTGAAATATAGTACAAGGTTTTAATTAGACAGGAGAAATAGGTTAATCTTTATTTCTTCTTTTATTCAGATCAATAGCTTTCATATCTGAGACACTGGTTTGGCATCATGTACCATTAGCCTCTGTGTTTGTGCAAGCACAAAGGCACATACATGTTAAAGTAAATATCTTAAGAATGGTTTCCAGAAAGAAAATAAGCTTAATAGAAGGATTAATTTTTTTAACCTCCTAATGTTTGTACTGTGAAACTTTTTCTACTTACTGTTCACATAACAGTTTCTGCTCTCCAGCTTCTAAGTCACTGTGCATGTCATACTTCAAAAGTCTAGCTCACTTCTTTAGTGGATTGTTCCTGATTATTGTAATTTGCAGTGATCTCACTTACCTCTTACACTTGTAGTATCATTTGTCTGTTCTATTCCCTGACACTTGCATAGTGCTTCATGTCATACCTTGAGTTCCCACATTTACTAAACTATCTATTAATACCTAAAGAACCTCCTCTATCACTCTTTACTTTTTTATCTTGCTTTATTTTTATGTACTGGATTTATTGATGCCAAACATGTGTTATATAATTTATGTACTTATTTGGGTTTCATGTATTTTGTTCAATGGTATATAAATACCATCAAAGCAGGAATTTTGTCTGTTTTATTCATTGTTGTATCTTTAGCACCAGTGAAAGTGTCTGATACAGTAGATAATAAATGTTTTGGGAATGAATAATTGTGTGGTGACTGAGTCTTCTAGGCCTGTGCATGCCCTTGGCATATTCATACCCAGAATTTGCTGGTGGATAAACAGGCACGTTGCTCATGCTTCAGCCTTTCAGTGTGCCAAATGGACAGTATGTCACTTCTATCCTATCTTGTAGAGATGCTGTGAGTATGACACTTGGGCTAGGAGGGCTGGAGTAGCTGGGGCTGGCCAGGCCTCCTTCTCTATGCTAAAAAGTGATCTTGAGTGGTGTCCTAATTCATTGATTAATAATAGCACAAGTGTTCCTGGGGTATAGTCACAGTTTCAGCTTGTAAATTGTTCTGTGGTTACTTCAATTAAAAAGAAAATGCATTTAATCATAAGCTACTTCATTCGAATGTAACACTGTGAACTATGTCAGATTAATTATCCCCTGTAACAGACAGAACAAATTACCCTTCACTGTTATCATCCCCCAGTGATCCTATTCCTTCCTGCTTTATACTGCTGTATATAATCTTGTAAAAATCTGTGAGCCTGGACAACATGGGGTACCCCAAATTCAACCAAGGCCACAGGTGTTGATTTTCTTGTCATTCTGTTCCTGCAGTATGGCATTATCACTCAGCTTTGAACTTCAGGAAGGGCAAGAGCAGTGTGATGCTGAGCAGGTGCTACAGTGTGGGCCAGATGCACCATTTGCAGCATCTGTGGAGCCCTAGACCCCCTAGGCCGTGGATTTCTGCAGACATAACAGGCTGCCTACATTGAAATAATTTCATCCAGGTATTTTATGTAAATTCTAAGCAGCAGGGCTCACTTTCTAAGATGTAACACTGGACTTTTCCCATCAGCTTTATGGTGAACCTGGGAAGGAACATTAAAAAACTGGGAGGCAGAGGAAATTAATTTTTGGAGGACTACCTTACCCTTTATAGCCTCATGCTCCTTTTCACCCTTGGGGTTCCCTTCTGATACTTATCTACCTCTATTTTTCATATTTACCTAGTCCTCTTTTATTCATTCATTCATTCACTCATTCATTCCTTCACTCAGCATACATTGATCAGATGCCTAACATATGCCAGGCACCAGGTACATGAAAGCACATAAGGATCAACAACTAGGACACAGCTCATGCCCTCAAGAGTTCAAAGTACAAGAAGGAGGAAATCTGTAGTGCTTCACTTTTCAAGGGACAACTTTCAACCAGTACTAAGCCACTCAGCTCATTCAGCTTGCCGCATGTGAACATACATGGTCTGATCTGAGCACTAGGTCTGAGCAGAGTCAGGGTAAGATGGTGACATGGGTGTAGGGAGCAGGAACAAAACAGCATGTCTTGTTTCTCAAGAAACTCATGGTCTAGAGGAGAAAAAAAGGGCTGTTAACAAAAACGGGTATAATGGAAGGGAGAGCAAGGTTAAGGTCAGCAAGAGAAATTTTTAAAATGCTATGGACATTCAGAAGGAGAGTTTACATTCAGGGTCTGAGAGCAGAGAAGAAAGACCAGGGAATGCTGCATGAAGGAGGCGCTAGTTCATTTGGAGGTTGAAGGATGGCTGGAATTTCTTCAGGCTGTTGGGGAGGACTTCCAGACCTAGAAAAAAGTGTGGCAGAGAGACAGCATATAATTTTTTTTAGCAAAGATGGCTTTACATGCCCAAGTGAGAGACTAGTGTTTCACTAACTTACAGAGAGGAGTCCCTTGAGACTTTTGAACAATTGACTTATGACTGATTGCTCAGAGCTGTTCTTTAAGATGAGCAGTTTTCAGTCTCGGGTGGGATAGGCTTGAACCAGATGAGTCTGGGCACCAGTGAGCAGGCTACTCTGGGAGAGATAATGAGGTGATGGTAATGGGACCCCTGCAAAGAGACAGTACTCAAGTGATGCTTATGAAGCTAGCATTTTCAACTCAATGAATGTGGGGATAGAAGAGGTGAGGAGTTAAAGACAGAGCTGCAGAAAAGGTTTTCTGGTAACACCAAAGGGCTTTCCCTGCCCACCTTGATGACACTGCATCTTAAGGAAGTCCTCACTTCAGTCTGTTAACCTTAGTTAACTCCTCATTGTGACCTTTGGCATTTTTAGTAACAGTTCTGATATCAAAACATGTGAAACATTATTCAATGGCTTAGATTTATTCACTGCTTGGACTCTACCAAAGCCTCTTTGAGTGATTTTGTCGTTGTTGTTTTGGACCTTTCATACTACTGCTTGCACATTTGCAATGATCTTGTATGTCCAGGAGATGCAGCCTAATTGTGTGGTGCCATCACTCACGGACCCTGGGATTCATTTCCCTCAGCAATGCATATGAGAGCAATCACTATTTCCATGCCATTCTCCTGTATCCTACATCAGGAAAGTGCTGTCAAGTAGATTTCTAGCAGAAGTTAGATGCTTTCCCATTGGTCCCCCTGCTCCTTTTGTGTTGTCCTTCTTGTGATCACAAATGTGCATGTAGGTCTGGCGAAACAGGACCAGAGGCCCCATGAATCCACAGAATATGGAAATTACTCTGGATGGGCCACCACATGATCTGAAGGGCAATTATACATCTTTATATCCTAAAATATCTCCCCAATAAACTTTTTATATGAGAACAACTCCATTATTCATGTATTCATTCATTAATCCATTCATCCATTCAACAAATAAGTGTCTCCTTTCAGCCTGATACTGACCTAGCATACACAATGCCAACATCTTAGCTGTTAAAACATACAAATACACAAATTCTTCATTACTAGTTTGTAAACAGCCATAACTCAGATCCCTCTGAGTGCCCACTGTTTTCTTCAGACAGTTCCAGGAGCCCCAGCCCTTCCTTGGGAATTCCCTACACCAACACACACACATATTTCCACAGAATCCCACAGCTAAAAGCTCAACCCCTCCTACTTGGTGGCTGAGGTGAAAGAATCACACAAGCCCAGGAGTTTGAGGCTGCAGTGAGCTATGATTGCACAACTACATTTCAGCCTGGGTGACAGAATGAGACTCCATCTCTCTAAAACAAGGAATAATGAATGAATGAATGAATGAATGAAGTACTTTTTAAAAGTCTTAATCCCCGTACATCTTTGCAGCCAGCATCTTTTCTGATTGGTTGGTAAACACTCTGCACCTATTGTTATATACTAAAAATAACACTCCTGATTTTATCCACTACCAGATACCAGATGAAAGATGAAATCCTAGAACCTTTGGAAGAACTAGGCTATGATCTTGACTTCATGTAGCTTCCAGTCTCTGTGGTATATTTGAGCAAGTGCATAATCAATTGGAATATATGTAGGAAAGGTGTGGTAGGCTAAATAATGCACCCCAGAGATTGTTCATGACCTAATCCTTGGAATCTTGAATGTTATCTTAAATAGCAAAGACTTTGAATGTGCTTAATCTTGATATGGAGGGATTATCCTGAATTAATCAGGTCCACCCTAAATACAATCATGTTTAGAGAGTGGCAGCGGAAGCTACAAACAAACAGAAGAGATGAGGCTATGGACCACAGAGCAGAGATTGGCAGCTACAAGACAGGGAATGCTGGCAGCTGCCAGAAGCTGGGGGAGGCAAGAATGCCTTCTCCCATAGAGCCTCTGCAGTAAGTGTGGCCATGCTGACACCTCGATTTCAACTTAATGATACTCAGTTTGGACTTCTGGTCTCAAGAATTGTGAGATAATGAATCTCTGTTGTTTTATACCACATAGTTTGTGACAATTTGTAGCAGTAGCCACAGGAAACTCATATAGAAGAGTTAAGTGGACCTCAAATAGAAGCAGAAGGTTCTATGGGTGGTAGAGAAGGGAGAACTTAGTTCTCTTGGGGCCATCTAAAAAGGCTTCAGAGAGGTAATGGCAATGGATCTTGGCCTTGAAAAATGAGCAGGAATTGTGTGTGCAGAGGTGTCTGACAGAAGTAACAGTGTGAGGAACCAGCAGTCCTTCCATTTGTCTGGAGTGCAGCTTCTAAGGGGGACGAAAGAAAGCAGAACAGAGTAAAACAATAGGGAGTGGTGGGGCCATATTGAAAAGAAGAGCACATGTCCTACATCTAGGGGTTAAAATTCAGTATAAACACAGCCCTAACTCTGTACTAACCAGAGTTATTACGCCTGGATGGACAAAGGGGTTAGTTGGGGATGAAATTTACACACGGAGAACGCAGAACACAGAAGCCATGTAGGATAGGCTGAGCAATTTGGCTAGGTCATGCACAGTGGTGGAATTAATTATCCAGATAGTGAAATGAAAAGAACTAGTCTTCAGGCGAGTCACTTCTATCTAGAAAAATATGTAGATGTGTGATTTCTAGGTCACTTTTGAAGAGTGTGTATTGGCTAGAAAAGAAAGAAGACTTTAGGAAAGAGAGCTTTCCATATAAGCACAGATTGGCTTAATGATTGGCAAATAGTCACCTTGAAAGTCCCAAGGGCTAGGTTTAAGAGTGGGAGAGAGTTGACACGTGTCAATGAGGAAGAGGCAGGATCTTAGATACGATTTTCTGTGAAAAGGCCATATGATCACATGGGGAGGAAAGGTGACAATAATAAATCAAGGACGCTAAACTTTACCCATAACAGCTGGGGAGGGCTGCTGACCATGCAGAGCCTTGGTTTTGGCCTCATGAGCACCTTATTACACTCCCCTGAGTTAAGCCCTAGAGACTCCATCCTTGGTATTTCCCCTATGCTTGTCCAAGGTCAGTAGATGTTTATCACAGTCAGTTAGAAATTTGTGTAGATGTCTCTATTTTCCAAAACAATGAGAAGGAAAATGGGGCTGACCCTATATATCTAAGTAAATTTTTTATTTATTTTAGAGTCCTGTCTTAAAGATTACATCTTACCCAAACAATTAAAATTAGTATGCTTGCTTATCATTGCCTTTCTCACCCACTTCAGATTGCAATGATGATTTTTATTAGTTGAATTTGGATGCTCTTAGAACTCATAATTGACTTTTAATTAAGTGCCAAACTATTTCCAACAGTTTTACATACCCTAAGGATTTCTGTCCCAATTCTAATTTACTTCAGATGCCTCCCAGCGCATGAAGGGATGCAGAAATGCACTTGAATGCAGAGCTGCGAGAAGAAATCATGGTATGCTTTTAAAAAAATTGTTAAAGAAAACCAATGCCTTCTTTTTAAAAGAATTGCTATGTCTTGTGCTGATGTGCATTATGTTCACAGCTACCCAGTAATTACTTCGGAGTCCTAGCTAAAGGTTTGATTCAAAAGTCAGATCTTAAAACAAAAATTATGTGTAGACAAAATTACCCTTGGCGTTCCTTGATATTGTCTTGAACAACAAGTAATAGTGACATGTAAGCATATAATACATATTTAAATTAACAGCATATAATCAAATGTCATTAGGCAAAATCTAATTCTGTAGTAAGTTTATGGTTACAAGAAGAAAGGTTCACAACTAGCTGGACAAGACACCAAACCATGAGAACTAAGGCAACGGAAGGAGCACAGATTAGCATTGTTATGTCTTCGAGGACACTAAGCACACTCCTAACTTAAGGCCATTGTACTGGAAAGGCCCTACCTGGAGAGCTTTTGCCTCCTCTGTGGCATTCTCCTGTTTAATCTTTCACATTTCCAGACAAATGTCATCTTATCAGAGAGGTGTTCTCTGGCCACTCTATACAGAAAAAGCTGCTTTATTTTTCTTCATTAGTTGGGATGATTAATAACTGGAGTGAATATAGAATGAATAAGTGATCTTTTCTAAGAGCATAATTAAAATTAGCATGTATCAGTAAAGGTACTTGCTAAGTTCTGAGTACAGTGAACCCAAATTTACTATTCCTTTTACTCATTCACTTCCTTGTTCCTCCATTCACTCAACAAGTATTTATCAAATACCCACTCTGTCCCAAGTGCTGTTCTCAGCAAAGGGAATGCAATGAAATAAACAAACAAATAAACAAGGTTCTTGCCTCCTGAAAGTAACTTTCAGTGAGGAAGACAAAAAGCAAACAAGAAAGAAAACAAGTAAATTATATAATGTCAAGTAGGGGCATTGTTTAAAAAAAATAAAGCAGAGTAAGAGTGTAGAGATGGGATGCTTGTCTGTTGGATGCCAGTATCTGTTTGGGGGTACAGAGAGCATCTATCTGCCTGTCTTGGGTACACTGGAGCAGATACCTGAATGAAGAATCTAAGTGAAGGGCCCAGTCATGGACCTATCTGCAGGAAGAGTACTAGAGGCCAAAGGAGGAGAAAATGCAAAGCATGGTCAGTGTGACTAGAGCAGCATGATTTTATAGGGAAATGATAGATGAGGCTGAAGAGGGCCAAGTGGTGAGGGGTTTGTAGACCATAATGAGGACTCTGTACTTTTTTAAATGAGATGGGAAAACATTGGAAGGCTTGGTACAGAAGTAATGTGATCTTATTTACAATTGTGAAGAATCACGTAGTTTCAGTGTGAGGAATAGACTCTTCAATGAGGAGCCACCAATGAGGAGGTCAGCACTTCACAGGAGAGATAATTGTGGCTTTGACTAGACTGGGAGGAATGAAGATGGTGAAAGTGGTTGGGCTGGGGCTCTATCTTGAGGACAAATCTCATAGGACTTTCTGTAAGGGTTCGCTTATATGTGAGAGAAAAAAAGGGAAATTAAAAATGACCCCGAGATTTCAAGCCTAAGGACCTAAATGAATGGTATTGCAAATAATGAGTGGGAAAGGCCTAGGTAAGTGCGGCAGGGAGGGGAGAAGTTAGAAATCAATAGTTTCATTTTTGATTAGCTATATTTGACATGTCAATGAACATCCAAGTGAAAGTCTGAGTAGACAGTTGGAGAAACAATTTCCAAGCTTATATCAGTGAGATTTATCTTCCTCAAATCTAAGTATTCTTTAATTATGCTTCTCAATTGCATATATAATTCTATAGCTAGAATTATAAATACATTTGATGGATCACCAATGCCTATGAATAAAGAATAAAGTAACACTTGCGTCCAAAGAAAATATAGGGACATTTACATTTTCAGTCTTATCCCCTATTGGGCCCTGCTGTGGATCACATATTCTATGGTACCTATGTGCCTTTTCTGTACCTTTCAGCTTTTTTGAATTAAGTTGTTCCTTTAGAGGCTCTTCCCCTCAGTGGCATCTATCAAATCAGATGCTACTTTCAATCTTCTTTCTATGTATCTCAAATGCCATCTCTTTCATTAAGCATTTTTGATTATCTCAAATGTCTATGACCTCTCATTCTCTTAATTTCTAGTGAACATCATTTTTTTAATGTCCAGCGGCCCTTTTCTCCACATGGATTTTTATTATAGTTACTTGTGTTTGTAACATTCACCTCCCTTATCAAATGCCTCATCTTTGCAACTGCACCAAACAGTCCCACTGCAGTCTTGGCTGCCAACAGCTCCTATATCATATGTCACATATATGTATTTCAGATATAGAATACTAACCTGTTAGGAGACTCCTTTAGTCATCTGGAACCCTTAAAATGGCTTTTCCAATAGATGTCAATCAGTGTTTAAATAGTTCCTGTTTGTAGGGTGCTTACTGTTCATCAAACCTATGCTGAATCTTTTACTTGTATCATCTTCTTTAAACCTTGTGGTTCCACGTAACAAATATATTTGCATACCCCTGAGGATAACCTATAATAAAAGTGCTTTAATGGTATAACAAAACTGAATTCTCTTTCACAATGATCCTATGAGCAAATGTATAATCTGGGGGCTGCCAAATGGCAAACTGTTTTTATTCAAATTTCTGAAAATATTTACTTATTAGAAAATTGTTATTTATAATTACTACAGTTATTAGGAAAGAAAGGAGGAGAAACTATCAGTTTTATGAATCTTTCATAGACTGCCTTTGTCACATTTGGCACTCTTGCTATGGGAAGCATGGTGAGGTTAACAATATTTGTGGAGTTTTAGCTTGTAACAATTTTAAAATTAGGAAAGTTTGGCTGTATTTCTCTGCATTTTTCTGCTTTTAGTCTACTCTAGACAGAACAACAACAGTTTGGCCAGGTGAATGTTACAAAGCTTGTTTGTGCTTTACAATGTACATTTAAACTTTAACCTGCACTTATGCTTTTAAAGTGCTGTAGAATTCGCCAAGTGTTTTTAAAGTACCGTTAATTACTTCAAATCATCTCATTTTTCCTGAGATTTGAACATTATTTTTATACTTTTACTTATGAAGAACTGTCAGAGAGATTAAATGTACTCATCCACAGCGCCATGGCTTGCAAATGAGGACTGGATCAATGTTCTCTTATTCCAAGCCCAGTACTGTTTCTACTGCAACATACCTGTCAATGTACCTACCAGGTGCATGAGAAGTGATGTATTTATCTAGGATTTCTTTTTAGTTTACGTTTTAAATTTCTCCTATATTTACATTTTACAGTAATTTTTAAAAGGCAATTCATGAACCTGGTTAAAGAAAATCCTGTTACAAATGATATACAGTGAAAAAGAAGTCTCTGAATTTGAGAATGCCACAAAGATAATCCTCCAGAAGAGCAACTCCAAGACACATAATTGTCAGATTCACCAAAGTTGAAATGAAGGAAAAAATGTTAAGGGCAGCCAGAGAGAAAGGTTGGGTTACCCACAAAGGGAAGCCCATCAGACTAACAGCTGATCTCTCAGCAGAAACTCTACAAGCCAGAAGAGAGTGGGGGCCGATATTCCACATTCTCAAAGAAAAGAATTTTCAACCCAGAATTTCATATCCAGCCAAACTAAGCTTCAGAAGTGAAGGAGAAATAAAATCCTTTACACAGAAGCAAATGCTGAGAGTTTTTGTCACCACCAGACCTGCCCTACAAGAGCTCCTGAAGGAAGCACTCAACATGGAAAGGAATAACCGGTACCAGCCACTGCAAAAACATGCCAAATTGTAAAGACCATCGATGCTAGGAAGCAACAGCATCAACTAACAAGCAAAATAACCAGCTAACATCATAATGACAGGATCAAATTCAAACATAACAATATTAACCTTAAATGTAAATGGGCTAAATGCTCCAATTAAAAGACACAGACTGGCAAATTGGATAAAGAGTCAAGACCCATCGGTGTGCTGTATTCAGAAAACCCATCTCACATGCAGAGACACACATAGGCTCAAAATAAAGGGATGGAGGAAGATCTGCCAAGCAAATGGAAAACAAAAAAAGGCAGGGGTTGCAATCCTAGTCTCTGATAAAACGGACTTTAAACCAACAAAGATCAAAAGAGACAAAGAAGGCCATTGCATAATGGTAAAGGGATCAATTCAACAAGAAGAGCTAACTATCCTAAATATATATGCACCCAATACAGGAGCACCCAGATTCATAAAGCAAGTCCTGAGTGACCTACAAAGAGACTTAGACTCCCACACAATAATAGTGGGAGACTTTAACACCCCACTGTCAACATTAAACAGATCAATGAGACAAAAAGTTAACAAGGATATCCAGGAATTGAACTCAGCTCTGCACCAAGCAGACATAACAGACATCTACAGAACTCTCCACCCCAAATCAACAGAATATACACTCTTCTCAGCACCACACCACACTTATTCCAAAATTGACCACATAGTTGGAAGTAAAGCTCTCCTCAGCAAATGTAAAAGAACAGAAATTATAACAAACTGTCTCTCAGACCACAGTGCAATCAAACTAGAACTCAGAATTAAGAAACTCACTCAAAACCGCTCAACTACATGGAAACTGAACAACCTGCTCCTGAATGACTACTCGGCACATAATGAAATGAAGGCAGAAATAAAGATGTTCTTTGAAACCAATGAGAACAAAGATACAACATACCAGAATCTCTGGGACACATTTAAAGCAGTGTGCAGAGGAAAATTTATAGCACTAAATGCTCACAAGAGAAAGCAGGAAAGATCGAAAATTGACACCCTAACTTCACAATTAAAAGAACTAGAGAAGCAAGAGCAAACACATTCAAAAGCTAGCAGAAGGCAAGAAATAACTAAGATCAGAGCAGAACTGAAGGAAATAGAGACACAAAAAACCCTTCAAAAAAGCAATGAATCCAGGAGCTGGTTTCTTGAAAAGATCAACAAAATTGATAGACCACTAGCAAGACTAATAAAGAAGAAAAGAGAGAAGAATCAAATAGATGCAATAAAAAATGATAAAGTGGATGTCACCACCGATCCCACAGAAATACAAACTACCATCGGAGAATACTATAAACACCTCTATGCAAATAAACTAGAAAATCTAGAAGAAATGGATAAATTCCTTGACACATACACCCTCCCAAGACTAAATCAGGAAGAAGTTGAATCTCTGAATAGACCAATAACAGGCTCTGAAATTGAGGTAATAATTAATAGCTTACCATCCAAAAAAAGTCCAGGACCAGACGGATTCACAGCTGAATTCTACCAGAGGTACAAGGAGGAGCTGCTGCCATTCCTTCTGAAACTATTCCAATCAATAGAAAAAGAGGGAATCGGCCGGGTGCAGTGGCTCACGCCTGTAATCCCAGCACTTTGGGAGGCCGAGGTGGGTGGATCATGAGGTCAGGAGATCGAGACCATCCTGGCTAACACGGTGAAACCCTGTCTCTACTAAAAAATACAAAAAATTAGCCAGGCGTGGTGGCGGGCGCCTGTGGTCCCAAGTACTCGGGAGGCTGAGGCAGGAGAATGGTGTGAACCCAGGAGGCGGAGCTTGCAGGGAGCCGAGATTGCGCCACTGCACTCCAGCCTGGGCAACAGAGTGAGACTCCATCTCAAAAAAAAAAAAAAAAAAAAGAGAAAAAGAGAAAAAGAGGGAATCCTCCCTAACTCATTTTCTGAGGACAGCATCACCCTGATGCCAAAGCCTGGCAGAGACACAACAAAAAAAGAGAATTTTAGACTAATATCCTTGATGAACCATCAACGCAAAAATCCTCAATAAAATACTGGCAAACAGAATCCAGCAGCACATCAAAAAGCTTATCCACCATGATCAAGTGGGCTTCATCCCTGGGATGCAAGGCTGGTTCAACATATGCAAATCAATAAATGTAATCCAGCATATAAACACAACCAAAGACAAAAACCACATGATTATCTCAATACATGCAGAAAAGGCCTTTTACAAAATTCAACAGCTCCTCATGCTAAAAACTCTAAATAAATTAGGTATTGATGGCACGTATCTCAAAATAATAAGAGCTATTTATGACAAACCCACAGCCAATATCATACTGAATGGGCAAAAACTGGAAGCATTCCCTTTGAAAACTGGCACGAGACAGGGATGCCCTCTCTCACCACTCCTATTCAACATAGTGTTGGAAGTTCTGGTCAGGGCAATCAGGCAGGAGGAAGAAATAAAGGGTATTCAATTAGGAAAAGAGGAAGTCAAATTGTCCCTGTTTGCAGATGACATGATTGTATATCTAGAAAACCCCATCGTCTCAGCCCAAAATCTCCTTAAGCTGATAAGCAACTTCAGCAAAGTCTCAGGATACAAAATCAATGTCCAAAAATCACAAGCATTCTCATACACCAATAACAGACAAACAGAGAGCCAAATCATGAGTGAACTCCCATTCACAATTGCTTCAAAGAGAATAAAATACCTAGGAATCCAACTTACAAGGGATGTGAAGGACCTCTTCAAGAACTACAAACCACTGCTCAACAAAATAAAAGAGGATACAAACAAATGGAAGAATACTCCATGCTCATGGATAGGAAGAATCAATATCGTGAAAATGGCTATACTGCCCAAGATAATTTATAGATTCAATGCCATCCCCATCAAGCTACTGATGATTTTCTTCACAGAATTGGAAAAAACTACTTTAAAGTTCATATGGAACCAAAAAAGAGCCTGCATTGCCAAGTAAATCCTAAGCCAAAAGAACAAAGCTGGAGGCATCACACTACCTGACTTCAAACTATACTACAAGGCTACAGTAACCAAAACAGCATGGTACTGGTATCAAAACAGAGATATAGACCAATGGAACAGGACAGAGCCCTTAGAAATAATACCACACATCTACAACCATCTGATCTTTGACAAACCTGACAAAAATAAGAAATAGGTAAACTATTCCCTATTTAACAAATGGTGCTGGGAAAATTGGGTAGTCATATGTAGAAGGCTGAAACTGGATCCCTTCCTTATACCTTATACAAAAATTAATTCAAGATGGATTAAAGACTTAAATCTTAGACCTAAAACCATAAAAACCCTAGAAGATAACCTAGGCAATACCATTCAGGACATAGGCATGGGCAAGGACTTCATGTCTAAAACACCAAAAGCAATGGCAACAAAAGCCAAAATTGACAAATGGGATCTAATTAAACTAAAGAGCTTCTGCACAGCAGAAGAAACTACCATCAGAGTGAACAGGCAACCTACAGAATGGGAGAAAATTTTCCAATCTAGTCATCCGACAAAGGGCTAATATCCAGAATCTACAAAGAACTCAAACAAATTTACAAGAAAAAAAAAACAAACAACTCCATCAAAAATTGGGGAAGGATATGAACAGACACTTCTCAAAAGAAGACATTTATGCAGCCAACAGACACATGAAAAAATGCTCATCATCACTGGCCATCAGAGAAATGCAAATCAAAACCACAATGAGATACCATCTCCCACCAGTTAGAATGGCAATCATTAAAAAGTCAGGAAACAACAGGTGCTGGAGAGGATGTGGAGAAATAGGAACACTTTTACACTGTTGGTGGGACTGTAAACTAGTTCAACCATTGTGGAAGTCAGTGTGGCGATTCCTCAGGGATCTAGAACTAGAAATACCATTTGATCCAGCCATCCCATTACTGGGTATATACCCAAAGGACTATAAATCATGCTGCTATAAAGTCATATGCACACGTATGTTTATTGCGGCACTATTCACAATAGCAAAGACTTGGAACCAACCCAAATGTCCAACAATGATAGACTGGATTAAGAAAATGTGGCACATATACACCATGGAATACTAGGCAGCCATAAAAATGATGAGTTCATGTCCTTTGTAGGGACATGGATGAAGCTGGAAACCATCATTCTCAGCAAACTATCGCAAGGAGAAAAAACCAAACACCGCATGTTCTCACTCACAGGTGGGAATTGAACAATGAGAACACTTGGACACAGGAAGGGGAACATCACACATTGGGGCCTGTTGTGGGGTTGGGGTAGAGGGGAGGGATAGCATTAGGAGATATACCTAATGTAAATGACGGGTTAATGGGTGCAGCACACCAACGTGGTACATGTGTACATATGTAACAAACCTGCACGTTGTGCACATGTACCCTAGAACTTAGAGTATAATAAAAAATATATATATATAAAATAAATAAATGAAAAGAAAAAAAAAGAAAAAGAAGTCTCTTCCTTCCCAGGCCCTATCCTCTTAATTCCTCTTCCTGGGAAAGACTACTTTGGTACCAGATTTTTGGGTATTTTTAATAAATATTTTATATATTTATAAATATGTGAAAATGTTTTATTATTTTTCATATCAAAGTGATTTTTTAAAATATTAAGCGTGCATACTTTAAGACACTTGTTATAATTCAAATACTATATAAGTTATCATTGGAAGTCCCAATAACTTTCATAAATATCCCTTGCTGAAATGGGGGAACCTTTAGTTACCAGATAGGAAAGTACCAGCAAGGACAGCTCAGAATGTGACACCACAAGTATACCTGGAACTTTCCTTGTCTACTCTGGGACTGGGCTTCTTATTGAAATATATAGTATATTTTGGTTTAAGTTTAAAATTTTTTATTATATAGGCACATAAAGTGTCAATTCACTCTACAAGATTGTTTAAAAAAAGAAAATAGCACAACTGTCTTTCCCCTACTTACCTCTTCCCAGGAGCAACCACTTTCTTCTCTTTTAGTTGATTAGGTCTCTTAAAAAGATGTTTGCATTGCTACTTCGCTAACACCTTTAATCTTCCCTTTAGTTAACAATTTTTTGCCCGTTTTGTTTATTTTTGCTTATTTTCCCACAGACAAGTTACTTATCCACTCCCCTACTCCTTGCTAAGCTCCTCTGAAAATATTTAGAGATGTTGATTAAATTTTACTTCCCAGAACAGTTTCTCCCGACCTGCTCCATCCTGGCTTTGTCTTTGGGCTTGAGGCTGAGCTGCCATTCTGGGAATTCTCATGATAATCCAGAAGATTCTCTGCCTTCTTGCCTATGTTGTATTTTTTCTTTTCTATATCCTATGTCTCCCACTTATTGTCTTTCCACTTAATTTCCTGGGATGGAACACATTCTCTATTAACTTTCTGAGAAAGGATTCAGGAAGGCAATTTTGTTGGAGACTTTGCATTCCTCAAAAATTATGTATTCTACTCATCAACCTGATTAAAAATTTGGCTGGCTATAGAATTCTAGTTTAAAAATAATTTTCTTTCAGAATTTGAAGGCATTTACCTACTGCCTTCTAATATTTGAGTGTGCTATTAAGAAGTCTGAAGTCATTTTAATTCCTGATCATTTGCCTGGGGCCTATTTTTTGCTCTTTGAAGGAGTTTTCTTCTTTTCCCTGTTGTTTGGAAACTTCATGATGATGTGGCTCAGTATGGGTTTATGTTTATTCACTGAGTTGAGCAAACAATGGGTTCCTTAAATCTGGAAATTCTTGTCCTGTAATTTGGGAAAATATTCCCTTTAAATTTTTATTTTACATAGTATAAAATATTTATTTTATGATTTCTTATCCTCTGACATTATTTTTTCTTTTATAGTCATTTTAGTGAGATTTTAGAGGGCAAAGTTAACGCTATAGTCAAACTGTCTTCTTTATCCAGAAGTTGCAATTCTACTTTTATGAATTTTTTCTCTTTAGTAATAATTTTTTACTAAAATGTATTAGTTATAAAATTTTTGTAGTAATAATTTAGTAATAATTTTTTCTCTTTAGTAATAATTTTTGTATGAATAAATAATTCCAAAATATCTTGGCCAATGTTATACCTACTTACAGTATTGTTTATGTTATAGAGTTTCCAGTAAAGACATAAAATTTGAGGTAAAATTGTAAACGTGATACTAAAAGATGGTATCTTGACATGGCATTAACACAGTGATAGAAAGAAGACTCAGGAATACCCAAGTCTTGCCTTGTTTTAATCTTCCTTCCTGTATAAGAGGTTCCTGAAGGAGATTCGTGCCCAGGGGAGAAAAAGAAAGTAAAGGTGATATTTTGTTATTAATTAGAGATTTGGTCCCAGATCTTTAAGTTGAACTTTAATAAGAGAGGCTAGAATACAGGAAAGACACATTCTTCCTTATCTAACTAGGGTTAACTACCTAGAACCAAAGAAGGCCATGGTTTCCAACTTGATTAATTATAAGATCACACAGGAATCTTAAATTTCACTATTGATGTATGGAAAAAAAGACAAATCCAGAACACTCCCAGAATAGCACAGAAAAGGCCAAAACAGATAAATGTTGAGAGAAAAAGTTTGTCCAGGACCTACAGCATAGCTAGTTATGGGAATAGTCCCAGAAGAGGTGCATTGTGAAAGTACAACAAAGAATGAAATGGAAAGGTGAAGAAGTTGCTTCCAGTGTCCCTGGCTACCATTTGCACCATTTTGCTTTACTGGGAGGGAAGAGACAGAGAATGGAAAAGATAATTTTTAAAATATCTTGTTTTGTCAAGTAAGAGTGAATCCCTGAGAGAGAGGCAGATGCCATCACTGGCACTGTCACCTAATCATTGCCCTTCAACTTCCCAAATCCTTACTTCTGATAGAGATCCATGCTTGCAGGACTTAGGATGGTGGCTAGGAGCACAGGCCTTTGGTTTTGTCCCTAGTTGCCAATATTTTAAGCACAGTTATGATTTAGTAAGAAGCAGTTTTCAACCTAATTATTTCTCTTTTCTCTATTTCTTCCTCCAGATCTAAATATGGCTTCACCTCTCTCTGGTCAGGGGCAATTAACATTAGGTTAATTCTACTTTTATGAATTTTTTCTCTTTAGTAATAATTTTTTACTAAAATGTATTAGTTATAACATTTTTGTAGTAATAATTTAGTAATAATTTTTTCTCTTTAGTAATAATTTTTGTATGAATAAATAATTCCAAAATATCTTGGCCAATGTTATACCTACTTACAGTATTGCTTAACTGTAAGTTAACAATGACAAATGACAAATGAACTTATTGTGTATAGCAATCATGATAATATTTATATTTTAGAAATGACCTCAAATGCGAGGGAGAAAGAAACAAGGTAGAAGAAAGGAAGGAAAGAAGAGAGGAAGGAAGGAAGGAAGACAGGCATGCCAGTAAACATGTATTGGGCACTTGCTATACACCAGGCACTGTGCATCTTGGTTTCACAAATCTCTCAATTAATCCTGACAACATTAATGAAAAAATAATAGCCATATATATATATTTATATATATAAATATATAAATAAATATATATAAATATATTGTCACCCAGGTACTAAGCAAAGTACCTGACAGTTATTTTTCCTGATCCTCTCCCTCCTGCCATCCTCCTCCCTCAAGTAGGCTCCAGTGTCTGTTGTTCTCTTCTTTGTGCCCATTGGTTCTCATTATTTAGCTCCTGCTTATAAATGAGAGCATGTGATATTTGGTTTTTCTGTTCCTACACTAGTTTGCTAAGGATAATGGCCTCTAGCTTCATCCATATTCCTGCAGGGGACATGATCTTGTTCTTTTTTTATGGCTGCATAATATTTCATAATGTATATGTACTGCATTTCTTTATCCAGTCTACTGTTGATGGGCATTTAGGTTGATTCTGTGTCTTTGCTCTTGTGAATAGTGCTCCAGTGAACATACGTGTGCATGTATCTTAATGGTAGAATGATTTATATTTCTTTGGGTATGTAACCAGTAATGGGATTTCTGGGCCAAGTGATAGTTCTGTTTTTAGTTCTTTAAGGAATCACTACACTGCTTTCCAAAATGGTGGAACTAATTTACATTCCCATCAGCAGTGTATAAACGTTCCCTTTTCTCTGCAATGTCACCATCATCTGTTATTTTTTGACTTTTTAAAAATAGCCATTCTGACAGGCGTGAGATGGTATTTCATTGCAGTTTTGATTTGCATTTCTCTAGTGATATTGAGAGATTTTCATATGTTTGTTGGCTGCATGTATGTCTTCTTTTGAAAAGTCTCTGTTCATGTCCTTTGTCTACTTTTTAATGGGGTTGTTTGATTTTTGCTTGTAAATGTGTTTAAGTTCCTTACAGATTCTGGATATCAGACCTTTGTCAGACGTATAGTTTGCCAATATCTTCTCCCATTCTGTAGGTTGTCTGTTTACTCTGTTGATAGTTTCTTTTGCTCTGCAGAAGCTTTTTATAATTAGATCTCATTTGTCAATTTTTGCTTTTGCTATAATTGCTCTTGGAAAAATAATAGCCATTTTTATGAGTGAGGCAATTTACCATCTGGTGAGGATCAAGGGATTTGCTTAAGGCCTCATGGTGAATCTTGATACCAAAAGGGGAAACTGAAGCAGGTGTTCTTATATGTGAACAAGATCAAAATAGTAAAGGCTATTATTGGAAATTTTGCTTTACTAGAGATTGTGTCTGCCATGACTCTGTAATAGAACCCTCCAAGTCACAGACCTGTCTCCAGGCACTCAGAATCTTGGGTCTAGAGCAAAACAACTCATTCCATTCATAGGTGGAATGAAGGCTCCTAGTCACAGGTCAGGATTAGACCAGGAATGGGTGGGTCTGAACCAACTCAATTTAAAAGTCTCAAAGATGACTGCTAAGTGAAACTAGAGAGTCAAGTCTAGTAAGTGAAATTTTTTCAGTTGAAGAATTTAAAGATGGTGTATTTCCAAGGAATGAAAAGATACAGGCTATGGTCATGTTACTAGATTTCTAAACTGAAGAGGGCAAAATGAAAAATAAAATCAATGGATTGTGAGCTTAGGGTTCTTCTGGTTATATCATTCATTTCCCCAACTCAGTTGAGTTCAACACACATTTAGTGAGTCCCTGCCATGCAATAGAATTGTGTCCTGTCCTAAATAGCCATTTCTGGCTATTATTATTACATCTGAAGATACAAAGGTAAAGTAGCGTTCCTGCCCTTTATGGGTTTGGCCTAGTCTATTGGTTTCCAAGCCTGCCTGTGGGGCAGAATTATCTAGAGAGCATCTTTTAAATCTCCATCCCAAAAGATTCTTTCAGAATGTTTGGGGTGAATCAAGGGATTTTGAATTTTTAACAACTTTCATGGGTGAGCCTTATGTACCTTGTGCATTTCTAGCCCATAGCAAGAATTTGGGCATAAGTGATCTCATTCAGTTGAACACTGACATAATATAGGATGATGGAGAAGAAGACTGACTTCTTCAAACATGTAATTCTTGAATATATAGAGAGAGTGAGCAGTAGGTTAGAAGGGGGCTTGGAACAAAAATGGGTAGGGGGATCATTGGTTGATCTCACAATGAGGGTGAAGGTGAAGGAGTGTGGAAAGCAATGGTCTGGAAGTCACAGTGAGATTCCAGTAGGACAGACACCCCCAACACAGAGGGAGTATGGAAACTGAAGCCATAGCCATTGAAAAGGCTGTAAGGAAAGCACCATCGTTGGAGATGCCAGCTTCCTGGTGAGGCATGGAAGTTGTGGGGGGAAGTAGCAATGTGGGGAATAACTTTGGAAAAGCAGTCAAGAAGGGCAGCAAGAGGAAAGTGTGAGGAGTGCAAATTAACAGGCACAAGATAGGCCAGAGAAGGTGATAGCCTGATTAGCCAGGAAATGAGTTTGGGAGAGAATGGGTGTACACTTTGTGTCATGACTGTGGAGGACTGAGCTAAGGGAGGACAGGGTCTACAGGTAGACAACATAATTTGCCTGTACTCTGTGTACTGCCACCCTTCCTCATTAAGCACATAGTTTACAGGCCACCTTATTTTTTATGAATCCCTAAGAAGTGAAATGCTTTTCCCAGATGTCCCAGCAAATTTATTCCAAGATACTGAAGAAACAAGACAATTCTCCTTTATAGAACCAAGCCTATGTCCTCCTCGAGTCCTTTTATTATTATTTTTTGAGATGGAGCCTTATTCTGTCACCCAGGCTGCATGAACTCGGCTCACTCAACCTCCACCTCTCAGGTTCAAGTGATTCTCCTGCCTCAGCCTCCTGAGTAGCTGGGATTATGGGCATGCGCCACCAGGCCCAGCTAATTTTTGTATGTTTAGTAGAGACAGGGTTTCAACATGTTGGCCAGGCTGGTCTTGAACTCCTGGCCTCGAGTCATCTGCCCATTTAGGCCTCCCAAAATGCTGGGATTGCAGGTGTGAGCCACCATGACCTGCCTCTCTCTCCAGGCTTCTAAGGGGTTTGATAACTTGACATTAAGAGAAATAATAAAGCTGTCTAACGCCTTGATATGCTGTGCTTTTCTTGGTAAAAATTAAAGGGAGGCTGGAAAACCTTTACTAAAAGAAGACAACTTTGCCTAAGGTTTTTTGGCTGGCAACAACCCCAGGACTTACATAGAAAGGACAGACTGTCAGCAGGCTCATGGAGAATTCATTGTAATTAGTTCTTAAGCAGCCTGATCCCTTGGTAAATTCTGGAGTGAACTCAGTTCAGGAGAAACTGCAACAGCAAATTAGGAGTTAATTGAATGTCATTCATTTCCTCTTTCTCAGCTGCTCCAGGGCTATTTATGCAAACTTTTCCTGGGGGAGCCTACCTCTATTCTCTGTAAAGTGTTAATGACAACTTTCTTTGAAGAGCTCTTGCTATTTGCTTGTTCATTCCATGCTTTATTATTCTTTCCATAGGGTGATTAGCAGATAAGTGGCATTTCTGTTCCCTCCCCAGGCAGTAGCAATAAAATCTCCTATCCCACATTAACATCATGATTTATCATTGATATTCATATCACAGACATGAATTGGGAGTCAGAGACACGAGCTTGTATTTGAGGTCTGCCACTTCTAGCTATGTTACTAGATTAAGTTACATAACCACTCTGAGCTTTATATTTGTTCAGTGGTTATATGGAAGCATAATCGGACCTACTGTTTGGTTGTTGTGTGGATTGAGTGACATGATGCATGCAAAATGCTTAGCAAAATGCATTAGTCTCATTAGTGTCCTAAAAGTGGTAGCATACTTTAGCTTTACAATCATTATCTTACATAACTATTATTTAATTATTATCTAAATCAGCCTTATAATAATCTCATGAGGTAGTCAGGATAGTTCTCATTCTGGCATCATTCGTAGCAAAGGCAGGGGATCTATAGGAAAAAGAAAGCACATGAATAGATAAATGTATAACATCTTATTTCCTACCTTATTTCAATCAGAGGAGGTGTAGAACTAAGGAACCCAAGTAAGGTCTCCGACAACTGTTTCACCCTGCCAAATCTCTGTATGCCTAAACCCTGACATTCTTCTTCTGTCCCCTAAGCCAGGACCCACCTACACCCTCTACCACTGGCTTGGAAATTTAGTCTCCTGCCTACTTTTTGCCAGGATCGTTTTTTGGAAATAGATTCTACTCTGTACTAGCAGCACACAGGGTCCCCATTCTAGCTGTTGCTGGATTAGGAATATTAGTGTTACACACCTGGTTATTGCATGTAGAAGTTTAAGACTGGATGCATAATTTGTGGGGCCCAGTGCCCAAGGAAAACATGGGACTCCTTCTTCAAAAAGTATTAAACATTTCAAGACAGGGACAGCAGAGCATTAAACCATGCACGAGGCCCTTCTGACTGCAGGGCCCTCTGTGACTGCCCAGGTTGCTCACCCAGGAAGCTGATCTTCAATTTAGCTGAAGATCTGCAATTTCACTTGTAAAGTGTTCCTTTGAAATTGCTTACTTCATTCATTAATCAATTTATTCTTTTAACAAATATGTTTCTGAGCTGCTGCTATATATATGTCACACATCAGTCTAAGTCTGAAGATATACCATTAAAAAAATAAGCAAGGTTCCAACTTTCGTGATATTTACTATTATAGGTCACAAGTTGGAAAACTATAACTCATGGGCCAAATCTGGCTTGCCACCTGTTTTTGTACCTCCCACAAACTAGGATTTTTTTTTTTTCATTTTTAAGTACTTAAAGGAATTTTTAAGCTAGGCTTGATGGCTCATGCCTGTAATCCCAGCAGTTTTGGAGGCTGAGACAGGCAGGTTACTTGAGGTCAGGAATTCAAAATCAGCCTGGCCAACATAGCAAAACCCCATCTCTGGTAAAATACAAAAATTAGCTGGATGTGGTGCTGTGCACCTGTAATCCTAGCTATTCGGGAGGCTGAGGCAGGAGAATCACTTGAACCCAGGAGGCAGAGGTTGCAGTGTGCCCAGATTGTGCCACTGCACTCCAGCCTGGGTGACAGAGTGAGACTCCTTCTCAAAATAAATAAATAAATAAATTTTTTAAAATAATACTTTGTGATGTGAAATTTACATGAAATTCAAGTTTTATAAAATTTGATCAAATTTTATAAAAATTGTTCATAAAGTTTTATTGGAACACAGCTACACCCATTTGTTTAAATATTGTCTATGGCTGCCTTTGCAAAACAGTGGCAGAATTTAGCAGTTCTGACAGAGACTGTTTGGCCTGCAAAGTCTAAAATATTTACCATCTGGTCTTTACAAAAAAAAATGTTTGCCAGTTACTATTGTAGGGGTGCGAGAGACTATAGACAAGTGATAAATTAAACAAGATAATTATGAATTCTGATGAGGACTCTGAAGGAAATATATGGGTGATGAAATCTCATTCCTACCTTTGAACAGGGCAGGAAGACCCTTTGGAGGAGCCGATAATTGAATTGAGTCCTGAAGGACAAAAATGTGCCAGCCATTCAGAGTGCCAGAAAAAAAAGCCTTCCAGGTAGAGGCAACAGTGAGATCGATGGCCTAGGGGTGGGAAAACTCCTGGTTTATCCTATGGATAGAATGAGGTCAACATGGCTGCAGCATCTTGAGAAGGTGGGGAGGATACAAAGTGAGACAGAGAGGTAGGCAGGATGTATGGCTCAGGATCTGAGGCCTTGGTAAGGAGTTAGGGCTTTACTCTGAGAGCAAATAAAAGCTATTAAAGGATTTTAAATAGGGAAGTGGTTCAATCTGATATAAATATTTTTTTGGAAGTCTTCTCTGGCTGTTGTGTGGAGAATGTGTTTTAGGGAGGACAAG
Organism: Homo sapiens; assembly: GCF_000001405.40. Taxonomy (NCBI): domain Eukaryota; kingdom Metazoa; phylum Chordata; class Mammalia; order Primates; family Hominidae; genus Homo; species Homo sapiens. The sequence goes on from NC_000011.10 coordinate 103,771,468, forward strand.
AATGAAAGAAAAGAGACAAAATTGGACACTATTAGAGTCCAGGAAAGAGATGAAAGTGGTTTGGATTCAGGTGGCACTGGATTTGGAGAAATGTAGAAGACTTTGGGATATATTTTGAAGGTGGCACCTACCCAGCTTGGTGATAAACTGGCCTAGGAACTGAAGAAAAGGGAGGTTTAAAGACTGTTTCCTAAGCTTCTAACTTGATCAACCGAAGGCTTATGGTGGCACCATTAACTAAGATTAATTGATTCAGTAAATATTTATTGACTGCCTACTACATTATAGTCACTCATCTAGGATATAGTAAATAGCAGTGAACATAACAAAAGAGGCCAATAATCAAATATACACATAACTATATAAAATTTGAAAGGATGACAAATGCAATGGAGAAAACTGAAGGAGAGATAGAGGGAGGCGAAGGCCATGGGAGATTTTAGAGGTAAGAGAAGGTGCCTGAGTATAAAGCAACTCCAAATAGAACTCGACTCCAAGTAAAAGATGATGTTTCTATTTTCCCAGTTAGAATAACCACTCCCTTCAAAAGTTGTCTTTGGCTAATTCATACTATTTAATTTAGTTTAACACATATCTTTAAAATCACATATTACATAAACTAATATAAATATAAAAGTATACCTTTAAAATAAATTACATTAAATTTACCATTTTCTTCACTATGTCCATGTCTGTTTTTTAAATTTTACAGAATCAAAAAATTTAATGTATAGTAGCAATATTAATCATCATTACAGATTTGGCTTGAGAAGTATTTCTCAAAATCTGTAAAGACCTGAATGTAAAGTGAATTTTTTTATTTTTCTAAAATATGATTTGGGATAATAGCTAACTAAATGAACGAATGAATGAACCAATCAACCAATCAATCAATCAGTCCTTACCATGTTCAGACTCATGCAATGCTCATCCAGGAGAGTGGAAAAGCACTTACTGGCAGAGCAGAGGAGGAGGCCAGGTAGCAGAGAGCGCAAGCATTCCCCTTCAGATGTCAGAATACATAAAGGAGATAGAATGTTATCATTTCTATTCTATCTATTCATTTTCTTTACTTAAAAGATCAAGAAGCAGAGAGAGAGAAATGGGAGGTAGGGAGAGAATTTAAAAATACATTGGAAAGCCCAGGCGTGGTAACTCACGCCTGTAATCCCAGCACTTTCGGGAAGTCGAGGTGGATGGATCGCTTGAGTCCAGGAGTTTGAGACCTGCCGGGACAACATGATGAAACCCCATCTCTACAAAAAATACAAAAATTAGACAGGCACAGTGGCATGCGTCTGCAGTCCCAGCTACCTGGGAGGGTGTGGTGGGAGGATTGCTTGAGCCTGGGAGGTCACGGCTGCAGTAAGCCATATTCGTGCCACTGCACACCAGCCTGGGTGAAAAAGTGAGACCCTGTCTCAAAAAAAAAAATGCATTGGAAAACTTAAAAATGTACAAGGAAGTTGACATATATTTCCTTTAACTCTTTTCCCGTTTAGAAAAAAAGTGCAGCTCACTGCCGGCGCACACTTAATTTTACATGAACACGCTCGTTGAGGCTGAAGCAAATCTGACTGATTTTCAATGTGAAAATAAAATATTGTTCTTGGAGTTACTTTTAAACAGAACTAACATAAGAATCATCTGAATCATCAGAATCATCTATTTCAGAAAAATTGGATTCATCACATGAATCTTCAGCCAACAACTGTTCGAGAACAATGTTGACATCACATGTAGGAATGCTATGTTCTCCAGGATTTGACATTTTTAGTGATAGAGAACCACTATGTTTTGTAAGAGGAAGCACCCACTACTAAAAACAGAATGCTATAAATAGAAGGATGTCTTTTGTTTCCAAAGTCAATATACTAGAGGGATGAGAAAATAGTAACAAAAGCAAGATATTTTGTGGCAAAGTTATCTGGAAGCAAATGATGAAGCCTCAAGCACTGCCAGTGAGTATTCGCAGGGCAAGTGGGAAAGGGGTTTTAAGCCATTTTTCTATTTTTTCTCTTTTTTCCCTAAATCAACTTTGAATGCTACTTTTTAACTTAACATTTAAAAAATATGTTATTTTTAGTGGCTGCATAGTTTTTCATCTTATCATTTATTTATTTATTTATTTATTTATTAAAACAGAGTCTCATTCTGTCACCCAGGTTGGAGTGCAGCCGCCATCTCCGGTCACTGCAACCTCTGCCTCCCCGGTTCAAGTGGTTGGCCTGCCTCAGCCTCCGCAGTAGCTGGGATTCCAGGCACCGGCCACCACGCTCGACTGATTTTTTTATTTGTTTGTTTGTTTTTTGAGACAGAGTCTCGCTCTGTGACCCAGGCTGGAGAGCAGTGACGCGATCTCAGCTCACTGCAACCTCTGCCTCCTGGGTTCAAGCAGTTCTCCTGTCTCAGCCTGCGGAGTAGCTGGGACTACAGGGACCTGCCGCCACGCCTGGCTAATTTTTGTATTTTTAGTAGAGATAGGGTTTCACCACATTGGTCAGGCTGGCCTTGAACTCCTGACCTCAGGTTATCCACCCACCTCGGCTTCCCAAAGTGCTGGGGTTACAGGCGTGAGCCACCTCTCACTGACATTCGATAACATTCTATATCTTGTATGTATTCTGACATCTGAAAGGGAAAGGAAAGCTGTGAATAATGCTTCCAAGGACCGCTACTGTGTGGGACCCGTATATTTCCTTTACAGAGGTGCTGTGACAATGAAGAAATGTACATATATGCCTTTATGGTGTGATATGGTCCAGCTGTGTCTCCACTCAAATCTCATCTTGAATTGTAGCTCCCATAATTCCCACATGTGGGAGGGACCTGGTGGGAGATAATTGAATCATGGGGGTGGTTTTCCCCACACTGTTCTCCTGAATAAGTCTCATGAGATACAATGGTTTTATAAGGGGTTTCCCCTCTTGCTTGGCTCTTGTTCTGTCTTGCCTGCTGCCATGTAAGACATGCTTTTTGCCTTCTGCCATTATTGTGAGGCTTCCCCAGCCATGTGGAACTGTGAGCTCATTAAACCACTTTTTCTTTATAAATTACCCAGTCTGGGTCATGTCTTTATTAGCAGCGTGAGAACAAACTAATACATGGTGTCTGGCTCACAGTTGGTTCTCCATACTTGGTAGCTAGGATCACAGGAGGTTGTGTGGCAGACAGAAAAGAGTAGGCCCTTAAGGGGCCACCAGAGCTTGGCTCAAACCCAACGCTACTTCTGCTTGTCACATGATCTTGGTCAATTTAGTTAACTTCTCTGCTTTTTGTGAAAATTACATGGCACCTATGTAGAGTGGGCACTTAGTCAATGATAGCTATTATTATTGTCATTATTTTAAAAAATGATGACTATACTGATAATTATTTTAAAGTACAAACACCAAACATGGTTTCTGTTCTTGGGCAGAGTATGTGGGGGGGGACATGGGGAGGAAGAGGTACCAGGAGGAGATTGGTGAATAAACTTCAAATGCCCAGTTGTACCTTGTGTAGAAATAGGCCACAGAGGGAGAGAAGAAAACAAATACTTTCACTCCGCCATTTTTATCTGAGAAGATTGCAGTTATTCTTCAGAGAAGATAAAGAGCTGGGAGAATTTGAGTTGGGGGATAGGGCCCAAGATAGGGATGGAATAGGCCAGGAAACCAGAGTAACAGGCATGGAGGGTTAGAAGAGGGGAAGCAGAAATGTGCCCATTTTCCCTCTCTGTTCACCCAAGACCTGTGGTCTGTGGTCTCCTTCCTGATGAAACAATTGCCTTATTAATTTCCAGGTTCTGTTTGGTGGAGGCGGCAGCCAGCAATATTGGTTTGTTTTATATTTATAGACGTCATCAATCCTTTGATGCCTTTAATCTTTGCTGGGCAATGCAATTCTTTCTGTTATTTCTCATGAAAGGCTAAAAAAAAAGCTAACTAAATTATGCCAACCCCTATGTAGGAAAGAGGCTGACATTTTACAAGCAGCAATAATTTTACCACATTACTACTGGGCAATAATCCTTTTTAGGAGCGGATATTTATATTTGTCTAATCAGGGAGATGGTGTTACACTCCATTGACTGATATGTTAAAATTACCTACAATTTCTCCCTTTTCTACACAGAAATATAAGTACTAGATTAAGCCAGGTTTAGTGACAGTTTTACCAAATGAGTTATGTTTTACAATAAGAAGAAACAGACAAAACACACACACACACACACACACACACACACACACACACGCTTTAGCATTAGAAAAACCACTCTACACTGCTACATCATTTGCTAACTTTGCAGACTTGTGCGATCTGTGACTCACTCAGTTTCTTATCTTTAAAATGGAATGATATTTATAGTCTCCATTAATCTATTGTGAAGATTAAAATAGATCATTATTTATAAAGCACTTAGCATAGTACCTGACACACTAATTGCTCAGTCAATGTTAACTTCCTGTTTCTCTCCTTCTTCCCTTCCTTTCTTGCAACAGTCTCTGTGCTCAAGGCCATTTGGCTACCAGACGGAATTGAGGAGAAACAAACTCAAAGTCAGGAGACACAGCTTTTCCATGTATTACTGGAGTCGGTTTAGGTAAATTAGTTCTCTTAACTCTCCTGTCTGTAAATAATGCGGGTAATACTTGTAGTGTCCAGCAACCTAGTTGGTGAGGCATCAGTGGCTCAAAAGAAGAAATGAATGAGAAAGTGGCTTTTAAATAAATAATAAGGCCAGATTCCTGTGACATTTTGAGTAATCATCCAGGGACTAGGAAAGTAACTGGTCTTTACTGTAACTGCCTTTTAAGTTGCCGGTCATTGTAGGTAGAAATTATTTTGAAGGAGGTTCCCAATGGTGAAAAGTCTCCTAGATGCACCCTTTTACATTCCCACCAGCAGTACAAGATTCCAGTTTCTTCACATCCTCACCAACATATAATCTTTTTTTTTTTTGATAATTGTTATCCTAACAGGTGTAAGTAAATATTTCATTGTGGTTTTGATTTCCATTTCCCTGATGTCTGGTGATATTGAACATCTTTCCACATACCTGTTGGCCATTTGTGTCTGCTTTGGATAAATGTCTGTTCAAGTCTTTTTCTCATCTGCTAATTGGGCTTTTGTCTTTTTGTTATTGAGTTGAAGAAGTTCCTTATATATTTTGCATATTACCTATTATAAGATGCATGGTTTTGAAACATTTTCTCCCACTTCTTGGGTTTCTTTTTTTTTTTCACTGTGTTGATTGTTTCCTTGCTGTGTAGACTTTTTTTTTTAGTTTGATGTGGTCTCCCACTTGTCTGTTTTTGCTTTTCTTGCCTTTGCTTTTGGTGTCATATTAAGAAGTCATTGCCAAGACCAGTGTTATGAAACTTTTTCCCTATGTTTTTCTCTAGGAGTTTTACAGTTTAAACCTTAAGTTTTAGCCTGTAATCATTTTGACTTGATTTTTTTTGTGTGTAATATAACATAAGGTACGATAAAATGTTACAGCTACAATGGAAAACATTATGGATGTTCCTAAAAAAATTAAACATAGAAATACCTCTTGGTCCAGCAATCCTATTTATGGGTATATCTCTGAAAGATTGGCCGGGCGCAGTGGCTCAGGCCTGTAATCCCAGCACTTTGGGAGGCCAAGGCGGGCTGATCATGAGGTCAGGAGTTTGAGACTAGCCTGGCCAACAGAATGAAACCCTGTCTCTACTAAAAATACAAAAAATTAGCCAGGTGTGGTGGTGGGCGCCTGTAGTCCCAGTTACTTGGGAGGCTGAGGCAGGAGAATCGCTTGAACCTGGGAGGCAGAGGTTGCAGTGAGCCGAGATCATGCCATTGCCCTGCAGTCCAGGCGACAGTGCAAGACTCTGTCTCAAAAAAAAAAAAAAATCTGAAATCAGAATATTGAAGAGATATTTGCACTCCCATGTTCATTGCAGCATTAGTCACAATAAACAAGATTTGGAAACAAACTCAATGTCCATCACGGTATATATATACAGTAGAATATAATTCTGCCTCGAAAAAATAGGGAATCCTGTCATATACAACAATATAAATGAAGCTTGAGGACATGATGCCAAGTGAAATAAGCCAGTCACAGAGGAACAGGTACTGTATGATACCACTTATATGAGGTATATAGAATAGGCAAGCTCATAGAAACAGAGAGTAGAATGGTGGTTATGAGGAGCTGAGGGAGGGAGAAGTAAGAAGTTGCTATTCATCAAGTATAACGTTTCAGTTATGCCAGATGATTAAGTATACATATCAGCTGGACAACATTACACCTATAATTACCAATACAGTGTTGCACACTGAAATTATTTTTTAACAGGGTAAATTTCATGTTAAGTGTTCTTACCCTAATAATATGCATATAAATTATCTTGGTAAAATTCTGATTCTGATTATGAAATGTTTGCAGTGGAGCCAAAGAGTCGAAATTTCTAGTAGGCTACCAGGTGATGCCAATGCTGCTGGTCTGTGGACCATACTTTGAGTCACAAGTGTTTAGTAGGGGTTGACAAATTATGGCCCATGGGCCAAATCCATCCTGCCACCTGTTTTTGGATGACTCAAGAACTAAGAATGATTTTCACATTTTAAGATTATTTTTAAAAATCAAATGAAGAATAATATTTTCTACCACATAAGAAATATATGCAACTCAAACTTCAGCATCCATAAATAAAATTTCATTGGAACGTAGCAACACGCATTCCTTACAGTTTTGTGAATGGCTGCTTTTGTGCTACAACAGTAGACTTAAGTAGTTGCAACGGGGGCTATATGATTTGCAAAATCTGACATATTTACTATCTGGCCTTTTACAGGAAAAATTTGCCAACTTCTGGAGTAGAGGGTAACTTGGATTGTCAAAGAAGTAAATATTATCCTCCAGGGTTTCATTTTATTTTTTTCATTGCTATCAGCTTCTCACAGCAGCAGCCTTCTGCCTACTGGCATTTCTCACCAGACTCAAAGAGTTTGACCCTCTCTTTTTTTTAAGGCACGATGCTGGGCACATCAAGTTTGAAATGTTATGTAAGTCAGAGTTTACAATGTTATGTAAGTTAGAGTTGCAACATTATATAAGTCAAAGGCTCCTCTTGTGGGAATTACTGACTGGACTGTGTCATTTTCCCTTGCTCTTGTTCAGCCTCACTCCATCATACTACCAGATGTGCTCATACACATGGATGTTGTCTAATGTGCAGAGGAAAACTTTGCTTTAAAGTTTAGAAAACAAAAACAAGTAATTCTATTTATTAACATTATTTGAAAATGGACATTGAGATCTATGTATTTCTACCAAAAAACAGATTAATGTAACCTGTTTTAAATGAAATAATGAAATGGGTCTGTAGAACTTGCATCAGCATGAGAGCTTGCTATCCTCAGATAAGACCCTTAAATCCAATTCTTTATTCATCATGGAGTCCCAGTTTTACCCCTACCATAAGGGAAAATGACTTAAGGTTTCTGCCCACCTCTTTCACCAAAGTTTGCAAGTCTGAAGTGGTGAAAAACAAATTACAGCCACTAAATAAAATTTAAAACTGAAAAATGTGAGAAAAATTACTGCAAACCAGGCCCTGTAAGTCTGTTCTTCTGAGGTTACACAGGGCTGCCTGCAGGTACACTAAGATTCTTCTTCCTTGTTCAAGGGGATGACAAAAGCTCTGTCATACATAGTGGTTATTTTGAAAATATGTCAAAAATTTAACTTATGAAAAGTCCTGAATCATATCTAAGTACATAAGCCTGGTTTAGTTATTCTTCCTAATGGCTCCAGGTTAAGACTAGTCAACATAATTTTCTCTGGTTTGGGGGATAGTCAGGAAACCATGGCTGCTGCCTTCAGTGGTGCGTTCTTTATTATTTTTGGCTCCTAACAACCATAACTGGTTCAGACATGTTGACCTAATCTAGCCATAATAGGGCAGCTTCCTACCAGCTCAGTCCTTATAGAAATTAAGGTGTTAAGAAAGATTGAGTAACCCACATTTCTCTGTGAGCTCTTGTTTTCATAAGTATACACTGATTTTTGTTTCAGGTACTTTCATGGTTAATAAAATTGTCATTTAAAAATAAATAGAGTAAAAATAAATAAAAATTTAAAATTATTTATTAAGTAATTCAGGTACTCATTTGGTACAATAGCCCTATGAAATAAGTTGATTTTTCCATAATGGTTCAATACATTACTCAAAGTCATGCAATTATTTCATGGAAGAGACAAAATTCAAACCCCAGGCTCAATGACTCTGGAACTGATACCCTTTAATTTGAATGTATGTTTTTTCCTGACAGAGTAACTCTCAAATCCCATTGTTAGAGTCTGCTGTCACATAGACCTGGAAAATTCTACAGGCTGTCTCCCCTTCTTAAAGAGTCATAATGTATACCAGCTTATTAACAGCTCCAGGCTTATTAATGGCTTCCCTATATAAATCTATGTATATTTGTTTACTCCCACATTTCTCAAATTTATTTTCCCACTGACCCCATCCTCCTACCACTACCTTTCTTAACACTACGACTAGCAACAATCTGCAAAACACATTTTGGGAAATATTGCACTAAGTCATTCAGGTCCTGTTGTTGATACTGTAGGGATGTGAAATCAATTGAGAGAAAATATTCCAGGACAAAGAGAGAGGGAGGAGAGGGAGAAGAAGAAAGAAGAAGAAGAATAAGAAGGAGAAGAAGGAAGAGTAGGAGGAGGAAGAGGAAGAGGAGGAAGAGGAGGAGAAAGAAAATAAAGGAGAGAAAACAAGAAGAGAAAAAGAAAAAAAGAAAATGCTATATCGTGACTGAATTGAAACATGGAAAGAGGGAGGAAGGAAGGACATTCTTCTGGCAAATCACTCATTTATATTCACTAATATAAATGGAATTTTTAATACTTCAATATTTTGTAGCAATTAATAAAAAAGGTTTGGCAAGCAGCCAGAACATCTTTCAGCTTGTTTTAAGTTCCTGATGGAGGGACACCAAGATTCAGAAGACACAGCCTTTTTCCTCTATGGGATCATAATATATTATAACATAAAACACAAGGATACAGATAGTATCAATAGCACAGACTGCATGACAAGTGCCCCTGGAAATGTACAGGGTTCAAACTTGGGCTCTATAAATTCCTAGCTTGTGTCCTTAGGCAACCTACTTAAACTATCTGTGCCTCAGTTTCCTCATATGTAAAATGATAATAATAGAATAACCTACTTCATAGGGTTGTTGTGAAGATTAAAGTACTCAGAACATTCCTGACATACAGTATGCTTTATAAGTGTCGATTATTATTATTATTATTATTTTTTTTTTTGAGACAGAGTCTGGCCCTGTCGCCCAGGCTGGGGTGCAGTGGCGCGATCTCAGCTCACTGCAAGCTCCGCCTCCCGAGTTCACGCCATTCTCCTGCCTCAGCCTCTCGAGTAACTGGGACTACAGGCGCCCGCGACCACGCCCTAGCTGGGACTACAGGCGCCCGCGACCACGCCCGGCTGATTTTTTTGTGTTTTTAGTAGAGACGGGGTTTCACCGTGTTAGCCAGGATGAATTATTAAGTTTTATATCACTATTTTGAAACAAATTCGTAAAAAAATCAGAAATCTGAGAAACAGAGAAAATCCCTAGGAATGCCATGAAAGAGTAAGATGGATGAAAGCAGAAGTGCATGACCTCTGAGTAACCAGTCTCACAGGTTTGTCCCAAACTGTGTGTGAAAAGAAGGAAGGCTGGGCAGAATTCAGCATTTGAATGGCTGGAAGGAGCTGCCATTCTAGAATTGGTATTTGGCAGCATATAGAAAGTAACCAGGAAGACCAAATATCCCAAGGATTGTGGCTAGAGCTGTGAGCAGACTGAGCTGGAAGTGGAATGGAGGGAGATAGACCATGAAGAAACAGCATGCTTACAATGATCCAAGATATTGAACTCACCTACCCTTTACTGTCAATTCAGTAGTTTTGCACTGAATTGACATATCTGTATTGCTGCATATCTGTAAGGAGAGGAGGAGGAATGCAAAGCCAGAAGACCACTGTGCAGTACAAATGTGGAAGAGAATTCTGTAAGAATTAGAGGTTGGTCTTCTTTTCATCTGACAAAAACAAGAAATACATGCAGTCATACTGAAATTCTGTTTGTGTCTCTTATTGGCAGCGGGTGGCTTATCATTGTTTGTCCCGCAGTTGTGTCTGGAAATTGCCAACCAATTAAAACGCACAAAGTTAGCAAAATTGGTTACTCATTTTCCCAAAAATGTATACTGAATGTGCTGTAAATGAACTTGCTTTAGAAAGTTCAGTGAAGTATACAGATTCCAGTTACTGGTAATGACTTAAAATAAGGCAATAAAAATGTCACAGCTGAGTATGGTTTTTACCCTTTAATTTTAGTTCTTGATGTGGCTCACTGAAAACTATAATTGAAATGACTGGTGGAGTTATGACTGCCAAACTCTGTCTTTGTTAATGTCGAAGTAAAAGAAGGTATGAAGCTAGGGGTTGGGGAATGAGAGGAAGCTAGGGGAGGGAATGGCATGGGAGAGTCTGTTGTGGATCTGGATTTATTTTTTTTCTTTTTTTTTTTTTTTGATACAGAGTCTCACTCCGTTGCCTAGGCTGGAGTGCAGTGGAGCCATCCCGGCTCACTGCAACCTCCACCTCCCGGGTTCATGCAATTCTCCTGCCTTAGCCTCCTGAGTAGCTGGGATTACAGGCATGTGCCACCACACCCAGCTAATTTTGTATATTTAGTAGAGACAGGGTTTCACCATGTTAGCTAGGCTGATCTTGAACTGCCGACCTCAGGTGATCCTCCTGCCTGGGTCTCCCAAAGTGCTGGGATTACAGTCGTGAGCCACCGCGCCCTGCCTGGATCTGGACTTCTTATCAGAATTAGTGGTGGGTAAATCCCTGAGGTTTCTTTATAATCTGCCTGGGATTAGATTCTCTGTAAAATCAGCTGATTCACAATATAACTGCTTTCTATTTTAAAATATCTTAACACTTAAACAATGTTACCACACTTTGCAACATAAAATGTACAATAATTGTAAGAGAAATTTCACTGCTTCTCTACATTCACATGCGTTCATATATCAAGAGAATAAATTAAAGAGAAATTTATCCCGGGGGATTTTATAATAAATTACCAGAGAAAACTGAAACAGAATGCTAAAAGTAAAGCAATAGAAAACTCCAAAAAAGAAAAATAATACTTCATGAAAACAACTCTAAAAAATATGTAACCAGAGCACAAAAAGCAACGTCTCCAAAGGTCAATTCCTTTATCTTAGTGGTTCTTAACTGGGCTGATGTTAAACATACTGCAGTGTATAGGACAGCCCCTGACAACAAAGACTTATTCAGCCCCAAATGTCAGTTGTGACAACTTTGAGAATTCCTGCTTTATATTAAGCAGAATTTCTCCAAAATGTTTTTCTAGCTGGAGAAAATGATGCTGATATACTGTCTGGGCTCTTCACAAACTTAAAAACAAATTTTTAAACAGTATTGGTGGCATATTATTATAAAGAAATTGCATTAAAAATGAATGTACAGATTAATGAATTACTATATAGGGCATATTTACATAACCACCATCCAAGCAAGAAATAGAGCATTGTCAACCTAGACCCTCACCCTTTTCCCCCAGCACTTCTTGGGAATTGTGACTCCTTTTCTTCCCCTCATTCTCTTTACTTGGCTCATAGGTTTTCTTTGTAAATTACCATGCAATTATTCACCCCCATACACTTTAGTTTTACCTATTTTGGAACTTTATATAAATGGAATCATACAGTATGTATTCTTCTGTGTGTTTCTTCATTCATCATTTTGGTGAGTTCCATCCATGCAGGTAACAGTAATACATTCACTATCATTGCTCTGTGATATTCTGTTGTATTATCACAATTCATTAATTCTATTATATACGGGCATTTGCATTGTTTTCAGTTTGGGGCTATTCCAACTAATGTTGCTGTACACATTCTTGTATATACACTCTGATGCATACAAACTGTTCTATTGGGATTATATCTAGGAGTGGAACTACTAGGCCATAGGGTATGAGGATATTCAACATTAGTAGATAACATCAAATTATTTTCATGAGCAGTTGTAAAAACTTATGCTTCCACATTAAGTACTGGAGAGTACTAGTTGTTCCACATTTTTTCCAGCTCTTGGTATTGTCAGTCTTTTTCATTTTAGCCATTCTGATGTTATGCAGTAATACCGTGTTATGGCTTTAATATGCATTGTTTTCTGATTACTACAAGGGTTCAGTACCTTTTCATATGGTTATTGGCCATTTAGATATCTTCTTTTGTGAAGTGCCTCTTCAGTTCTCTTGCCCACTTTTTCATAGGGATGTCTGTTTCTGAATGGTTTGTTTTTCTTTATATATTCTCGGCATGAGCCCTTTGTTGTTCATTAAGATGCACATGTTTTCTGCCAATCTGTAGCTTGCTCTTACTCTCATAATCACATTTTTTAAACAAATAGAAGTTCCTAATCATAATATGGTCAGTGCAATGTATACATCTTTTTATAACCCATTTAAGATGAGCTGATTTTGATGGATTGTGTGGGACAGGAGTCTGCCTATATACCAATTTATCTATTTACTTGCACAGTCTCAATAATATTTATTGAAATAACTGTCCTATGTGAACTTCAGTGACATGGTTATCATAAATTAAGTGTCTATAATTATGTAGAGGCTTTTTTGTCCTTCAATTCTGTTTCAGTGGTGTGTCAATTTTTGAGGGAATACCACTCTGCCTTAATGACTAAAGCCTTATAGTAATCTTAGCATCTGTACAGCAAGAATTGACATCTTCCACAAGAATGTCTCAGTTCTTCTTGGCCCTTTTATTTTCATGTGTATTTTTAAAATTAGCTTTTCAATTTTTATATACATACATAAACTAACACAAATGCACATTTTAGAAACAATAGATTCCATTGTATTGAATCTATCACTTTTTAGTATTAAGTTTTCCAATCTATAAAATGATATATATCTTTCCATTTGGAAAGGTTTCATTTAATTTATCTCAACAATATTCTATAGTTTGCTGTATAGAGTTCTGAGATAACACATAGGGTAGAGCTGTCAACTCAAACTCACATGAATCAGATCTTATTTAATGGCAAACATTCCTAATAATTCCAAGGATACAAGACTCAGGCAAAGCATTCTTCCTTTGGAGAAATCCAAAACCATCAGCACAGCTCCCCAAAGATTCTTCCTCTTTTGTTTCAGGACATGGTCTGGTTCAGATTTAACATTTGATGTTACAATTGCAGCAATTCAGTCCCGTCTTCAGGCTGCACAGGTAATTCTTGTTCTTTTGCTATTTGTGGTGACTTCCTCTATTGGAGTCTTGAATTCCACAAAGTCGTCCACTGAGGGTTGGAATCCACTTTTTCCAAAATCCAGCTAATGTTGATATTTTGACCTCCTCCCATGAATTAAATATTCTTAATGGCATCTAGAATGATAAAATATTTTTAGAGGTTTTTAATTTACTTTGCTTAGGTCCATCAGAAGAATCATTATCTGTGGCAGCTATAGTTTAACAAAATGTATTCCTTAAATAATAAAACTTGAAAGTCAATATTACTGCTTGATCCACAAGCTACAGAATGGATATTATGTTAGCAGGCATACAGATAATATTCATATCTTTGTACATCTTCATTGGAGCTCTTTGTATGACTAGATGCATTGTAGATGAGCAGAAATATTTTTAAAGGAATCTTTTTTTTTTCTGAGCAGTGGGTCTCAACAGTGGGCTTAAAATATTCAGTTAACCATACTGTAAACAGATATGCCATCATTCAGCCTTTGTTTTTCTATTTCTAGAACACAGGTAGAGTAGATATAGCATAATTTTTAGGGATTTTAGGATTTTTTAAATCCCCTTTAAGTGATCTTAGGAATTTTAAAGGTATCTTTTTTTTCTGAGTGGTGGGTCTCAACAGTGGGTTTAAAATATTCAGTTAACCATACTGTAAACAGATGTGCCATCATTCAGTCTTTCTTGTTCTATTTCTAGAACACAGGCAGAGTAGATATAGCATAATTTTTATGCATCTTGGGATTTTTAAATCCCCTTTTAGGGATCTTAGAATTTTTAAATCCCCTTTAAGTTGAGCATTGGTGTCAACTTAAAATCAACAGCTACATTAACCCCTAACAAAAGAGTCAGTTTGTCCTTTGAAGCTTTGAAGCCAGGAATTAATTTCTCTCTAGCTATGAAAATACTAGATGGCATCTTCTTTCAATAGAAGGCCATTTTAGCTACATTGAAAATCTGTTTTTTAGCGTATCCACCTTCATCAATGATCTTAGCTAGATCTTCTGGATAACTTGCTGCAGCTTCTACATCAGCACATGTTGCTTCATCTTGTACTCTTACGTCATGGAGATGACTTCTTTCTTGAACCTCATGACCTACCTCTGCTAGTTTCAAGCTTTTCTTCTGTAGCTTCCTCATCTCTCTAAGGCTTCACAGAATTGAAGAGAGTTAGGGCCTTGATGTAGATTAGGTTTTGACTTAAGAGAATATTGTGGTTTGTTTGAACTTCCATCCAGAACGCTCAAACTTTCTCCATATCAGCAATAAGGCTGTTTTGCTTTCTTATTATTCATGTGTTTACTGGAGTAACACTTCTAATTTTCTTCAAGAACTTTTCCTTTGAATTCATAACTTGGCTGTTTGGTACAAAAAGTCTTGATTTTGGCCTGTTTAGCTCTCAACATGCCTTCCTCACTGAGCTTAATTATTTCTAGCTTTTGACTTAAAGGTGAGACATGTGAGTCTCCCCCTTTCACTTGAACACTTAGAGGCCATCATAGGGTTATTAATTGGTCTATTTTAATGATGTTGTGTCTCACGGAATAGGAAAGCCAGAGGAGAGGGAGAGAGATGGGAGAGTGACCAGTTGGTGGAACAGTCAGCACATACACATTTATCAATTAAGTTTGCTGTCTTACATGGGCATGGTTTATGGTGCCCCAAATAATTTCAATAGTGACTTCAAAGACCACCAGTTACAGGTCTCCATAACATATATAATAATAATGAAACAGTTCGAAATATTGTGAGAATTACCAAAATGTGATACTGAGACACAAAGTGAGCACAGGCTGTTGGAAAAATGGCACCAATAGACTTGCTCTACATGGGGTTGCCAGAAACCTTCAATTTGTGAAAAAGCACAATAAAGCAGGTGCAATAAAATGAATTATGCTTGTATTTGACTCATAATTATTTCCTGATCATTTATCTTTTTCTCTAAGCCTTTTTCTTATCATGAGCCTTTTATTTCAAAATATTCTCACTGAATATAAATTCTCACAATTGTGACTTTAAGTTGCACATAAGCTACAGATTCAGCTCAAATTTTTATTTCTTCATGAAACTTTTATAGATTGTCAGCTCCATGATCTCTTCTGTCTATACTATCCTTACTAGCCACAATAGCGGCCATATTATTCAATATTCTTCATATTTATGAGACTGCCAACACCAAACAGCAAGTATATGGTGGACATGGTTACAGCCCAAATTGTTCGACTCAGCCCAGCAGTCCTCCCAATAGAATCCTAGTGCTTCAGTGATATCCTTCACATTCATTAGATACAGGCCATCAACTGGCCCAATAGGAAGCTGATACTGACCTGAAGTTCAAGGGAAGCATGCACAGTAAGGAATGAGGAGAGAGGAATTCTTGCGTTTGTGTATAAAAATTAAGCTTTATCTTCTAAGGCACAAACAAAAAGCCTGAGAATGAAGCAACTTTTCTTCTTCCAAACCTGAGGAATGCACTTTTCCACCTGGTCTGGGAAGAAAAGGGTTTATGATTTCCTCACTAGCGAGAAGAAAAGCCAGTCACTTATCAGAATTGAAGATAATCCTTTTCATTTTGATAAGCACCTGGTCTTTAGCTGCAGAATTCTGTCCTTTACTCTCCTATTAAACAATTTTTTAAATAAAATCACATTATCCTAATATGTGGGATTGTTTGGCTCTCCACCTTAAGCTCAGTTCTGCAGCTTCCTTTTTAACAATCATGTCAGTGATTGACTGGAAAAGGAAGCAGGATACAGAAGCAGCTTATAGGCATGCTGATACAGCTCTCATAAATGGTGGAGTTATCAAGATTTAATCACAAAACATCTATAATGAGGGTTTTAGAAAGCCTATTCATAGGTATGAATCTTTCTTCACTAGACTGTCTTATCAAATGCTGCAGGAGCACTGAGGAGACTATATTTATGGCTCATTAATAAAGATTGTTTCTAAAATGCATGTATTTTACATAGTCATGAAGATGAGGGGATTTTTAAAGGAACTATATCATTGAAAACGATTGATGTGTCTGAATAGCAATGATTCCATTCTTAACTCAACTGAGATCTTATATTTGAATAATTCCTGCAAGTATATCTTCTCTGCAAATATATTTTTGATTGGTAATAAATAATACTAGATATTTAGTTTTTGGCTTACAGAATAATCTGATATGATCCTCTGTCCTTTATATATGGTCTTGATTGGCATTCCAAATATTCATCTTGAGAAATTACAAAAGAAATTGTCTGACATGCCACCTGAGGGGATAATGTGAAGAAACTGCAGACAGTGGATACAACAGCCACTCTAGCAGACAGGGAATGTGAGAAAAGTACACTTTTTCTCTGTGTTTGGGAGCAGTGACAGGAATTTCTTTTCTATTTTCTACATCCTTTATCAAAAACGGATCCAAAAACCCCTCAAAAATTTCTGTTTAACAGTTTGTAGAATGGTACTATTAAAAATTCTTTAACCAGCCAGGCGTGGTGACTTCCCCTATAATCCCAGCACTTCGGGAGGCTGAGGTAGGCAGATCACTTCACCCCAGGAGTTCAAGACCAGCTTGGGCAACATAGCAAGACCCCCATCTATTAAAAATAAAAAAAATCTTTACAAACATTTTCCAAAGCTGTGTGAATTCTGAAGAAGAATATTTCCAAGTTAAAAAAAAAATCATTGATCTTGCTATTTGACTATCAGGCTATCAGGCTATTAATAATCCCTGTTACATTTTTTTACCATTCCTGCGATTACTACTGCTGTCATACTACCTATACGACAACTGCCAGCCGTCATCATTGGGGATTCAGCATGTTACCAATGTGCTTTACATGCATTATCTCATTTAATCCTTGTAATACAGGGAGTAGGCATATTATGGCCCATTGATATGTAAGAAATCAGAGATTTAGGTAATTTAACTAACTTACGTAATGTAAGCTAGGTAAAAAATGGCAGTGCCAGGGTTTGAACTAATGCATTCTAATTCAAAACCCTTACTCACTCATATATTCTGCTTCTAATCTGCTATGGGGTTGAAAGCCAAGTGGTCAAGCTTATTAGAATCGTGTCTAAATGTGAAGTATCTAAGTGCTGCATTAGGTTTAAGAGAGTCTCCTGAAAGGAACATTTCTAATCTTTAGAGAACTGGTTTTCAGCCACTGTTGGGGAAGGCAGAATTATTAGAGCTATGAAACTATACACATTATATACATATATATATATTTTCCAATACATAGATTACTATAAATGTGTGTATTTAAAGATACCAACTGATTTAAATGTGTGAAAGAATTTGTAATCTGTTTTATTTATTGTGGAAGAAAACACAGTTTAGCAATGTGGTTAAGTACAGAGACTCTGGAGCCCAGGACTGCCTGGGTTCAAACCCTGGCTCTGTCACTTTCTAGCTGGGTGGTCTTGCTTAAGTTACCCAATCTCTCTGCCTCTCAGTTTTCTCATATGTAAGATGAATTCAACAATAGTAAAGATAAACTTATTTTATCTTCACTAACCTCTTGGAGCATTGGTGAAGTTAACATAAATTAAGATTTGTGTAACACTTAGAATACTTTGCAGTTTCCATAGTAAGCACTTTGTGGTTTCTTGGAAGCCAAATGCTAACTACAAACCATCTCTAGGAGGTCTGCAACTAATTTTTGGATTAGCTTGAAAATGGTGAGCACCACTGCTCTAGAACAGATGCACTGAGACATCTTGTTGGTTGTTTCAGAGACCCATTTGGCATCCTTCTAGATTATTACTTGTGCTTTTCATAAGTTCTCAGTGCTGGGCATATATCCTATATAAAAGTGAGATGCTATTCAACAGTGTGTTAGAAATTCAGAGGCATATAATTTGTACTTGGATGCTGAGTCAAAGTCAATAAAAATGATACCATCTCTGGAGATTAACATTTAATGTAAAGGCAACATTATAGACATAGTTTAAACACCATGGACAAAGAGAAAATTTAAGGAAATATATTTTTCTGTTTTTACTGTTTTATTTTCATGTTTGGAGAAGCAGACTATTATTCTCATTTTCTTTTGTTTCATGAAAAAAATGAAAAACCCAGCTTATATAATGTAGTTATCCCCTGCTTATACATACATATAAAAATAATTCTCTCATCAAGTGAATTTTGAACTCAGACTCTCCATTAATTGCTATTTTTCTTCTCAAATGGAAACTGGTCTATGACTTGAATGCTTTTTGATAAGTCCTTGAATTTATTTGTATTCAGAGATTCTGTTGCAGTCTGCTAAAAGCCATTTCTTGGCAGGCTTGGGTAATTGCAGATGAAAAGGCTCCAAGAATAATTTTTTCCCTACAGGAAAGTGAGAAGGGATACTGCTGACACTGGGTAGAAAGAGCCCAACCCAGGCAAATAAGAGAATAATTAAAGGCCCAAGAAACTATTTGACAATATCACATCTCATGCAAATTAGAGGAACCTAGGATTTTTTTTTTTTTAAAAACCCTCACTTCTACACACACACACACACACACACCAGTGCAAATTTGGAGCAGGAAAAAAAACTCAAGGCTGCACGTCACTCAGACATTAGCATCCCAAAGCCTGAGTACTGAGGCATCATTTTGTGCAAACTTCATTTGGGTGAATTGAGTGTCCGATGGGATTCGTTCACGGAGCCTGAACAATAAGTGGGAACTCGGGGAGGTGAGACAAAGAAAATGCTAAACACTTTCTACTTTCATTTTTTCTCACATGAAAGAACAACACACTCGTCTTTGATACAGGAAAGGAAAACAAAAAATTGTGCATTTGATGTACATTATAAAAAGATGTCTCCTTGTGTGGGTGGGGGAACACCAAAAGGGATAGTCCCAACACCACCATTGTGTCTTCTGTTATTCTTTACATTATATTTTGTGGCTATAAGGATACCATCCTCAGTGTCAAAAACAATGGTGAAATACTTCCAAACAATTTCTTCAAGACATCACCAAAAAGCTTCCTTTCTATATTCTACACAATCTCTTTTACAAAACATAAAAGGAAGGAACACTTCTCAATTCATTTTATGAAACTATCTTTACTCTGATAGCAAAACCAGATAAAAACACCAAAAAGAAGCCAGATAAAAATGAAAGAAAACCAGGGATGAATATTTTGCATGTATATGGATGTGTTGAAATCCTTGACAAAATATTAGCAAACAGAATTCAGCAATATACAAAAACAATTATATACCATGACCAAATGGGGTTGATTCCAAGGATGAAAGGCTGGTTCAACATTTGAAAAAATCAACCTATGTAATCCACTATATTAGCAGGCTAAAGAAAAAAACTCACATAATTATATAAATGGATTCAGAAAAACATTTCAACAAAATTCAACACCCATTTATGATAAAAACTCTTAGAAAAATAGAAATAAAGGAAAACTTACTCAGCTTGATAATGAGCAAATATAAAACTCCTCAGTTAACATTATACATAATGGTGCAAAACTGAATGCCTTCCTCCTAAGATCAGGAACAAAGCAAGGATGTAGCTCTTACCACTCTTATTCAACATAATGCTAGAAGTTCTAGCCAATGCAATAAGGCAAGACAAGGAAATTAAAGGCATGCAAATCAAAGGGGAAGAAATAAACTGCTTCTATTTGTAGATGATACTATCATCTATATAAAAAAATCTCAAAGAGTGTATTAAAAAAAACTCAAGAACTAGTTAGTGAATAAAGCAAGGTTGCACTATAGATCAATATACAGAATCAAATGTAATTCTATATACTAGAAATTAACACATGGACACCAAAATGTTAAAAAAGTAACATTTACAATTGTTCAAAAAATGAAATACTTTAGTGTGTATTTGGAGAAAACATGCACAGGACATTTACACTGAAAACTGGAAAGTACTGATGAAAAAAATTACAGAAGACCTATAAAGTAGGCAAACATACAATGCTGCTGGATTGAAAGACCCAACATAATAAAAATGTTGACTTTTCCTGACTTGGTTTACAGATTTAACATAGTTCCCCTCAAATTCCCTGCAAGACTTTTTATAGGTATAAACAAGATTATTTTAAAACTTATGCAAAAAACCAAAAGAGCTGGAATAGTTTAAAAAAAATGATTAAGAAGAAAGTGGGATGAATTAGTCTACCTGATTTTAAGACGTTTCTTATAGCTACAGTAATCAAAACTGCACGATATTGGCAGAAAGATAAACATAGATCAATGGATCAGAGCAAGGAATCCAGAAATAAACCTACTCAATCTTTCCAACTATTTTTTTGACAAAAGTGGTAAAGCAATTGACTGGAGGAAAGATAGCCTTATCAATAAATGGTACTTGAGCAATTAAACTTCCATAGGCAAAAAACAAAAACACACGCACACACAAAACAAACAAACAAACGAAAAACCCAACAAACCCTCAAACCTCAAAAAAACCACCTCAACTTAAGTGCATAAAAAAATTACTCAAAATTGAGCATGAAATTAACTGTAAAATATAAAACTATAAAATTTTTAGAAGAAAATATAGGAGAAAATCTTTGGAATCTAGGGCTAGTCAAATAATTAGACTTGACACCAAAAGCATGACCCATAAAAGAAAAAAATGAATAAATTATACTTTTATCAAAGTTAAAAACTCTTGCCCTGTGAGACACTGCTAAGAGTATAAGAAGGCAAGCTACAGAGAAATATTTGAAAACTTCGTATCCAACAAGGACTCACGTCTCAAATATAAGGAACTCTTTGAACTCAACCACTGAAGGAACAAACAATACAATTTGAAAACAGATGAAAGCAATGAAGAGACGCTTCACCAGAATGCATATACAGATGGCAAATAAGCACATGAAAAGATGTAGAATATCATTAGTCATCAGAGGGTTGAAACTAAAATAACAATGAGATATCAATTCACATCTATCAGGAGGGCTAACATAAAAAAAATTAAAAATCTAGTGACAACACTAAATGCTGGTGAGGATACAGAGACACTGGACCACTCATACATTGATAGTGTGGATGTCAAATGGCACAAGCACTCTGGAAGAGTTTGGCATTTCTTAACAAACGAAATCTGCAAATACCATATAACCCAACAAGTTCACTTCTGGGCATTTATCTCCAAGAAATGAAGAATTACGTTCACACAAAAACTTGTGCATGAATGTTTATAGAAGCATTACTCATAGTAGTCCCATACTGGAAACAACCTCACATGTCTTTCAGTGGGTAAATGGTTAAACAAAGTGTGGTATGTCCATATGATAGAATATTACTTAATAATAAAAAGCAGTGAATCATTGGTACACATAACAACCTCTAGAGAATTGTGTGGAGTGAAAAAAAAGTCAAACTCAAAAGGTTACATATTGTGTAATTCTGTTTATATAACAGTCTGGAAATGACAAAATTATAGATATGGAGAAGAGTTTAGTGGTTAGGGTTTAGGAGATAGTGAAAGTGGGGAGGAGGGAGTGGGTGTGGCTATGAAAAGGAAAAATGAGTCCAAAATGATGAAAATGCTCTGCACCTTGACCTTTTCAGGGTTGAAACCCTGGTTGTGCTATTGTACTCTACTTTTGCAATAAGTTACCACTGGGCAACACCAGGTCAAGAGCACATGGAATTTTTCCATATTACTGTATTACTTCTTACAATTGCATGTGAATCTACAATGATCTCAAAATAAAAGGTTTAATTTAAAAAGGTTTTCTTTTTTTTTTTTTTCTTTTTGACACAGAGTCTTGCTCTATCGCCCAGGCTAGAGTGCAGGGGCACGATCTCAGCTCACTGCAGCCTCCACCTCCAGGGTTCAAACGATTCTCCTGCCTCAGCCTCCCGAATAGCTGGGACTACAGGCGCCTGCCACCATGGCTGGCTAATTTTTGTATTTTTAGTAGAGATGGGGTTTCACTATGTTGGGAAGGCTGGTCTTGAACTCCTGACCTCAAGTAATTTGCCTTGGCTTCCCAAAGTGCTGGGATTACAGGAATGAGCCACTATGCCCAGCCAAAAAAAAAAAAAAAGTTTTCATCCTTATAATAACATAGATGTTGTTGGCAAGCCCTCTGTATGGCCCAATGATTACATAGTAAGTAGTCTACTACATTTTCTTCCCTCCAGCAAAAATAAACCCTGGGAATTTCAAGTGACTTTGAGATGTTTCTCCATTGTGTTTCCTACCCAACTATCCATTGTCTTAAATTTAAGGGGCCATGCCAGATATCATAAGATGAAATTGTCCAGGGTAGCGTTGTGATTATATTTGGACATAACTTTACCTAACACCGAGGAAAAAGCAACCAGTCATTTTATTTAGGAATCCTTTACCTCATTTTTTTTGGCTTTTTATTTTCAATGTTGTATTGTGATATAATTATCAGATATTCTGAAGAAATTATAAGTAATAATGATATAATATTTAAACTTAAGAAAAATTATTTGAGCCAGAAAAGAGGTTGTGTTTTTAGAGAAAAGGAGTACAGTGGTTGTTTTGCTGATAGTTGTGGTTTTGGAAAGATTGTGGGTTGTCCAGATGACAGTGCTAGAACAGTGTTCTTAAGTCGAGTGTGAGAACTGGAAATTCATTCTGGGTCATTCAAAGTCACTGGAGAATTGTTATCAGACATTTTAAAATTGCTTCCAGACTAATCACCATTGCCATCATTTTTATTATCACATACTTAGGGAAAATTTCACAATCTGCGTGGCTTTCACAGCAGTGCAAGAAATATTTACAAGGCCAAGTGATCCTATTCACATGAGAAATTGTTAAATGAATTGTCTTCATTGATGAAGTATCTGTTTAATCCATTAAAGGTACATAATCATAAATAGAAGATCATGTTAAAAGTGCCAGCAAGGCACCTCTACTACAACACAGGTTTTTTTTTTGTTAAAGCCTATAAGAAAGGTTCATGGCCAAGAGACTTTCATAGTTTGTATATAGAAAAGTATTTTTAAAGTTATAATAATTAACATGGTAATTAAATTTAAATTAATGAAAGGCAGATCAATTTCTAGGGGTAAGTAAAGCAACATCTTGTTGGTAGTTAAAGGAAATATATGATACACATATCTTATACAATGATGGTGAAAAGCAACATAAAGATCTGAATAACACTGAATATAGCCACGATTCTGCTCTGGTTTATGAAAGGATGTTAACCTTGAGACTTTTAGAATTGGAAAAAATAAAAAATACCCGGAAGAGCAGAGGACAAATAATAGGAATAAAAGTCTTTTTCTTGAGTTTCTTTAGTTTGTAAGATGTTCTTTATCATTTCTCACCTGGGTATTAAGTCTTATGTCAAGCTGAAGAGCTACTAGAAAGAAGAAAACGAAAAAAAAAAAACCAGCTTTTCAAAAGAGCAAGTTTATTGTGTACATCTGAACACTATTTTGTAGGTGTCAAATTACAACGACGATAGCATATGAAAGTAAACCTTCAGAAAATATGAACTTTTCCCAATCCTCAGAATTGAAGGAAAATTGATATGCTTTCACCTTGAGTACTGAAAACAAATTCCCATTCCCTCTTTTTCTGTCTC
The DNA here is from genome assembly GCF_000001405.40 of Homo sapiens. NCBI lineage: Eukaryota > Metazoa > Chordata > Mammalia > Primates > Hominidae > Homo > Homo sapiens. The sequence goes on from NC_000011.10 coordinate 103,795,392, forward strand.
CCTCGCTCTCACGCACACACAGGTGCATACACACCACTGTGGATAATTCCTTCTCTTTTTAGCTTGCATTGTATCCTGTAGGCTACTGTTTCCTACTTGCTCATGATCAGAACACAGCTATAATTTTCACTTTACATTTTGCATTTACAGAGCATTTAATATATTTTAAAGCCTTCATAAGTGTATTTCCTTTAATGCCCATAATACATATCTTATAGGGCTGAAAATGTTGACCTAGTTCACAGTCAACAAAAGAGAAATAACTTGTGCCTCCCACAAGATGCAGGGTCCTCCAACAGATCATATAAGTGAAAGGAAAATCTGTACTTTGGGATTCATGTTTATGAGATGATTCTCAGATTTCTATTCGAAACCTCCTTCCTGGGCTCCCGGAGAGGCCCATCCTTAGAAATGTGTTCCATGTGTATGTTTCATTTGCACTTGACTCGTGTACCTAAACCTCAATGATTCTCTCTTCACCTCTGGTTTCCATGCTGTTTAATTTGTGGCACCTTTCTCCCTAGAATCCAGATAGAAACCTCAGATTCTTCTTGGTTCTTACTCTTCGTTCTTTTTCACATTTTATCCAATCAGTTGCCAAATCCTGCAGATGACATGTTTTCTTTACAAAACACCTTGACTTGATTTCCTCATTATCATTCCCACCACTCCCTCCTACCATCTAGGTGCTTGTTGCCTCTCCCAAAGGTTGCAGTAAGCAGTATCTTCAACATCTTTTCTCCTATTTCAGGACATCCACATGCTGCTGAACACTCTCCTAATCAATACCTTCAGCATCTCTCCATCAGTGACAGAGTTAAGCACATGGTCCTCATCCTCCTGATCAATACTCTAGCTTATCTTTTCTTCAGGCTGAACTATACGTACCCTAGCCATCTGTCAGACTGCAATCCTGGCTTTCCTAAAAACATACTCTCCTGTGTCTTTCTTGTCCTCTTTGCCCCTGCTCTGTGTGTGAATTAACCTGCCGAACTCCACTGCCCAACTTCTCCTGTGGAAATCGATTCCAGCCTCAGAAACCAGTTTTAAAGGCCAGGCCCTCCATGAAACCTCTGCCTATCCTCCACTGGACCCCTGCCACACTCTCTCAATTCCTCTCCAATTGTAAATTCCATCTTATTACACTTATTTGTGTGGATGTCTTCTCCTTCATTCTAGATTGCAAGCTTCTTATAAATTTGCCATTATATTTTCCCAGGCATCCAGGACTGAGAGTTCTATATAATGGAGATTGCATACTGATGTAATTAAAGTAAGTTGAATTAAAATAGAGGTAGCATTGAACATTTTATTTTTATTTTACTGAATGGAGTCACTTTTCTCTTTGCTTCCAAAAAGCGCTTCAGAAAGGGCTGCTTCACTGGTACTAATACACATCTTTTAGTTTCCACAGAAGATTATTATGTTTGAGTATATATAGAGAGTTGGGTGAAGCTGGGCTATCAGTTATGTCAACAAAGGGCAGGAAAACATTACAAATGTACATACCAGTTTCTATCATCAGCAGATATTCATTTGTTAACACTATTAATCCAAACATACTATGTAATGTAAACCATTAATTAGTTTTGAACTAGAACCAAATAGAAATAAAAGTAAAGCAATCATCAAATAGAAAATCTACAAATAGAAATAGAATTAAAGCAATCATCAAGGTATTTTTTCTGTTACTATGGCTAAAAGTTTAGTTTTTACCTATGGTAACAATTTGCTACTTTTAATGCTAGAGAGCAATTTTACAATAGTTTACATACCATTCATTTATTCATTCTTCTTATTATTTCAGATTTCTATATAATATTGGGCAGGGGAGGAGTTGGGCAGTAGAGTTTGGCAGGTAAACTCACCAACAGAGCAGGAGCAGAGAGGCAAGAAAGACACTTCAGAGTATATTAACTCTGTCATTGATGGAAATATTTATTGGGTAACTGGCTATAGGAGATGAAAAATGATCTCTATTTTTGCTTTCAAGTCTACTATAGCTTCATGGAAAGACATACTTCAAGGCCACAATAAGACATGTTAAATTCTCTGTGGATGCATAAGTACTCAAGGAACTGTGGTTTTATGGGAGAAGGAACATGTATGTTTCCCCAGGAAAGACAGAAAACCTTTCAGAAATGCTGAAACATTTGAGTGAAGAACTAAAAAATTTCTAGTCTACCACATGGGCAAGGGAGGTAACAGAATTCTGAGGAGAGGGAATGCATTTGAAAAGGCATAGGGTGGTGAGGTGCCATGTATACTTGGAAGTGATGGCCCTACATATCTGTTACCTGAGCGAGGAAGAAAGGCAGGACATGAATGTCAGCAGATAAACTGAGCCAGCTCGCAGAAAGCCTAGTACTCTCTGCTAAGACCTTTGGGTTTTATTCAGGCCTCAAGGTATGGAAAGATTCCAGCAAGAGGATGCTTTCAATTTTATTGTAGAATCAGCACTGTATGATATTCGGGCAACAGGGCAAAAAGATGTGAATGAATGAGCTCACATCTTAGCAGTACATCAATGAACAGTTCATTACCATTACTGGTGGGTCAGTAGCATCAACAGATAACTCTTTACTCAGGATATAGAAAAGGATTTCCAGCAAAATCAAAGCTTTAAGGCAGAATGGAATAAGTTATATCAAAGTGACATTCAGTCATTTTTAAAAGTCTGAGAAGATTCAAGGATTTATCACAGCTGGACTATGTAGAATTCATCCAGATGGGTAAATATCTGTCTGTCCCAGTTGAGGTCAGAGGAGGAAATGCCACAACCACGGGTTTGCAACATTACACAGACCTCAGTCTGGCAGTCCCTTTGGTCTAGCCTAAATTTATTTTCTTAAAGTTTAAGCTCATTTCCTCCTTTCCATCCTTGGGGAAAGTAAAGAACAGATGGTCATAAACCACCAGATAGTGACCCTTTATAGACTGGAGAAACATATTAAATCATCTCTCAGCCATCACTTTCCTGGGCAGAACAATAGAAACTCCCTATCAGTTCTAGTCTTAGATTTGTTGTTCTAAATCTGTATCTGTGTGTGTGTGTGTGTGTGTGTGTGTGTGTGTGTGTGTGTGTGTGTTTGCGACTGGACAGCTCTTTCTCACTTTGCTTAGATGCTCATCCACAAACAGAATGCGAGCCTTCAATAAATATATAATTATTTCTAAGTGCATTGGAAGCATTTCTTCTGGGGTCACTGATCCTGTAAATATAGGTGAGTGTCATATTACATTTAAAAAAACAGCAGCAGCAGCATGTTACTGACTGCCATCTTGAGATGACTAAGAATTCTACATCCTTTTAGAATTCGTGTTGGACCAATCTTTCCATCTCATGACTGTCAATTCTAAACTCTTCTTCTGTGTAAATTGCAGTATTTTGCATCACTTCTTTGAATGCCTCTGGCCCTTGCATGTGAACCTTATTTTTCTCCATTTCTGGCCATTTTTCTACTTCGTTGACATTGCATGACAATTGTTATTTTACCTTATATTACAGCCAGAAGTAATTCAGATTTTCTGCAGCTCTGCACATCTAAAGATTTTACAACTCTTTGCCCTTTTGAAAGTATCTTGGATTTCTCTCTATATTAGGCTTCTCTGGAGCAGGCAGAGACATCTGGGAAAGGCTATCCCTGCCCCATCCAACATACTCACTTCCAAGCTCCGCAAAAGAAGCAGGGATGATTGAATAATGGCATTTATTGAACACTTGCTTTGGGCTGGACATTGGGATGGGCAGAGCCATAACCTGAACAATCTCATGGCTGCTCTTCGGGAACTCACAGTACTGGGCTGGAGGGACTTTACAGGGACTGGACACAGCTGGATATCTCTGCAATTTGAAAATTAGATGATTATGTAAGATGGGGTATTATTCTCAAAGTTAATTGGGGAGCAATAAAATGTTAGATTTTTACCTATATTACCTCCCAATAGGTTTAAGTGCATGCCTCCTTACTGGGTTTGTTAAGAACCATAATTTAAAAATAATTTAAACTTTCTAAGTATTCTCTTCCCATAAAATCAGTGCTTAATAACGTATTTTAACTAGAGGCTAGTTCTGGGTGGAAATAGTTGAAATATGCTAAGAAATCTGAGAGCCCCTATTTGACTATTAACTAAGTGTTGAAAAAAAAACCTAAACAAAAACAAAATGCATCCTTTTCTTTTAGTCCCTCATCCCTTAAAATCTCTCAGGATCCTTGTAGGTTCAAACATCTGAAAAGATGATTGGTCTGTGGGAAGAGAGCATTCACCCTGGTCTTTCATTCACATGACCATCATTTCCAAGTGGACAGTGAGATCTACTTTTCCTTTTCCTGAGAGCTTAGTATGAAATAGGCAGGCACTGTTCAACAAACTTGCACCTATAGCCAAAATTTGTGTCCAACAGAAACCCATTTACATGAGAGGCTGAGAAGTTTCTTAGCCAAGAACTCCTTCTAAGGAAAGATGAGTCGGACACCAGAGTTTTGATCTGATAATCAAGTATCGGGGCTGAAGGGAAGTGATAATTCTAACTACAGAGGAGTTGTCTTTGACCTGGAGCTGTTTCTAGTCTTATCTGATGAGGCCGTGTCTGGATTCTAGGAAAGGAGGGAAGAGTAAATAAAATTCTAAAGCGTTAAGTCATTAGAAAAATCTCCAAAAATTTAAGTGTAAGCAGACTTGAGTATTCTCCTAACAAAGCCTAACAGGAAGGGGAAAAAGACAACAAAACTATTACTGCAATCTCAATTAGACGAGAAGTTAGTGGGCCCCGGAGAAACTGGGTAATCCATAATCATGTCATTGACCTGTACTACAGAATCTGAGGCAGGTATGATTAACCTCATTTTATGGATGAGGTTTAGGAAGTGACCCTTAGCATGTATGCCACCCCAGGGGGACACCTTTCTTTGTATTCTATGAGAATTGTACCCCCTACATCACAACTGGGAGTGCTAGACTTGGCATCTAGGTCTGGACACTTCTGAGTTTATCCTGTTAAGCAGCCACCTGGATTTAAGCCACCCCATTCTTCAGGAGCGAACAGACCCAGAGAGCTGACCAGGACTTCACAATCGATGGCTCTGTAGGATATTTGTCAAGTTGATTCTACCAAGGAAGTTCTCTATTTCCTGTGGTCCTGGTGAGATTTTTATCCTCCCCTAGGTGCTGGGCTTTTGTTCCAGGACATCTCAGCCTTGAGCTTTGTTTGCTTGTTTACTTCCTCTCCTGCATCCTTGTTGAGGTTCCCAGCCACATTTTTCCCCTCTGCTTATTTATTCCAGAGCAACTGCCTGTGTCATTTCCTTTATCTCTGGCATGTCCCTTGGTTAGTGCTGGTGTTTCTTTTCTTTTCTTTTTTTCCCCATTGCCCAGGGCACTGTGAACAGTTGGCTGTGGTGTAGGATTTACAGACCTGTGCTATGAGATGTACAGACCTGTGCTCTGTACAGACCCAGGAAACGTTGGAGTACAGTGGGCTGACAACAGGGGGGCGCCAGCTGGGGAAGGCAACAGGCCTTAGTTCTTGAACAAAAATAGGCCAGAGATTCTGCTACAACTGGCCAAGATTCCGCCCATCTCAATGAAAGGAAACAGACATTCCCACATGCCCACGAGCTTTGAATGTGTATTTGGCTCCCTCAATAACTCCAGTGCACATTCCCACCCGGTCACTTTTCGCCCACGTTGTTATTGCTGCTGCTGGTTTTTTTTTTTCTTTTTAATAAAGGTCACATTTTATTAGAGATAAGAATAACTTAACAATGAAACTCTTGGTTCATCTGTTCTTCCAGTGCTTTTGTGTTCAGCTTAACATCTTCTAAACAGACATTTAAAAATGATTATTTTCTTCTAGTAAAAATTATAACATGTTCATTTTAGAAATTTTGAAAAAAAGCCATAGAAAAGTATAATAAAAATTCTAATTCCACCATCAAACATAATAACCACCATTTGTATTTATATTTACATATGTCCAGTATTTTTTTAAAAGCACAGGCACATATAGTTGTAAAAAATGGAAGGAATAGTGTTCACCTCATTTTGTTTCAGTAGTTTACTTGTTTTAGCAGCTTAGAATTTAGGTATTTATACAAAAAAATTTTCTAGATATTCATTTTTACATAGTTGAAAGAAAATATATTTTTAATTGAAGAATAATTTTCAGACCATACAATGTACCCACTTTAAGTTTTCAAATTATATGCCCATGTAACCACCATCAGGACCAAAATAAAAAGCATTCCCATCACTTCGAAAAGTTGCCTTGTGTCCAGTTCTAATGTCTACTTTGTTTCAGGCAACCACTGTTCTTTTTTCCACTATAGATTGGATTTGTCATTTTTAGAGTTTTACATAAGTGGAGTCACACCATGTATACTCTTTTGTGTCTAGCATCTTTCATTCAGCATAAATTTTCACACACTTATAACCATATACAACCACACTTGCATATATTTTTTAATTTGCTTTTATTTTACAAATATATTATGAACATTTTCCATATCATTAATTAGTCTCTTAAAATTAAATTTTCATTGACTAATTGTAACTTGTTTTAGGGATATACCACAATTTATCTCATAAATAAGATCTTATTGTTAATTGTTGGTGTTGTCTCAATGGTTTGCTTTCATAATCAAGAATAATTATTCTGGACTACACATGTTTGTGTGCATTACCTAATTTCTTTGGGATAAATTTCTATTTAAAAAAAGTTAAAAGTCTCACAAATTTTAATATGTACTGTGCCTATTTAATCTTCCACAAACATTATATACAAATTTATGAGGAACAATAGCATTTCAAAGGTGAAAGGGAACCTGGAGAAAAATATGGTTCAGTGGTCCTTAACCAGTGGGGTGGACATGCCTATGGAGCTCTTTTGAAATTCACCTGCAGTTATTCTAACTTGGTATTTATGAAGCTCAAGTAGCTGCTCTTTTTGTTTTTAGTTCTGCAGATGATTCTGTTGCACACTACACTGTAAGAATCACCTCAGTTTCACAGATGAAGAAGCTGAGCCACGAAAGGCTAATTAACACCTCCTGATTCCTTATACTCTTGTCACTTTGCCAGGGAGAGCCTTTGTCTACATTGATTACCCATCATCTGGAAAATGACAATAATGACCACCACCACTCCCCTCAGAAATCACAACTAACCATCTAGGTCCTCCGTTGGTGGACCTGTAAGCTAGAACAGCACTTTAAGTGATGGAGTTAGGACCACTTCAGAAAAGTCTTCATGTGAAAGGGACCCCAGACAATTGAAGAGAGGCCTAATTCAGAAATCTACTTAGAAGGTCCTCCCAAAAACTGAAGCAGACCTTTGTTGTTGTTGTTTAACCAGGCCAGATCTTAGGGGTAAACAATAGATTTACAGTGACAATAAACAGACATGCAAACACACACACACACACACACACACACACACACACACACACACAGAAGTTCCTTGACTTTGTCCCCACTCACTCTATAGCCACTCCAGCCTATTCTCAACCCCCAACTCTATCTCTTCAAATTCCTCTCAGAGGAGACTGAGAAGGAAAGAACTGTTTCTCCTGAGTGAAGGAGGGCATCCTTTACCTACCCTATTGGGTCTGTTGTTTCTTTTTCTCTTCTGTGGTCCACCTCCCAGAAGTGATGCTGGCTGTTTCTGCCATCTCCCACCATGGCTGTGGAGAAGCTACTGAAGGAAAATATCTTCTACAGCTTCTTCTCCTTCCAGACCCAGACTGCCACAGCTTGCAGTTCAGTCTATTACATTCATTTCTTAACTTCTCCAGGTTCCCACGGTCACCCTGGGGTGGGGCAAATGCTTTCATATGATTACCATTACAGGGGCTGCAAAGCAATGCTCCATTGAGCTGTCAATGTCTGACGGAAGCTTTAGTGAGTCAATTCTTCAAGATTTTTTCCACTCTTGATTGCAGTCCCTAATCTTGTGACTCAGACGTGAGTCCAGAGAGACATCTTGTTAATCTGTATTCTTTTCCTTTAGGATAAGTTCTTTCTCAGGAGTGTTGATGTAGATAATTCCCCATGGAAACAGACAGTTGGTCCACCCTTCTCAAGAGTTCCCAGGTATGCCTACCTCCTGGAGAGAACCCAGTGTGACTATCCAGATAGGATTCCTATTTAAGCCTACCTGGGCATCCTAAATATATTATTCAGAACACCATTAATTCCCCAAATCACGGTGTTTCACAGGGCAAGGAATCAAGATTCAGATGCAAATTATTACAAAGCCAAAGAAAAATAACTCTGGTGAGGGCCTTTAAGCTTTAGCAAATAAGAATTTATAGAAAGAAAAGTTCAAGTCAAATCATACAGGGCTCCTAAAGCACTTTTTAACACCTATAATGCAGTAATTTTTTTCACACACAAATCCCCAGAAGTTAGTTTAAAAGGAAATATCTTTATAAATTATGAAAGTAGGTTTGGGGGAGGCAACTTTCCCAACTCACAAATTCTTGTGCGCAAAAATGTTGCTCTCTCTGTTTTTCTAAAATTGGACTTAATTTCTACCTTGAATTCTATTTCTGCAGACTTCTCTAGGGTGATACACTACTCAGTGTTTTCTCAGTCATTTAAAATTTAAACTCAGCCAGATTAAATAACTCCTCCCTATCCCAGCAGCAGACTCAAACTAAAACATTATAGCATTGGTAGGAAGAGGAAGTAACCAGCTTCTGTAATATTTTATTCCAAATCCTTATAACTCCCACTTAGATCAAAGCTTTTGAACTTACAATTAAGAATATACAGTTTTGGAGTTTGGAGTATCCTCGCCACTCCACCATGGGACAAAGTCATCCTTATGTCTCTTAGCTAAGTGCAGAGACTGTTGTAGGATTAAAGCAAACAGAGGATACATTTCATGTTTTTTGTGGTATTTCTGTCACGTATCACCCCACTAGATAGGCCAGATCAAGGCCATATGAAGGCAAAATGAGGAAGAGTAAGCAAGGCTATAAGCATTGGCCATGGCCTTTCCTGTAGCCACTCGTCCTGTGACCCCTTGGGGAAAAGATTGAGGTTTCTGCTGGCTCTCCCAGAGGTTCATATGGGTGGGAGACTCTGTGTTCTGCTGTCACTGGCTTCTTTCAGGAGCGGAGGCCTGCTTTGTCTAGTACACTTTCTCCCCACTACACTTTCTCCTCCACAACTACACTACACTTTCTCCTCCACAACTCTCCCTGCTTCTCTCATTGGCCACATCATGTTCCCTCATTATCTCTAACCTCAGTCCAACTCTTTGCTTCCCCTCCTTCTGCAACAAGATTCCCATATATCCAATTCTGTATTTTCTAAATGTTATTATTATTTAATAGGTTTTAATTCTATAACCCTCCTTCTGTCTGACTTTTGAGTATATTTCCATGTTTCCCACATTATTTCTTCCGTGTGTGGTCTCTCTGAGAAAGAATGATATTGGGATGCATCCTGCAGTTGGCAGTCGATATATCTCTCTCTTCCATTAGATGATGAGTTCCTTAAAGGTAGGGACCATATATGACTCATCTCAGCACTCTCTACAGAGCTGAACACATAGTAGGTGTTCAATACACGTTTAGTGAATACTTAATGAATGCATCCTGTCTGCTAATAAAGAACTCCAAACATCCTCTGAAAACAATCACCTGGGCCGGGCACGGTGGCTCAGGCTCATGCCTCTAATCTCAGCACTTTGGGAGGCCGAGGCGGGAAGATCACGAGGTCAGGAATTTGAAATCAGCCTGGCCAATATGGTGAAACCCCGTCTCTAGTAAAAATACAAAAATTAGCCAGGCGTGGTGGCACATGCCTGTAATCCCAGCTACTTGGGAGGGTGGGGCAAGAGAATTGCTTGAACCTGGGAGGCAGAGGTTGCAGTGAGCCGAGATCGCGCCACTGCACTCCAGCCTGGGTGACAGAGCAAGACTCCGTCTCAGAAACAACAACAACAACAACAACAAAAACCCAGTCATCTGCTTGTAGTGCATATACTCAAGGTGAAAACCACAGGCAATTTGCAGTCATCTAAATAATTTATCATTAATTCCTGATTTGCTAGTACAAGAATATATTGTTTATTTTTTTTTCCTAAGCAATGATTTAAAGCCTGTAGATCAAGAGACTTTGGAGTCCTACACTAACAGTCAGCTTCCTTGCTCGAGTGTGTGAAAGGCTACTGATTTCCTAATATCACAACAGAGCCTCAACAATAATACTGTTTCCTAAGAGCCTCAACAACAATACTATTTCCTAAGCTACACTCCAGTTTTTTCCCTCTATTTTCTGGGATTGAACTACATAACAGGTATTATGAATTAAATTCACTGCTTGCTGTGCACCTATTACCATATACACAGAAGTCAAAATACAGAAAATAGTAGCATATGACAGTCTCTCAGTCCTTTACCCAATGTTTACAATGTGATTTGATTGAAAGAATTCTAAGCACTTTGTGGGTTTATAGATCCCTTTAAAATTCTTTGAGTTATGCATTAACCTTGACTTAAAGCTGAATACACTAACATTTGTTTTCTGAGCAATTTATCCAGTGTTGGATATGGTAGGTAGCACAGAAAGAAACAGTATCTAAATTCTTTTATTTGCAACCTATAACATTCTGTTTGTCTGATTATGTTGTGTTTTGAAAGGCACTTGTACTGATAAAGCTTGTAGTAGTACTTACCAAAATGAATTAAAAATAGGCTTAAGCCAAAGTTCCAAATACAGTTTATTTTAGAAGACAGAAGGACAACTAGACTCTCACCATCTCCAAAATTATAAAAAAAAACTATGAGTTATTGCAAATACTTAGAAGTCATGTTTTTCACTGTGTTTTGCTTTTCACATTTTAATATTCACTGAAACACTACTAGTTCACTTATTCTTACTCCTTGAAATAACAAAGAGCTGTGACTCAGTGCCAAACCGAAACTAACGTCAACATTAACTGATGCAGTCTTGTTAAGTAAGCTTAGCAAAATATCTGTATTCCAAATGTTAATAAATACCAACTGGCCTTTACTAGGGTAAAGTTAGAGATAATAATGTTACATATTAATGACTTTCTTCCACTAATGAATAGAAGCTATTCTCACTAACTAAATAGCATCACTTGGAACTGGAATTTTAGTTGAATGTTTAATAATTTTGAGATTAAGTCAAGAAAACGAACAGAAACAATTGATATTTGTGGGGCCATTGATAATTCTGAAGTTTTCCCAATAGTCAGCCCTCAAAAATGCAGTCTCATAATTCACAATATCTGACTTGACTGTCAGGACTTGTCTAATTTGGCCATGCCAGCTGGCAAGGATATTAGCCTCTTCTCCCGGAACATCACAAGCCACTTGGATGTAGTAGAATTCAGTGGTTTGAAGCCCCGGCTTTAATTCTAGCTCATCATTTTATTATCTATGTGGTCCTCAGCAAGTTGCTTAATTTCTCTGAGCATCATTTTTCTAACTTGTAAAATGGGGTTCAGAATATTTGTCCTTATATAAGAATTAATATAAATGAAGTGCTTAGTGTGGAAATAATTACTGCTCAATAAATAATATCTAGTAAGCAGATTTTTATTGAGGATAAATACTCAGGATGTGATTCTCATTCTGTATTATTTAGAGTCAAATGTGACAATGTTTGGTGTCAGCATGAAAAACCAAGAGTAATGTAAATATTCGGTGAATGATTTGACAATAGTCATGGTTGAGAAGACAAGATTAGTAGCAGAAGAGGGACAACAGACGTGGAAAGCTATAAAGAAAAAGTGTTTTTTTTTATATCTAAGAAGATTTTAATCTAGAAATCTTTATGAGGGGACAATCTTATTGTGCCAGAAGAACAAGTATTTATTGGGAATGTTTATATGCAAACCCAGATGCCATAAGAGACATAGTGAAATTTATTCAGTAAGTATTTATTGTGTGTCTACTATGTCTGGGACTGTTCTACATACTGAAGTAGGAGCAGTGAATAACCAAGTCAAATTCTCAGCCCCTGTGGAGTTTACATTCTGGTGTAGGAAATACAAAGATAGTATTCCTTTTTTCAAGGCATTTACTATTTCTGTAAGGAGACATGAGCCTTTGCATTAAAAGAGTATAAAATAACAATAATAACAATAATTGCAACAAATGACACGAAAATATCCCTAGGAGACTGAGTGGAGTAGTGGAAGGAATTCAGGTTTCAGCAACCAAGAAATCTGAGCTCTAATCTAAGTCCTGACGGCGCCTTTGGACCTTGGGACAGTATAGCATTTTATTCAAGTACCATACTCTCTTCTGTAAAATGAGCACAATAATAGTTACTTTATAAAGCTGTTCTAATGACTAAATGTGATTACATGTGTAAATCCCTTTATAGAGTAGCACAGATACATGAATATCCTTACTGAGAAGGACAGTTGATTGATGCCTCAAAAGACGGCAGGATTTGGCTAGACAGAGAAGAGAAAGAGCATTCTAGGCCAAGAAAAGAGCTTGATGAAGGACACAAATTTGGAGTTGCATACAGAGTATTTGGAAGAAAGTGAGTGGGATAATTTGGCTACAGTAGAGAGTTCACATAGATAAGTAGGTAGAGAAACAACTCAAATAATAGGTGGTTCTTAGATGACTCACAAAGGAATTTCTGAGAGTTAGAATAGCTCTCATGCATATGTAGACACTGAAACACAGTGTAATTAAGTGAATTACCCAAGGTTATATCATTAACAGTGAAAGTAGAATCCCAATATCCATCTGGCTCTTTGTCTCCTTGATGGCCTGGCCAGTGGTTAAGACCATGTATTATCAATCTCCTTGTCAATTCATATTTGAACACTCATAGTCTGTTAGGCAGTTTTTATAATATACAGCAAATATTCTAACCAGCCCTCTAGTTTAAGTATTGCATTTATGGCAAGAAAAAGCAATTCTGAAACAACCAAGGGGAATGAAAAACAAGCGGCTATTTCTCAAAAATGAGATGGTGCTTTGCAAAAATGAACTAACTTTATGATGCCATCTGGAAAATGCTTTTGTATTCCCGATACAGTGCACTGAGCATAACTTAAAGTTGACTAACTAGCTCTGAAATGCTCTCTTCTGTTTCCTCACATATGGATGTAGCCTACAGGAATAAGCGTTATTAGTCCTTGGACAGGACATCTGGTGTGACTTCTCAGCAATAAGGTGTACAATTCTTGGGTGAATTTCAACAGAGCACATCAGCCTAACTTTGGAAACTTTTCAGGGTTGAGCCAGTCCATGGTGATTGACCTTTTTCAGAAAGAAACTAGGCTTCCAAACCAAACTCTAATCATGGAGATTCTGTCTTCCTTCTATCCCTCCTTTCCTCCTTCTCTTCCTTCCTTCTAACATTTAAAGTCTTAATTCTGACATTACACACAGTGTAATGCACAGTGGTATACTTAGACAGAATTAAGACTTTCAAATGAAATTGAACCCTAAGATGTTATATCATAGTCAGACCTCTTGGCGCTTAGGGTGGCAGATGTTCCTCACAGTTTCTTCCAAAGTAGCAACAGTCTTTTTGCATAATTTATTGTAATTGGATATTGGAATTATGAACAGAGAAATTCTTCTCTTCTTTAAAAATTAGTAATAGAACCTAATTGTAACACCAGTAGCTTTAGAATCTCTTAAAGGAAAAAACCTTCATTAATTTGCTAAGAGATTAAGCTGAAGCTAACTTTGCTTTATAAAAAAGTTGCCAATAAAATAGCCTAATACTTGCATAGAGGAACATTTAATTTACTGAAAAGAACAAATTGCCTTCAAACAATTTAAAACACCAATTAATGGATAAACAACCAATATGTTAAATACAAATCATTCTTCTCTATTTATTGAAGTAGCTTCCCAACTCCTTTGCTTGACAACACTTAATTAGCCTAACTTGAGTTGCTTTATTTAATTGAAATTAATAGAACTAGGTTTCCTTTAAAAATATTACTTTGTTAAGACTGATTCCCTCATTTAGTCTAAATAGTGATTATTAATAAAATCTGCTTTTAAAAATATTTTTGACATTTACAATAATAATCAACATGTTATATATTTACATGAGGACTGATTATTTGGTTGTTAGTTATGTGGACATTTTTGCCTCAGTTTAACTCTGACTACCCTTTTAGGGGGTGGAAAAGTTTCCTTAGCCACTCTACAGACAAGACAGAAAGTAAATCTAGGGACTTTGGCTAACAGTCAGTATCTCTTATAAAAATATTTCCTTGGAGAGAATGAAGGTTGAAATGCATATCTGAAATGATATATTGGTTTTCTATGCTGTGATACTATGGCCGGCAAAAATGATGGCTTGGTCATAAGTCAATTTATTCTTATTGTAAAGGGTCTAAATACAGGGAAAGTAGAAATACTACATCCTTTGGGATCAAACAAAGTTGTTTCAACCCTAGCTCTACCATGCGCTATACCTGAAAATAAACTTCTCCAAGCCCCATCTGAGTATAAGATTCAGATAATAATAGCTATTTAGCAACTGCTAGATCACATTTATTGGTGTGCTCACTACGTGCCAGAGACTGTTCTGGGGACTTTATGTATGTTAGTTCATTTAATCCAACCCTCAAGCTTATGAGGTAGATATTTATAACCCCATTTTATAGATGAGGAAACTGAGTCACAGGGAGGTTAATGAACGTGCTCACAGTCATACACTAGCAAGTGGGGATGCTTGGGTTCTAGCAGAGACAGCCCAATGCCAGACTTCACTTTCTAAAGAGTTCTGGAATTTGAAGTGAAGATTAAAGTGGTTAACCTGTATAGAAGGCTGGCGTATGACCTCACACAGGGTAAAGTCTTATTAAGTGGATTTCTCTTAAAATTTCTGGCTACTTCTCAGCCTCCTTTCTGGCTCCTTTTCCTATTCTAGGCTTGAAGATATTGGACTTCTTCAGGGAGTCTCTCCTGGCGCCTTCCCGTCTCTATCCACACTCTCCTCTGTGACCTCCTCCACTACCAAGCCTGTAAATACCATTGCTATGCTGATGGCTCCCAGTTCTCCATCTCCAACCCTAGCGCTTCAGATTCATACTCTCTATAGCTTACCTGTCATTTACATTATATCTAACAGGCAACTCAAACTTTCACAGCCCTGAACATCATGTTCAACTTTTCTCCTTCAAATCTGCTTTTCCCTTCAGTCTTCCTCATACTCAGAATATGGCACCACCATCAGCTCTTTTGCTCATATCAAATCGAAGACTCATTCTCCCACATCAAATTCTTCTGCACGTCCTGCAGATTCTACCTCTACTTTTCTCCATTTGCACTTACATAGCCCACTCCAAACCACGACTCCTCTTGTTTAACTACTCTGAGAGCCTCCTAACAAGTCTCCCAGCTGCCTCTCTGGCCTTCCACATAAATCCACTATCTGCCCAGAAGCACTGTGTTCATTTTTCAAATATAACTCAGATCAGGTTACTCCTCTCCTTAAAACCCACAGATATTCTCCCACTGTATTTAAATTAAACTCAAACTACTTATTATGGTTCACAAAGCCACGTAAGATCTGGCTTCGCCAACGTTGCTAGCTTCATTCCAATCAATTCTTTTCTGCCCATTATCTCCAGCCACACTGAGCATCTGCCTGGGTCTCAGATATTCAGGCTTATTTCTGGTTTTGGGCCTTTGCCCAGCTTTTCCCCCTTCTGGAAACATGTTCTGTCTGATCATACAGTGGTTGGCTCTTTTATCTCTGTTTCCAATTCAAATGTCACCTCCACAGAGGCTTCCCAATGGCCCAATTTAAACTAGTTCTATCATTTCACTCCTTTAAATTCTCTACACCGAGCTGTTTATAACCTGATACTGGTTTTTATTGTCTGCCCGCTATTTCTGACAGCAGCAACAACACATACACATGCATGTATGCACACATGAATGCCTAAAAAAGGAAAATTCCATGATAATGAGAATATTGTCTCTTTTTTGTTGTTGTTCTTGCTCTGACTCCAACACTTAGTTTGCAGTGGCCAATGAAAGATATTCATTGAATTAATGATTATATTAAATTGAAGTGGCTGTTATTAATGGTCCTTCTTAAAGCCAAGGATCAGTTTGTATCTTTTACAGCTCTTACCATATTTTATGATAGGACTAGGTTTGGCCCAGTTAACTACATCAGTTTTGGGAAGACAGAAGGGTGCAAAAGGAGAAACAATCTATTTTCAGAAGCTGAGCAGCCATCTAGATTGCTACACAGAATTCAGCATCTGGTGAGAACAGCCCTAAAATGCAAGTGATACGAGGTAAGCAATTAGCATCTGTATTCCAACTTGAAGCAACAGTAGTCCTCAAACCAGTGACAAGAACTTAGTGATGGAAAATTCACATAGGAGACATTTAGAAGTGCATGTAGGGAGACATACATGATAGTCTTTGAGCAGAAACCCAGATGGCTGACTGGAGTTCAGAAGTCAGGTTTCAAAGCCCAGGCCGGAAATAGGAATAACAGACACTAAGGGTAGAGCCTCATTTCTACAAGAAATGGGAATTAAATTTGCTGACAAACTTGAGAAACTCAAGCTCAAAGAACAAAGCAGGTGCTACATATCAGCATAAAGCACAAAGTAGGAGGGTGGCCTTGAGGCAAGCTGAAACCCACCCTGCAGGTTGGACTGGCTGCAGGTGACTGCATGCTGAGCATCAGACTAAAGTGCAGGGAAGGAAGTCATAATGCCAGGCCATGTTCCCATAAACGGGCAGTCCAGTCAGATGGGAGGTCTCTATTGATCGCCCTTTACTGCATCATAACAGTGTCAGACATGAGACCTGAAAGCCCATCTTTCTGCCTGCTGCACTCGATCAATATGATAGATCTTTCCCTTAGAGGCCTGTCTGAATCCTATTTTCTGCCTACACACATGTGGAGCTAAATTGATGATGATGACTCATGGGCTTCAGAGCATCTGTAAACTGTTATTATCACCATCCACACCAGCACTTTATTGATCTCCTCTATTAGGCATTGACTCATTTTATGACCACCCTTTTTTAGGAAGCCAATAGGTTAACCTCTTTCCTCTCTACCAATACTCAGGGTAAATGTAGACCCAGTCAAAGGTGGTCCGTTTCTGGTTACGCATGAGAGTCATAACAGTTATTATTAGAGCCACGTGCATTTAAATATTTGTATTAAAACCAAAACCCTCATGATATTCTTTCCTTAAGGTTTAGGACAAAAAAGAGTTATCTTGGAGATAACTTCATCACACTGGTATATGAACTGAATTTACCAAACAGTTAAATAAACATTACAACTAATTATGAATATACAAGAACAAACTTGGGTTTGACCACGGATTGCTCTTCATGCACAGATTGCTCAACATTCTCTAATCAAGGATGATTAGAAAAGTATTTTAGTCCTGCTATTTTAATCTGCTGTAACTTTTAGTTTGATGTTTTCTTATGGGGTCAGCAGGGGGCTGACTCCCTCTGTGGTGACTCAGTGCCTAGTTATTATAATTTCAATCAGGCTGCTGGTGTCCTCTCTGCAGACTTGCATATCTTCTTCATGTTGGCCTATTCAGCGTCTCCATTAATATCTGGCACACAGTGAGCACTCAAGAAATAAACATGAAAAGAGGGAATGAGTGCTCTCTCCTTGGGAGTATTAACTCTTTACTACTCATACACGTGAATTCTATAATCATAGTCCTGGCCTAGAGTTTTTTAAGCAATGTAGAATGGAAAAGGTCTGATTGCTGCAGCACCAGGAAACTTTGACAAGCAAATATTTAATAACCATTGAATAAAACCTGAGGTTATCAGTTCTGTGAGACCCATATGACACATGCATATATGTATACGCACAGATAGACATATAAGCATGGGTATTTAGCAAATGTTTGCCTATGTGTACAGTGTATGTACTACAGGGTTCATCCAATTAGAGGGGTGATGTTCATTCCTACTGTTTTTATGTCTTCTCTTCTACACAGCAAATAATTATTTGTTGTAATCCAGTTCATATGCAATGCTTTAGGGAAGGCAAAATAACTTTAACCTTGCTGCTCTTTTTACCTACATCTCACATTTTCACTTTTACAAACACCAGAACTCTGATGTATTCTGAAACATTCAACATTTGTGCAAACTTTTTTGGAAGAGAACAAGCTACAAGGATTAAAGCATATTTGAATAAGAGAGAAAAATCTAGTGTTTCCCTATTAGGGTCAATAAAGCACTTGAAAAGCATGAACACCATTCTGGGGAGAGTAGCTGGGTTGAAGGCAATGCCATCAGCAAATAAAGGAATCCAAGCAGAGGAAGATCCAAAAATGGATTTTAACATAGACCTGTTGGATGGTCTTCATCTAGCCAATGTCCTACTTCATTAAAACATTATCTCTCTGTTTAACAGCTCATTTAAACATTTTCCACTTTCTTTAAAGAAAAACTCCTATGTATATGATGGACATAGAGATCACAACATTCAAAAAAGTGATTTTTCTCTGGAGACTTTTTTATGTTGTTAGATTTCAGTTGTGAATGATAAGTAGAGAACTTCAGATGTTACCTCTATTTAAACATCTGTTCAGCCAATATGTGATTTCATATTATAATCTGCTTCAGCTACATTTGCTTACCCGTTAATCAAAAACCATAAATTCTGCGTTGCACAATAGCTTTTTGGTTGTTGTTTGCATAGTTTCAATATAAGAATGCATATTTAAATGATTATCAGATGATAAGCCTTTATGAAAGTTTCTGCAATGGAATGCCTATTTTATGAATTTTTATGATTAAAAGGTATTATTACAAAAGTAATCTGAGAAGCTAGGAAACTAATAGTAAATTACATAATTATTTACCTCCTATTCAATATATTAAAAATGAAATTCCATTTTATGAGAGAAGGATGACCAGATAAAAAGAAACAGAAAACATTAAATCCTTTCTCTCTTTTCTTTCTGATTTTTCTTATAGTATATTGGATTGAAAGTATTTTCCTTAAATTTATGCACTTTTATAGTTTATCTTTCTATCCTGTGTTGTTTTGAAGAAAGTAAATCAGCAGTATCTAAATCTGTAGGATTTGCTTCCCTGGCTTACTAGTCATTATTGACATCAATAGGGTCTTGCAGATAAACCTAAATGAAAGTGTTCTACATCAAGATCTATCAGCTCTTTATCAGTTATCCATTTTGAGACATAGAAAGACATTTTTATTTCTGTCACTTGGGCTTGGTTCTTTGGTCAATTTCTGCAGAATTAATTAGAACTTTTCTTGTTACTCTGTAAATAGATTTTTCTAGGGTCTTCTTGCAGAAGAAAATTATTTTATGTTGGAATTCTCTGAGCAGTCACAGAAAGTCTGACAGTGAAATGGAGGTGACAGGAGTCTGTTTCAGGGAGAGGTACCTTTATGCTGATAGGTGAATTTTTTTTTTTTTTTTTTTTACTTTAAGTTCTAGGGTACATGTGCACAACGTGCAGGTTTGTTACATATGTATACATGTGCCATGTTGGTGTGCTGCACCCATTAACTCGTCATTTACATTAGGTATATCTCCTAATGATATCCCTCCTCCCTCCCTCCACCCCACGACAGGCCCTGGTGTGTGATGTTCCCCTTCCTGTGTCCAGGTGTTCTCATTGTTCAATTCCCACCTATGAGTGAGAACATGTGATGTTTGGTTTTTTGTCCTTGCAATAGTTTGCTGAGAATGATGGTTTCCAGCTTCATCCACGTCCCTACAAAGGACATGAACTCATCCTTTCTTATGGCTGCATAGTATTCCATGGTGTGTATGTGCCACATTTTCTTAATCCAGTCTATCACATAAGGACATTTGGGTTGGTTCCAAGTCTTTGCTATTGTGAATAGTGCCGCAATAAACATATGTGTGCATGTGTCTTTATAGCAGCATGATTTATAATCCTTTGGGTATATACCCAGTAATGGGATGGCTGGGTCAAATGGTATTTCTAGTTCTAGATCCCTGAGGAATTGCCACACTGTCTTCTACAATGGTTGAACTAGTTTACAGTCCCATCAACGTGTAAAAGTGTTCCTATTTCTCCACATCCTCTCCAGCACCTGCTGTTTCCTGACTTTTTAATGATCACCATTCTAACTGGTGTGAGATGGTATCTCATTGTGGTTTTGATTTGCATTTCTCTGATGGCCAGTGATGATGAGCATTTTTTCATGTGTCTGTGAGCTGCATAAATGTCCTCTTTTGAGAAGTGTCTGTTCATATCCTTCACCCACTTTTTGATGGGGTTGTTTGTTTTTTCTTGTAAATTTGTTTGAGTTCTTTGTAGATTCTGGATATTAGCCTTTTGTCAGATGAGTAGATTGCAAACATTTTCTCCCATTCTGTCGGTTGCCTGTTTACTCTGATGTTAGTATCTTTTGCTGTGCAGAAGCTCTTTAGTTTAATTAGATCCCATTTGTCAATTTTGGCTTTTGTTGCCATTGTGTTTGGTGTTTTAGACGTGAAGTCCCTGCCCATGCCTATGTCCTGAATGATATTGCCTAGGTTTTCTTCTAGGGTTTTTATGGTTTTAGGTCTACAATTTAAATCTTTAATCCATCTCGAATTAATTTTTGTACAAGATGTAAGAAAGGGATCCAGTTTCAGCTTTCTACATATGGCTAGCCAGTTTTCCCAGCACCATTTATTAAATAGGGAATCCTTTCCCCATTGCTTGTTTTTCTCAGGTTTGTCAAAGATCAGTTGGTTGTAGATGTGTGGTATTATTTCTGAGGGCTCTGTTCTGTTCCATTGGTTGATATCTCTGTTTTGGTACCAGTACCATGCTGTTTTGGTTACTGTAGCCTTGTAGTATAGTTTGAAGTCAGGTAGCGTGATGCCTCCAGATTTGTTCTTTTGGCTTAGGATTGACTTGGCAATGCAGGCTCTTTTTCAGTTCCACATGAACTTTAAAGCAGTTTTTTCCAATTCTGTGAAGAAAGTCATTGGTAGCTTGATGGGGATGACATTGAATCTATAAATTACCTTGGGCAGTATGGCCATTTTCACGATATTAATTCTTCCTATCCATGAGCATGGAATGTTCTTCCATTTGTTTGTGTCCTCTTTTATTTCGTTGAGCAGTGGTTTGTAGTTCTCCTTGAAGAGGTCCTTCACATCCCTTGTTAGTTGGATTCCTAGGTATTTTATTCTCTTTGAAGCAATTGTGAACGGGAGTTCACTCATGATTTGGCTCTCTGTTTGTCTGTTATTGGTGTATAGGAATGCTTGTGATTTTTGCACGTTGATTTTGTATCCTGAGACTTTGCTGAAGTTGCTTATCAGCTTAAGGAGATTTTGGGCTGAGACAATGGGGTTTTTTAAATATACATTCATGTCACTGCAAACAGGGACAATTTGACTTCCTCTTTTCCTAATTGAATACCCTTGATTTCTTTCTTCTGCCTGATTGCCCTGGCCAGAACTTCCAACACTATGTTGAATAGGAGTGGTGAGAGAGGGCATCCCTGCCTCCTGCCAGTTTTCTAAGGGAATGCTTCCAGTTTTTGCCCATTCAGTATGATATTGGCTGTGGGTTTGTAATAAATAGCTCTTATTATTTTGAGATACATCCCATCAATACCTAATTTATTGAGAGTTTTTAGCATGAAGAGCTGTTGAATTTTGTCAAAGGCCTTTTCTGCATCTATTGAGATAATCATGTGGTTTTTGTCTTTGGTTGTGTTTATATGCTGGATTACATTTATTGATTTTCATATGTTGAACCAGCCTTGCATCCCAGGGATGAAGCAGATTTAACAGTGGTGGATAAGCTTTTTATGTGCTGCTGGATTCGATTTGCCACTATTTTATTGAGGATTTTTGCATTGATGCTTATCAGGGATATTGGTCTAACATTCTCTTTTTTTTGTTGTGCCTCTGCCAGGCTTTGGTATCTGGATGATGCTGGCCTCATAAAATGAGTTAGGGAGGATTCCCTCTTTTTCTGTTGATTGGAATAGTTTCAGAAGGAATGGTACCAGCTCCTCCTTGTACCTCTGGTAGAATTCAGCTGTGAATCCGTCTGGTCCTGGACTTTTTTTGGATGGTAAGCTATTAATTATTACCTCAATTTCAGAGCCTGTTATTGGTCTATTCAGAGATTCAACTTCTTCCTGGTTTAGTCTTGGGAGGGTGTATGTGTCAAGGAATTTATCCATTTCTTCTAGATTTTCTAGTTTATTTGCATAGAGGTGTTTATAGTATTCTCTGATGGTAGTTTGCATTTCTGTGGGATCGGTGGTGATATCCCCTTTATCATTTTTTATTGCGTCTATTTGATTCTTCTCTCTTTTCTTCTTTATTAGTCTTGCTAGTGGTCTATCTATTTTGTTGATCTTTTCAAAAAACCGGCTCCTGGATTCATTGATTTTTTTGAAGGGTTTTTTGTGTCTCTATCTCCTTCAGTTCTGCTCTGATCTTAGTTATTTCTTGCCTTCTGCTAGCTTTTGAATGTGTTTGCTCTTGCTTCTCTAGTTCTTTTAATTGTGAAGTTAGAGTTTCAATTTTAGATCTTCCCTGCTTTCTCTTGTGGGCATTTAGTGCTATAAATTTCCCTCTGCACATGGCTTTAAATGTGTCCCAGAGATTCTGGTATGTTGTGTCTTTGTTCTCATTGGTTTCAAAGAACATCTTCATTTCTGCCTTCATTTCATTATTTACCCAGTAGTCATTCAGGAGCAGGTTGTTCAGTTTCCATGTAGTTGAGTGGTTTTGAGTGAGTTTCTTAATCCTGAGTTCTAGTTTGATTGCACTGTGGTCTGAGAGACAGTTTGTTATAATTTCTGTTCTTTTACATTTGCTGAGGAGTGCTTTACTTCCAACTATGTGGTCAATTTTGGAATAGGTGTGGTGTGGTGCTGTAAAGAATGTATATTCTGTTGATTTGGGGTGGAGAATTCTGTAGATGTCTATTATGTCTGCTTGGTGCAGAGCTGAGTTCAATTCCTGGATATCCTTGTTAACTTTCTGTCTTGTTGGTCTGTCTAATGTTGACAGTGGGGTGTAAAAGTCTCCCATTATTATTGTGTGGGAGTCTATGTCTCTTTGTAGGTCTCTCAGAACTTGCTTTATTAATCTGGGTGCTCCTGTATTGGGTGCATAAATATTTAGGATAGTTAGCTCCTCTTGTTGAATTGATCCCTTTACCATTATGTAATGGCCTTCTTTGTCTCTTTTGATCTTTGTTGTTTTAAAGTCTGTTTTATCAGAGACTAGGATTGCAACCCCTGCCTTTTTTTGTTTTCCATTTGCTTGATAGATCTTCCTCCATCCCTTTATTTTGAGCCAATGTGTGTCTCTGCACGTGAGGTGGGTCTCCTGAATACAGCACACTGATGGGTCTTGAGTCTTTATCCAATTTGCCAGTCTGTGTCTTTTAACTGGAGCATTTAGCCCACTTACATTTAAGGTTAATATTGTTATGTGTGAATTTGATCTTGTCATTATGATGTTAGCTGGTTATTTTGCTCATTAGTTGATGCAGTTTCTTCCTAGCATTGATAGGGTTTACAATTTGGCATGTTTTTGCAGTGGCTGGTACTGGTTGTTCCTTTCCATGTTGAGTGCTTCCTTCAGAAGCTCTAGTAGGGCAGGCCTGGTGGTGACAAAATCTCTCAGCATTTGCTCGTCTGTAAAGAATTTTATTTCTCCTTCACTTATGAAGCTTAGTTTGGCTGGATATGAAATTCTGGATTAAAAATTCTTTTCTTTAAGAATGTGGAAGATCGGCCCCCACTCTCTTGTGGCTTGTAGAGTTTCTGCTGAGAGATCCCCTGTTAGTCTGATTGGCTTTCCTTTGTGGGTAACTCGACCTTTCTCTCTGGCTGCCTTTAACATTTTTCCTTCATTTCAACTTTGGTGAATCTGACAATTCTTGTCTTGGAGTTGCTCTTCTCGAGGAATATCTTTGTGCCATTCTCTGTATTTCCTGAATGTGAATGTTGGCCTGCTTTGCTAGGTTGAGGAAGTTCTCCTGGATAACATCCTGCAGTGTGTTTTCCAACTTGGTTGCATTCTCCCTGTCACTTTCAGGTACACCAATCAGACGGAGATTTGGTCTTTTCACATAGTCCCATATTTCTTGGATGCTTTGTTCATTTCTTTTTACTCTTTTTTCTCTAAACTTCTCTTCTCACTTCATTCATTTGATATTCAATCACTGATACACTTTCTTCCAGTTGATCAAATTGGCTACTGAAGCTTGTGCATTCATCACGTAGTTCTCATGCCATGCTTTTCAGCTCCATCAGGTCATTTAAGGACTTCTCTACACTGGTTATTCTAGTGAGCCATTCACCTAATCTTTTTTCAAGGTTTTTAGCTTCTTTGTGATGGGTTAGAACTTCCTCCTTTACCTTGGAGAAGTCTGATCATCTGAAGCCTACTTCTCTCAACTCATCAAAGTCATTCTCTGTCCAGCTTTGTTCTGTTGCTGGCGAGGAGCTGCATTCCTTTGGAGGGGCAGAGGTGCTCTGATTTTTAGAATTTTCAGCTTTTCTGCTCTGTTTTTTCCCCATCTTTGTGATTTTATCTACCTTTGGTCTTTGATGATTGTGACGTACAGATGGGGTTTTGGTGTGGATGTCCTTTCTGTTTGTTAGTTTTCCTTCTAACAGTAAAGACCCTCAGCTGCACATCTTTTGGAGTTTGCTGGAGGTACACTCCAGACCCTGGTTGCTTGGGTATCAGCAGCGGAGGCTGCGGAAGAGCGAATATTGCTAAACAGCAAATGTTGCTGCCTGATCCTTCCTCTGGAAGCTTTGTCTCACAGGGGTACCTGGCCGTGTGAGGTGTCACTCTGCCCCTACTGGGGGCTGCCTCCCAGTTAGGCTACTCAGGGGTCAGGGACCCACTTGAGGAGGCAGTCTGTCCATTCTCAGATCTCCAGCTGCATGCTGGGAGAACCACTACTCTCTTCAAAACTGTCAGACAGGGACATTTAAGTCTGCAGAGGTTTCTGCTGCCTTTTGTTTGGCTATGCTCTGCCCCCAGAAGTGGAGTCTACAGAGGCAGGCAGGCCTCCTTGAGCTGTGGTGGGCTCCACCCAGTTCGAGCTTCCCGGCGGCTTTGTTTACCTACTCAAGCCTCAGCAATGGCAGGCACCCCACCCCCAGTCTCGCTGCCACCTTGCAGTTCAATCTCAGACTGCTGTGCTAGCAATGAGCGAGGCTCCGTTGGAGTGGGACCCTCTGAGCCATGCAGGGGATATAATCTCCTGGTGTGCCGTTTGCTAAGACCATTGGAAAAGTGCAGCATTAGGATGGCAGTGACCTAATTTTCCAGGTGCCGTCTGTCACAGCTTCCCTTGGCTAGGAAAGGGAATTCCCTGACCCCTGCACTTCCTGGGTGAGGCGATGCCTTGCCCTGCTTTGGCACATGCTCAGTGGGCTACATCCACTGTCCTGCACCCACTGTCCGACAAGTCCCAGTGAGATGAACCTGGTACCTCAGTTGGAAATGCAGAAATCCCCTGTCTTCTGCATCGCTCATGCTGGGAGCTGTAAACTGGAGCTGTTCCTATTTGGCCATCTTGGAACCCAGCCCGATAGTTGAATCTTATGGGATAAGGGAATCTAAGCTCTTCAAAAAACAAAGAAACCCAACAACTTACAAATATAAACATGAACATTTTAATCAAGCTTGCATGAAATGAAAGTATTTGTAGATCTGTTTGAAGCACATTTTTATGGTTAAAAAAAAAACATGGATTTTATTTCCATTGAAGATTATTGAGGATTTCGGGTAAATCATCTTCAGCCTGAATCCCTTCTGCTCTTCCTTACCCATAATGCTCCTGTGTCATGAAGGGTCTTAATGCTTATTGAGCTCTGTTAAGTTTTCCACAATTAAAACTCAAATTATCCAGCATTTACTTTTAATCAATGCTCACTTTATTTTCTCATTTAAGGAATCATTTTCTCATAAGTGGAAAATAAATTACAGTGTTCCTCTCCCAAGCTCCTTCTTGTCTTTGGACTATATAGTTTCTCATGCATGATGTGGATTATTGATTAATTCCCACTAACACCAAGTGGAGAGAATAAGGACATTTATATCCTCACACAGATGTATACACAGTTACACACACATGCACACACACATACCTTGAATATACATACTAGTGAAGCAGTGATATTTGGGTGTGCATGTCTAACACATTTATTATTTGATAATCTAAACTTCCTTCAGATGCAAGCAGAGAACATGTATATTATTTTTCACAGCTTTTGATTTGAATCACTCAGTAGGCTCCTCTTTTCTCTGAATAAAATATAAGAATGTCCCCATAGCACTTCGAGCCATATTTAGATACCAACAAATTTTGTTTAAAACCAGATCATTTTAATATAGAGGGAGTATAGCTCCCTCTTTCTATATCCTCTGCTCCCTCTATGTGAACTCTAGAAGTCCTCTTATTTTTAGACATGTTTTAGCATGAGCAACATATCCTTCTATCTTTAAACTCCAGGGAACGCATGTACACTAAGTGATTCTTTGGAGTTCCATTCTCTTGACTTGTGAGAAAAGGAAAGCATCTCTCTTCCTCATGGAGAGGGGTAAAAATATAATAATCCAACCTCTCTCTCTTTCTTCCCTGCTACCACCCAATCTTCTGCAACAGCCACAATGATGCTTAACTTCCTGTTCTATATGCTGGAGGTAGGTGATGGGTGATGTACTGGTGCTAGCAGAACCTGTCTTTGGCCACCTAGATTTGGAAGTCCTATATGTGGTGGGAAGAAGATGTTTAAGAATCAGGCTTCCAATTTTTTCTCTCCCTTTATGGTGGGTTTGGGGAGATGTTTTTGGGAAAAAAAAAAGGTTCCCCAGTGGATAGACTTCTTAGAAAACAATGATATCTGCTTTCAGGGGACTCATCATTAATAGAAAGCTTTCAGCAAGATATATCTGATCTTTCTAGGATTATTTACAGAAAACAAACAAACAAAGCTGGAATCCATGGATTTATGAGGCATAGTTCTCCAGAAAATATCGTGTAAGCCAAATAATGATTTAAACATTAAATGGAGATTTTTCATGACCAAAACAATACCTTTCCATGTAAGTAATATGTCTCCATATACAAGATAAAGTAACCTGAACCAAAGTGCATCTGTCTGTAGTAAGAGAGGCCCTGGGAAGCTGCATGGGCAGTCCTGAACTTCTCTCTGCTTTGGCTCTGCCTCATGATTATTTGTGTCCTTCAAATTATTATGAAAGCTTGAATTTGCAGAACGCCTCTGATTCTTAAGCATCTGAACAAACAGACCAATTTTCTGTGTTATCTCAGATGGTCTAACCCTTTGCTTTAGAAGGTAGACTTACATTTCATTTTTTTTTTAATGTTTGGCATCAAAAAAGGATGTTTCTCTCTGAGATATCCTTACTTCATATGTAATAATAAAGGAACTTCTTAATTTTGTTTGGTTTTGTTTAGGGATCAAATCTAAAAAGTGCTCTTTGAATGTTAGGTTTTTCCTGATTCCAGTATACAGGATGCCACACCTTGAAGGTGGCCTCTGTAACTGATCTCCACTAGACGATGAACTTCTTAAGGGCAGGGACCACATAGGAGTCACCTTAGGATCACTGGCATCTAGCACAGAACGGATGTTCAAAAAAATGAGTAGTGGTGATTTTAGTTGGTGTTCAGGACCTGTTGTTTGCTGGAGTTTATGAATGAGGAATGGGCCTGAAATAATATTTAATTGTGTCTCAAGGGCTTTATTTTTGGCTGTAGAATAGGTTGTGGCACAAGCCTGGGAGTAGAGAAGGTAGAAGGCACCAGAACATAACTGATATATACTCCCCTGCTGTATTACTCCATTCTCACACTGCTAATAAATACATACCCAAGACTGGGTAATTTATAAAGGAAAGGGGTTTAATTGACTCAGAGTTCCACATGGCTGGGGAGGCCTCACAATCATGGTGGTAGGCAAAGGAAGAGCAAAGAGAGAGAGATGTGCAAGGGAACTCCCTTTATAAAACTATCAGATCTCATGAGACGTATTCATTATCATGAGAACAGCACAGGACAGACCCGCCTTCATGATTCAGTTACCTCCCACCGGGTACTTCCCATGACACATAGGAATTATGGGAGCTACAATGTGAGATTTGGGTGGGGAAACAGACAAACCGTATCACCCGCTAAACATCATGCATAAATTTCAGCCTTATACAGTGAAGGGAGCCGTTTTCTGATTATACTGAGATTTGGGCATAAGTCATTTCGCTTTGGTTGCAAATCATGTGATAGATTATGGAAGAAGGGTATTAATATAGTTTGGCTCTGTGTCCCTACCCAAATCTCACCTTGAATTATACTCCCCATGATCCTCACGTGTCAAGGGTGGGACCAGGTGGAGGTAACTGTATCATGGGGTGGTTTCCCCCATGCTGTTCTTGTGATAATGAGTGAGTCTCAAGAAATCTGATGGTTTTATAACTGGCATTTCCCCTGCTACACTCACTCTGTCCTGCCACCCTGTGAAGAAAGTGCCTGCTTCTCTTTTGCCTTCTTTCATTATTGCAAGTCTCCTGCAGCCCTCACAGCACAGTGGAATTGTGAGTTAATGAAATCTCTTGTCTTTATAAATTCCCCAGCCTTGGGTATTTCTTCATTGCAGCATGAGAACGAACTAATACATGTATTCTTCCTTTTATTCTTGGAGCAGTATTGTTCAGACAGTGTGATAACCAAGGGATCATACAGCATTGTACAGTCAGTTGAACTTTTGGCTGTGGAAGTGCATGAAACCCCTGCCTTGTCAGGAATCAGTATTCTCATGTAGAAAGCAGTAGTCATATGATAGATGTTATTCTCAAGTAGCATGGAAGACAGAGGCTATCAGTAAAAACTGCATACTAGAAAAACACAAAAAAATTGTTTATGACCAGGTAGAGGAAACATCTGTGGATTTACAATACAGACAAAGAAACTAGAGAAAGTTTCGATTTGGATGGCAGGGGGAGGAGGTTCAAAGTTCTACATCAAGCAGGTTGGAATAGTGAAATAATGAAATACATGTATTCATGTCAAGGTGTTATTTGTTGTACCAAGAGTCTATTGGACTCTGGAGAAATATTGATTACAAAAATTGGCTGAGTGAATGGAAATATCCAAGTGTTTATTTTTCTAAGTCCAATACAATAAAAAAGTTCCAGATAATATTACACAAGAAAAATTTTAAATTGGGATTAAATAATAAAAGGAGATCAAAGAGGTCATAAACTTTGATGTGTCTGCTAGAGCAGAGTTAGGCTGAAGACAACAGTTTATTTCCAAATAGAGATATTATCATGTGTTGAGTGACTTACAAAATCACTGGAAAGGTTGTGGAAGAAAGCTCTACCCTGAGAGTCCAGGAATTTCTACCAGTGGTAGGGAAGCTTCCACCTGAGCTTTCAGCAAGCCATCACATTAGGAAATCACTAACCAGTTTGCACTGTTTCTCACAATTTACAACAGAATGAATGCCTTATGCTCTGCTCCTCTCCCCACTCAATTCAGTTTCAAATCCAAATCTCATACAAGTGCATCAAGTTGGTAGAACCTTAACCAGATCTAGAACACCAGCAGCAGGGAAATCTGAGATATGCAGCTTTCAGCTTTCCAGCCTCTACAATTTGGAAAGACGCCACAGAATGTTGTTGGAATGGATGCGAAACTAGCCATTGCGCAGAACCCATCATGGTCAGGGTTTAGAAAATTTACTTCATCCCATACCTTACACTGTTTATTTATTCATATAATAAATATTTATTGAATGTCTGTTAGGTTTTAGATCCCATTTCTTGGTTTTATCAATAAACATGATAGAAAGGTAGAGAAAAATAAGCTTGGGTTCTTTTTCTCTTTATTTTTATTTTATTTTATTCTACTTTGAAAGTAAAATTTGAGGTAGTATGATTTGAAGCTGGGTGTGCCTTCTGTAAGAGATGTCTTTGTCTCTGCAGAAGGAGAACAGGTCAGGGAGTGGTTGAGGGGAACAGGAGGCAGACTGCTGGCTAGTTAGAATTGGCTGTGTTCTCAGCCTTGAAGAGGAAGGATGATAGGAATTATAAGGTTTTAGAATTTCCTAGCTATATGCACCAGGGTAAAGAGTAGAAAGGTCAGGATAGAATTTATTTGGCTAGAATGTCCCTTTCATTTGATCTCAGAAACTAAGCCTGACCATAACAGCTGAAGGGAATAGGTTGGAGCACTCAACTGAGAGGAAATGCAAACACAAAACCTTAGATAGCAGGGCACATACCTGCAGCAAAAGGATAGCAATTGTACAGAGGGACATGGACTTCAGCCTAAGCCCTTCAGAACTGCTGCGAGCAGAAGCGAGGAAAAGCATGGAGTGCAGGTAATTCCCTGATACAGTCAAATACAGAGTCTCAAAATGTAAAAGATGCCAATTATTTCATAAGATTCTTCCCTTAGGTGTTTCATTTTTCCAGTTATGGACTTGGACTGAAAATGCTGTGAGGAGAGCTAGATACCATATATGTCAAAATATGAGGAAAAATTATCAAAGAAATAGTCAAATTTGGTAGTATTTTAAAGTTTGAGTGAAATAAATTATTATTTAAAAATAACCACTCATCTATTAGTAACGAACTTGAATTTTCATGTTTTTGTCTGGATTCTTAAAGAACTCTGTTAAAAGGAATTGTCTGAAATTTCACCAAAGTGCTCAAGCTCATTTATACATCTACAATTACCTTTACAGCCCATTTATGAGGTGAGTGGAGGAAGTAAAAAACAATTTTTATAAATCTGAAAATTATGAAGCAATAGTTATTAATGGGATGAGTGTTACATAATGACAATTGCTACCTTTTACTGAGAAGTTGCCATAGAGTAGGGGTTGAAAGTCCTTTGCTTTCATTATAGCTAATCCTCACAAGTCTGCATGGTAGATATGTTTGTTCCCCACTGACAAATTGGGAAGCCGAGGCTGAGAGAGGCTAAAGCAATCACTAGCATTTGCAAAGCCAAGAAGTATTAGAACCAGCATTTGAACCTAGGCTAATGTGATTCCAAAATCTATAGTTTTTTTTCGGCACACCTCATGACTAATACCAAGACACTGTACAATCATCACCAGAACACCACAAAGCTGCCCCCTGTCCACTACTCTGCTATCATCAGAAGTGCTAATAGAATCAAGATCTTCATACTCAGGTAAGTACTTTAGTGGCTTGAGCATAAACAAATAAATACATAAAAATCTTTGGGACTCCCAAAGATTTCTTGTACAATACAATATCTTGTGTTTGCTTCTTGAAGCTTCCTCCCATGTTCTTTATCCTGTTTGTCTCAGTTATAAGGTTAGGTGCAAGGCTGTTCTTGCTTTGGAAAAATATTCTGTAGCCATTTGGTGCATGTGAGTGTTCTCTTAGGATACTGAACTTCCCTGTTTTCCATTAATGTTTATATAGTATCTTTTTGCATGTAGCTTCTGCTGATCAAGATTTAGGCATGGGCCATGAACTCCAACATTCTAGCAAGACACAGGACAGCTTGAATAATCTAATAAGCAAAAAACAAGAGGCTGCTTATAGCTAGAGGCTGCCTCCCTAGTCCTACAAGTTTGTATCCACAAGATCATGTTTAAGTTGTATAACTGAAACTCAGAAATCATTAACTTTGTTTCAAACTGATATTCAAGTGCTGCCAATGGCCAAGGGCAGGAATGGGAAAGAACAGCTCCTGGCAGTGCAGAGGAATCATTTAGGACTTATCCTGCCCTGTGGTCGTGTCCAATGTTCTGTTGGTGGGTCTTCCCAGACAGAAAATCTCCTTTGGAGGGGCCAGTGCTGTGGAGCAACAATTTGATCCACCCACTGAATTTTTCATTGGCCATTTCTACAGACGACAGCTTTGTGGACAAAAAAGTCTATCCTTTATATGTAAGATGCCAAAAATCATGATATTAAAGATAGTTTTAGTTAGGTCAGGAGCTCTTAATGTGTGACCTACATATGGGCTTTCAAAGGGTTCAACAGTCCACTGAATTTTAAAGGAAGATAGTAGTGTTATTTGTGCAGATGTGAACGTTTGTGTGGGTGGGAAAGTCCACAAGCAAGGTCTGAGATTTTTAAAAAAGGAGGAGGGAGTATAAAAAGGCAAGTATGTGCTAAATCAAAACAAACGTGAACTGTGCAAAAATAATAGTAATAACGTTTGCTTTGCAGAGATAAAACTAAAACATAACTAAAATATTAGATAACAATAATATTCAAGGTAGAAGGAGAATAATAGAAGTTAAAGCAATCTAAGGTCGTTTTTGTGTACAGGAGGAGCATAAAAGTATTGATTAACTTTAGAGCTTGTAAAATTAAATGTGCATTTAAAGACCAGGTACAGTGGCTCATGCCTGTAATCCCAGCACTTTGGGAGGCCAAGGCAGATGGATCACTTGAGTCCAGGAGTTTGAGACCAGCCTGGGCAACATGGTGAGATTCTGTCTCTATAAAAAAAAAAAAAAAAAAAAAAAAGTACGAAAAGTTAGCCAGGCATGGTAACACATGCCTGTAGTCTCAGCTGCTCGGGAGGCTGATATGAGTGGATCGCTTGAGCCCAGGAGGCAGAGTGACCTGAAATCGCACCACTGCATTCCACCCTGGGCAATAGAGCAAGATCCTGTCTCAAAAAAAAAAAATTTGTCTAAATATTTTAGCATAAACATTAAGACAGAGAAATAGAGTAATACTCAAACTATACATAATTAAGGAGGTAAAGCAAACAAACAGCTCAATAATACCAAAAGAACAAGAAAGGAAAAATTCCTGAAAATATTTTTAAAAGGTTAATAAGCACAAATATAAGGACATCTATGAATTTTTTAAAAATCTGTATTTATAAATAAAATGTAATAAATTCTCCAGGTGAACGATAAAACTTGGTTAGGCTGGACAAAAGAAACTACGTCTTACCATGTGCTCTTTCTAAAAAGCACATCTAAATCAGAAGAGCACAGAAAAGGTGAAAAAAACACACACAAGGGTAAGAGGTTGGATGTGTCTCCTAAAGTTCATGTGTTGGAAACTTAATCCCCAATGCAATAGTGTAGAGAGGTGAGGCCTTTAAGAGGTAGTTAGGACATAAGGGCTTTGCTCTAATTAATAGATTAATGCTATTATTCAGGAGTGGATCAGTTATCACGGGAGTGGGTTCCCGATAAAAGGATGAGTTTGCCCTGCTTCCTCTCCCTATCTGCAGCTCTTTTCTCCTTCCTCCTTTCACCATGTGATGACACAGCACAAAGGCCCTCACCAAATGCAGCCCCTTAAAGTTAGAACCATGTGTCAAATAAATTTCTGTTCATTATAAGTTATCCAGTCTCAAATATTCTGTTATAGCAGCACAAAACACACTAAAAAAATTAGTGTTGAGAAGTGAGGCTATTGCTGGAACAAACACTTGAAAATGTGCAAGTGGCTTTGGAACTGGGTGATAGGTAGAAGCTGGAAAATTCTGTACACTCAGGAAAGAAAAAGCTTATATTGCCACGGAACATTAAGAGCAATTCTAGTGAGGGCCCAGAAGGAGAAAAGAGCTGTAGCGAGAGCCTAAACCTTTGTAGGGATTACTTAAGTGGTTGTGATCAAAATGTTGGTAGAAATATGGAAACTGAAAGCTATTTTGATAAGTTCTCAGACGGAACTGAGGAACAAGGGAGTGAAATCTGGAATAAAGGCCATCTTTATTATACAGTTGCAAAAAACTTGGCAGAATTGTGTCCAGGTTCCAGGACTTTGTGGATGGCAGAACTTAAGAGGAATGAACTAAGATATCTGGCAGAATAAGTATCAAAGCAGCAAAGCATTCAAGGTGCTACATGGCTTCTTTTGGCCACTACAGTAACATAAGAGAAAAGAGAAATTATTTAACAGAGAAATTTATAATTAAAAGCAAAGCAGAACAGAAAGATTTGGAAAGCTTTCAGCTTGGTCATGTACAGAATAAAAAAGTATGTTAAGGGGCAAATACAAAGGGTGTGCCCAAGTGACCATTTGGTAAAGAGATTAATATGGATAGAATAAATCCAGGCTGTATTAATCAAGACAATGGAGAAAATTACCCCAAAGACATTTCAGTGATCAAGGCAAGCTAGGTCCTTGAGAGCAAGGTTTTCAGAGAAGTACACATGGGACCTCAGTATTTGCTGCCTGGGGCCACCTCAAGACTCTGCTTTCTGCATCCCAGTGCAGTGCTCCTTGGCTGTCCCAGCCATAGCTCAAGCATGCCAGGTGCATCTCATGCCACAGCTCCAAAGGGTGCAAACAGTAAGCTTTGGCGGCATCCACATGATGCTCCAGTGCACGTCAAGTCTGCAGACAGAGTGCACGAGCTGTGAGGCCATGGTGACCTCCACTGGATTTCAAAGGATGTATTGAACAGCCAGGGGCCCAGGCAGAAACTTGTCACAGGAACAGAGCCACCACAGTAAGCTGCTACTAGGGCAGTGCCCAGCAAGGCCACAGGAGAGAAGCCCCTGCAGAGAGTGCCTATAGGTAATGTCTAGCAGGGCCATGGGAGTGGGGCAGCCCCCGCAAGACCTCAGAACTGTTGAGCCACCTGCATGCAATTCCAGTCTGGGAAAGCTGTAGGCATGAGACCTGTGAGAGCTGCTGGGTGAACTGAGCCCAGCAAAGCCAAAGGAGCAGGGCTCCCTGAGGCACTGGGTATCTAGTCCCTGCCCCAGTGTGCCTAGGAGGTGAGACATGGAGTCAAAAGAGATTATACTGGAATCTTAACATTTATTACTGTTTTCACTCTTGGATTTTGGACTTACTTGCGACCAGCTACTTCTTTCTTTTTGCCTGTTTCATCCTTTTGGAATGGGAATGTCTATCTTTTGTCTATCTCACTGTATTTTGGAAGCATGTACTTGTTTTGGTTTCATGTGCTCATAGCTGGAGGGGAATTTGCCTCAGCATAGATCATGCCTTGAGTCTCACTCAATCTGATTTTGATGAGAATCTGGACTTTGGACTTTACAGTTGATGTTGGAACAACTTATGACTTTATTGGGGCTATTGGGATGGAATTAATATATTTCACATATGAGAAGAACATACATTTGAGGGGCAAAGGGTGAAATGCTATGATTTGAATGTGTTCCTGAAAGTTTATGGGCTGGGAATTTAGCCTCCAATGCAACAGTGTTGAGAGATGGGAGCTTTTAGGTTGTGAGGGTTCTGCCCTCATTAATGGATTAATGCCATTAACATGTAAGTAGGTTAGTTATTGCAGGAGTGAGTTCTTGATAAAAGAAGGAGTTTGACTCCATTTCTGTCTCTCTCTTGCATGCTCTTCTACCCTTCCACCTTCTGCCTTCTGCTGTGACATGATACAGTAAGAAGGCCCTCACTAGATGCTGAGAAGATGCCAATGCCACTGCCATGCCCTTGGACTTCCCAGCCTCCAGAATCATGAGCCAAATAAATTTCTGTTCATTGTAAGTTATCCACATTGAAAATGAATGGAGGAAGGATGAAGATGTGAGCTGAAGGGAGAGGAAGCTGACAACCCTGCACCAGGCTACCTACCATCAGGACTTTTTCTTGGTTCCCAGGAACTCCTGGGGAAAAGGTGAGGTGGACAGGTGAGGAGTAGCCTGATCTCACCATGTACCTCTGGGCAACAGAAAACTCCACAACACCTATGGACACTTAAGTTGGCAGGAAGAGCTGCTTAGAGAAGTAGGAGGAGCAGGACCCAAGACTGCATGGGTTTGGTGCAGGAATATCTCTAGTGGGGCACAGCCAGGGATACCCTTCACCCAAGGCCTGCCAGATTCCTCTAGGAGACTTTAGATATTGGGGGACTGCTGAACCTGGAGAGAGTAGGGTGGTCTTGGCTTTGAGACGGGACCAGTCCAATCTGAGCACACCCCTGTCCACTGGCCTCTCCTAGGGCCCCAGACCTGGCCATGCCCACTGGCGGGACAGCCTTAGATGCCCAACCAGGGTGCTTCACAGGGGCCCTCATCATAGCTTCTTTACCTGCAGACCACAACTGACCATCTAAGAGCTCCAGCAGATTGGTCCCAGCTGACATGCAGTGACTCACTCACACCCTCTCCCAATCTTTCCTATGCTGCTTTGCTGGCATGTACTCACCCATGGCCAACCCCCTACTGCTTTGCTGGCATGCCTGCACGTGGGTGAGCCTCACCTTTGTCCTATGCCAGGGAGTATGTGCATGATTACCCTGCTGTGCCACTTCTGCTGGTGTGAGTTCAACCTGTTGCCACCCCAAACACCTATTCTGGCACGCGGGCACCCAGCCACACTGCCAATGCCAGCATGAACACACAGACAGATGCCATCAATCTTGCCCCCATCCCCTGAAGCCATTGCCACCAGAGTGAATAAGTGCATAGATGCCAGTGGCTCTGCTCCCCCCATGATGACACCACCACCATTGTAAACACACACATGAACACCAGTAACCTTGCCCAACCCCGTGCTGTGACCACCATGAATGTGCACATGGAGGCCAGTAATCCCCATGCCCACCAGTACCCCCACTGCACTGCTGCTGCCAGTGTGAGTGCAAATACAGACACCAGCAAACCTGCCCCTGACTGTGCCCCAGTGCTGGCATGAGAATGTGCAGGAATGCCACAGCCCTGTTTCCACTGGTTTACCCCACCCCAGCCAATGTATGTGCACCCTGCCACACTGCCATGGTTGCTGGCATGCAAAAGTGAGCAAGGATCCTGATGCCACCACCCCAGTGAAGCACTCTGGCCAGTAGCACCCATCAGAGTGCTGTGGCCAGTGGACCAGGAATATCTCAGCCCATCCAGCACAGCTGGTTCCAAACCTCAAGGGACAAGAGAACAAAACCAGGGTCCTGGTACCAGGCCCTGTGTTAAAGAATGCAGACCAGGAGTGCTGAGCTGAGCTTTGGTCTCCTAAAATCTTTCAGACATCAACTCAGTTGACCAAGCCCACCTTCTACGACAATCAAACTTCCAAGGGTATCAAAGAAGACAAAAGCAAGGAACCTCATCCAAAGGACAGTAACTTCAAAGATTGAAGGAACATCTGCACACACAGGTAAGAAAGACCTAGGGCAAGCACTCTGGCAACTTGAAAAGCCAGAATGTCTTCTTACCTCCAAACACCGCAATAGTTCCCCAGCAATGGTTCTTAACCAGGCTAAAATGGCTGAAATGACAGAAATATAATTCAGAAGATGAATAGAAATAAAGATCATTGACATAAAGGAGAAAGCTGAAACCCAGTCTAAGGGATACAATGAAATGATATAGGAGATAAAAGATAAAATGGCTGTTTTAAGAAAGAATGAAACTGATCTGGTAGAGCTAAAACTCTCATTTCAAGAATTTTATAATATAATTGCAAGTACCAATAGCAGAATTGACCAAGTTGAGGAAAGAATCTCAGAGCTCAAACACTAGTTTTGCAAAGTAATTCAGTATGACAAAAAAAGAAAGAAAAGAAAGAAGAATAAACAAAACCTCTAAGCAATATGGGATTATGTAAAGAGACCAAATCTATGACTCATCAGCATCCCTGAAAGAGAGGGACAGAAACCAAGCAACGTGGAAAACATATTTGAGGATCTTGTCCACAAAAATTTCCCCAACCTCGCTAGTGAGACCAAGATTCAAGTTCAGAAAATGCAGAGAACTTCTGCAAGATACTATACAATACGAACATCCCCAAGAGACATAGTCATCAGACTCTCCAAGGTCAAAATAAAAGAAAAAAATATTAAAGCCATCTAGACAGAAGAGGCACATCACTTAAAAAGGGAATCCTATCAGCTAACAGCAAACTTTTCAGCAGAAATCCTACAAGCCAGAAGAAATCAAGGACCCATATTCAGCATTCTATAAGAAAAAAAAAATTTCAACCAAGAATTTTATATCCATCTAAACTAAGCTTTATAAGCAAAGGAGAAATAAGATTCTTTCCAGATAAACAAATGCTAAGGGAATTTGTTACCACCAGACCTGCCTTACAAAAGGGAATGCTAAATATGGAAAGTAAAGACCATTACCAGCCACCACATAAACACACTTAAGTATATAGACCATTGCCACTGTAAAGCAATCACACAATTAAGCCTGCTAAATAACCAGCTAACAACATGGTGACAGGATCAAATTTGCACATATCAACATTAACCTTGAAGACAAATGGGCTAAATGCTGCAGTTAAAAGGCACAGAGTGGCAAGTTGGATAAAGAGGCAAGACTCAACTGCACGCTGTCTTCAAGAGAATCATCTCTCATACAATGACACCCATATGCTCAAAGTAAAGGGATAGAAAAATCCTACCAAAGAAATAGAAAACAGAAAAAAGCAGGAGTTGCTATTCTAATTTCAAACAAAACAGACTTTAAACCAACAGCAATAAAAAAAAGAACAGCGTTTCATAATGGTAAAGGGCTCAATTCAACAAGAAGACCTAACTATCCTTAATATATATGCACCCAAAACAGAAGCACCCAGATTCATAAATCAAATTTTCAAGGACTTACACAGAGACTTAGATGGCCACACAATAACAGTGGGAGACTTAACATCCTACTGAATGTATTAGAAAGATCGTCAAAGTAGAAAACTGACAAAGATATTCAGGACCTGACCTCAACACTTGACCAAATGAGCCTAAAGGATATCTACAGCACTCTCCACCTCAAAACAACAGAATATACATTCTTCTCATCTGCACATGGCACACACTCTAAAATTAGCCACACAGTTGGTTATAATACAATTGTCAGCATGTTCACAAAGTCCATAATTATACCAACTACACTCCTGGACCACAGCCCCCCCCAGAAATCGAAATCAATACTAAGAAGATTGCTCAAAACCATAAAGTGATATGAAAATTAAACGACCAGCTTCTGAATGACATTTGGGTAAATGATGACATTAAGGCAAAAGTCAAGAAGTTTTTGAAACAAATTAGAACAAAGCTAAAACATACCAGATTCTCTCAGACACAGCTAAAGCAATGTTAAGAGGAAAGTTTATAGGACTAAAAGCCTACATCAAAAATTTAGAAAAATATTAAATTAACAACCTAACATTACACCTAGAGTAACTAAAGAAAAATAAACAAGAGCAAACCAACCCCAAAGCCAGCAGAAGACAAGAAATAACCCAAATCAGAGCTGAACTGAATGAAGTTGAGATAAAAAAAAAAAAAAAACATACAAAACATCAACAAATTCAGGAGCTTGTTCTTTGAAAGCATAGGTAACAATGATAAACCACTGTCAAGACTAATAAAGAAAAAAAGAGGGAATGTCCAAATAAACACAATCAGAAATGACAAATGGGACATGACCACTAACCCCACAGAAATACAAAAAAAAAAAAAAAAACCCATAGACTACTATGAACACCTCTGTGCACACAAACTAGAAATCCTAAAAGAAATGGATAAATTCCTGGAAACATACAACCTCTCAATATTAAATCAGGAAAAAATGGAAACTAAACAGACCAACAATGAGTTTTAAAATTTAATTAGATATTAAAAAAACCCCTACCAACCAGAAAAAGCCCAGGATCAGATGTATTCATAGCCAAATTCTACCCCATGTACAAAGAAGAGCTGGTACCATTCCTACAGAAGCTATTCCAAAAAATTGAGGAGGGACTGGTCCTGAGCTCATTCTATGAGGTCAGCATCATCCTGATACCCAAACCTGGCAGAAATACAAAAAATAAAAATAAAACTTCAGGCCAATATTTCTGATGAAGATAATGGCAAAAATCCACAATAAAATACTAGCATTCTGAATCCAGCAGCTAATGTACTATGATCAACAAGTAGGCTTTATCCCTGGGATGCAAGTTTGGTTCAACATAAATAAATTGATAAATGTGATTCATCATCTAAACAGAACTAAAGCAAAACACACTGGATCATCTCAATAGATGCATAAAAGGCTTTTGATAATATTCAAAATTCCTTCATGTTAAAAATCCCTCAACAAAGTAGCCATCCTAGGAACACACCTCAAAATAATAAGATCCATCTATGACATACCTACAGACAACATGATGATACTGAATAAACAAAAGCTGGAAGCATTTCCCTTGAGAACCTGAACAAGACAAGATGGCTTTCTCACCACTCCTATTCAATATAGTACTACAAGTCCTGGCAATCAGGCAAGAGAAGAAATTTAAAAAGGCATCCAAATAGAAAGAGAGGAAGTCAAAATATCCCCGTTTGCAGACAGTATGAGTCGCATAGAAAACCCTGTGGTCTCTGCCCAAAAGTTCCTTGACCTGATAAACAACTTCAGGCAAGAGAAGAAATAAAAAAGGCATCCAAATAGGACGAGAGGAAGTGAAACTATTTCTGTTTGCAGAAAATATGATTTTATACCTAAAAAACCCCATGGTCTCTGCCAAAAAGCTCCGTAATCTGATAAACAACTTCAGCAAAGTTTCAGGATACAAAATCAATGCACAAAAATCAGTAGCATTTCAATACACCAACAATATCCAAGCTGAGAGCCAAATCAAGAACACAATCCCATTCACAATAGCCACAAATAAAATAAAATACCTAGGAATACAGCTAAGTAGGAGGCAAAAGGATCTGTATAACAAGAATTGCAAATCACTTCTCAAAGAAATCAGAGAAGACACCAACAAATGGAAAAACATTCCATGCTCATAAGGATAGGAAGAATCAATATTGTTAAAATGGCCATACTGAACAAAGAAATTCATAGCTTTGATGCTCTTCCTGTCAAACTACCAATGACACTCTTCACAGAAATAGAAAAAACTCTTTTACTTTGGGAGGCTGAGGCGGGCAGATCACGAAATCAGGAGATCAAGACCATCCTGGCTAACACAGTGAAACCTTGTCTCTACTAAAAAAAATAAATCAGCCGGGCGTGATGGTGGGTGCCTGTAGTCCCAGCTACTCGGGAGGCTGAGGCAGCAGAATGGCGTGAATCCATGAGGCGGAGCTTGCAGTGAGCCGAGATCACGCCACTGCACTCCAGCCTGGGTGACAGAGCAAGACTCTGTCTCAAAAAAAAAAAAAAAAAAAAAAAGAAAACAAAAAAGAAAAGAAAAAACTCTTTTAAAATTCATATGGAACCAAAAAAGAGCCTGAATATCAAAGGCAATCCTAACCAAAAAGAACAAAGCAGGAGGCATCACATTACCTGACTTCAATCTGTACCACAGGAGTACAGAAGGTATTACTGTACCACAGGAGTACAGTAATAGAAATAGCATGGTACTGGTACAAAAGCAAATACACAGACCAATGAAATAGAATACAGAGTCCACAAATAATGCCACACCCCTCATCTTCACAGATCCACAAATAATGTCACAACTATCTGATGTTCGACAAAGTTGACAAAACAAGTAATGGAGAAAAGACTCTGTATTAGTTCATTTTCACACTGCTATAAAGACATACCCAAGACTGCATAATTTATTTAAAAAGTAGGTTTAACTGACTCACAGTTCCTCATCGCTGGGGAGGTATCAGGAAATTTACAATCATGGTGGAAAGGGAAGAGGCACATCTTACATGGCAGCAGGCAAGAGAGCGAGTGTGTGAAGGAGGAACTGTCAGACACTTATAAAACCATCAGATCTCATGAGAACTCACTTGCTATCATGAGAACAGCATGGGGGACACCACCCCCATAATCTAATCACTTCCCACCAGGT
Organism: Homo sapiens; assembly: GCF_000001405.40. NCBI lineage: Eukaryota > Metazoa > Chordata > Mammalia > Primates > Hominidae > Homo > Homo sapiens. Next base: position 103,837,125 of record NC_000011.10, read on the forward strand.
CTCTCCCTTGACATGTGGGGATTATGAGGATTACAATTCAAAATGAGATTTGGGTGGGGACACAAAGCCTAACCATATTAGACTATTCAATAGATGGTGCTGGGATAACTGGCTAACCATATGCAGAGACTAAAACTGGACCTCTTTGTTACACCATATATAAAAATCAACTCAAGATGGATTAAAGACTTAAATGTAAAACTCAAAACTATATAAACCCTGGAAGATAATCCAGGAGATACCATTCTGGATAGAGGTCCTGGCAAAGATTTCATGACAAAGATGACAAAACAAATTGCAACAAAACCAAAAATTGACAAATAGGACCTAATTAAACTAAAAAGCTTCTGCAAGCAAAGGAAACTATTAACAGAGTAAACAGACAACCTACAGAATGGAAGAAAATATTTGCAAACCATATATTCTACAAAGGTCTAATATCCAGCATCTATAAGGAACTTAAACAAATGAAGAAGCAAAAACAAAAAATCCCACTGAAAAGTGGGCAAAGGAGATATACCTAATGCTAGATGACGAGTTAGTGGGTGCAGTGCACCAGCATGGCACACGTATACATATGTAACTAACCTGCACATTGTGCACATGTACCCTAAAACTTAAATAATAAAAAAAAAGTGGGCAAAGGACATGAACAAACATTTTCAAAAGAAGATATATACATGGCCAATAAGCATAAAAAAATGTTCAACATCATTTATCACAGAAATGGAAATCAAAACCAAAATGAGATACAATCTCACACCAGCCAGAATGGTTATTATTAAAAAGTCAAAAAAAAAAAAACCCAGATGCTGGCAAGATTGTGTAGAAAAAGGCATGCTTATACACTGATAGTGGGAATATAAACTAGTTCAGCCACTGTGGAAAGTAGGGTAGCAGTTTTCCAGAGAGCTTAAAACAGAATTACTCTTCCACCCGGAAATCCCATTATTGGGTATATACCCAAAGGAATATAAATCATTCTGTTAATACCATAAGGACACACATATGTATATGTTCATCATAGCACTACTCATAAGAGCAAAGACATGGAATCAACCTAAATGCCCGTCAATGGTAGACTGGATACAGAAAATGTGGTACATATACACCATGGAATACTACACAGGCAGAGAAAAAGAATGAGATCATGTCCTTTGCGGCTGCATGGATGGATCTGGAGGCCATTATTCTATGTGAACTAACAGAGGAAGAGACAATAAAGTACTTCATGTTCTGAGTTATAAGTGGGAGTTAAACATTGAGCACACATGGACACAAACAGGGGAACAACAGACACCTGGGCCTGCTTGAGGATGTATGGTGGGAAGAGAGAGGAGGTAAAGAAACTAGTTATCAGGTACTATGCTTATTAAATGGGTGATGAAATAATGTATTTAGCAAACCCCTGTGTCACACAATTTACCTATATAACATACCTGCACATATACCACTGAATCTAAAATAATTGTTTAAAAAATTATACATTCTGTGCTATCCTGTTATAGCAGCACAAAATAAATGAAGACAACTGGAAACCCTAAGCTAAGGAAAGCTTCTCTTGCTGGTCATAGACTTCAAGGTCAAAATAGTTACCAGATAAAAAGGGGGTGAGCACATATTGATGAAAATTACAATTTTCCAGGAAGATAAAGTAATTATAATGTTTAAGCTTATATGGGCACATATTAACATTTATTCAGCATATATAAAGCAAAAATGTACAGGCTACAATGAAATTGTAACAAATCTACCATTATAGTAAGAAATTTAAACAGACCTATCTCAGGTATTGACATGAAAAGCAGATCAAAACTAGCAATGTTATAGAAATTGTAAACACAATGAACATGAATGTCCTAATAAACATATTAAGAACATTTATCCAATTATTGGATAATTCTGGATAATTCTTTTTGACATGCAAGGAACATTTTCACAAATTTATCACATACTAGGCCAAAAAG